>NC_000023.11:20016275-20319306 GCF_000001405.40 Homo sapiens | reverse complement strand
CCAAGCTGGCAAGGTAGGAAAGCACACCCTGTTGCGAGCAGTATGATTTAAGAGGTTTCACTGGCAGTGGGGTGGGGAGGATCAGGGTAGGAATGTTAGTTGGGGCCAACTGCGGACACATGGAAATACCAGGTTAAGGAGTCTGGAGTTGATTGCAGAGGCCAGAGGTCAGCAACAGCTTAGAAGTGCTGACCCCTCTTTCTTCTGCTTCTAGACAACACAGTTCAAGCTGGGAGTGGGCTGTGTCAATGATGGTGGAAGGACACCAAGAAGGATCCAATATTTGGAAACATCTCCTTCATAGATCCTACCAATCAGGAATCCATTTGAAAACACAACTATCTTTCAGAAGCAAATCTGGTAGTTATTGTTTACAATTAAGTACACTTTAATCAGTTAAACCCATGACTGTGTCAGTCACACTGAGGGAATGGAAACGTTTAAAGGAGGATAAAGAGCAGTAATTTTGGAGAACTGGGTGAAGGAAGGCTGACAGGGCAGGTGTATTAATGAGGGTAATTAATGGTAGCTGCTGTAACAAAAAAAAGTCTCAGCAATTTAACATAGTAAAGGTTTATTTCTCATTCATTAATGTCAAAATCTGGTACAGGTGGGGCAGCTCTCCTTAGTAGGTGTCTTCCAATTAGTGACTCAGAAATCAGCTGCTATCTTGTGAGGCTGCCATCTTAAACCCATGGCCTCTGAAATCACCATAGGAAAGAAAGATTGAGAGGGATTATCACACCAGGAGTTTTGTGGCCAGGCCTGAAGGTGACATCGATCACTCTGCCCATGACTTCAGTCACATAGGCTCAACCGACAGCAATACGTACTACCACTGGAATATGTAGTTGTTCCGTGTGCCCAGGAAGAAGAAATAAGACGGTAAGTATCATAGTTTTGGGTTCCCCCAAAAGCCAGCTCTGAGACAGGGATATGGGTACTAATAGCTTAGGTGAGAGGTGACCTCAGGAAATGCAAAGAGAATAGGGAAGTAAGTCAAAAAAAAGAAGGAAGCCAATACAGTGTGTTCATGAGCCTACTCTGGGCGCCACAGGCTCAATCCTACTGGAGACTTCTGGGATAAAACTTCTGTATAAAACAAGCCCCAAGTTGTTCCACCTGAGACGTGAAAAAGCTGATTGATTTCTCCAACAACTCATGTCCTTCGCTGGTTGTGGGCTAATCCCTGGGAAATCAACTCTGGCATTTCTGGCAGCAGGTCAAGCATGCTCCAGTGGCCAGGGAAAGTCCTCGGGCAGAGACATCACATGTGCTTCCTTGTGAAGCAAGCAGTATATACTGAATAGTGAGTGCTGAATGCATGTAAAAGGGACACTAAGAGCATCTGCTACAGTGAGCACCCACCGGTAGCAGATAACCCTGATCAAAGTGTTCCTTGGGGGGCAGAGAACAGCCTGAGGTCATGGCTCTGGGGTGAGTCCTGGAAATGCATTTTCAACAAGCTTGCCAACATGGGCTCAAGCAGTCCATTTATAGATGAGCACTTGGAAATACTTCCCATTCTCAAACTTTTGTCATTTCACTTCTCTCAAAACCACTTTAGTGGACCTGTTCTCTGTAAGGTCACTACTGCCCTCCACTTCAAATTCCATTGTCTCCTCAAGTCCTCAACTTAGTCATTTGACTAATGTTATTATTTCCTTCTTCTTGAAACACTTTTCTTCCTTCTGGGATCCTCTGCTCTCCTAGTACTTCTCCTACCTTCCTGGGTGCTCTCTGCACTCCTAATAACCAAGCAGCTCACTTTTCCCTGGAGGCCCGCCATTGTTCCTGGTCACTACACCTAGACTTTGAGAAGAAACCAGAAATGGTAAGTGGATCTATTGGTAATAGCTGCCTGAAGTCATGCATTGAGAAGGATTCTGAGGCTGTGTGGTAATTTAGCTACGTCTGCCATGGGTGTTGGCATAGGGTGGGCAGATTTCAGACATCAGCTCTGCTGTAGATCTTTCTCAAGTTTTCATCTTCTTTGATCTCCCTGGACAATCTCATCCACTCCTGAGGCACTAGCTATCATTTCTATATAGACACCACCTAAATATATATTTCTATTCATGACCTCTCTCAGGAGTTCCAAACCCATATTTCTAACTTTTCAGGGAACATATTAACCTCGATTTTTATTTTCTAATTACATTCTCTCTCATCTGCATTCTCCATGTCACATGATGGATTTACCATCTTTCAAAACACCCCAGCTTAAAACCTTGGCAATGCCTTCACTCCCTTAATATTTTCTCATCACCTTTCCCTATAGTTTAACATAATGCTCAACGAATTGTATTGGAATTACTTGTTTACTCTCTGCCCTAAAACACTGTGGATTCTCTAAATAAAAGAACCGGATCTAATCCATCTTGCATCTTCAGCTGCCAGAACTGTTTCAGGCACAAAGTAGACACTGAGCAAGTGCCTAAGGATATATTTACATGTATATGATGTATATGTGTGTGTGTATATTACATATATATAAGTACATATGTAAATCATGTGTGTGTGTGTGTTTTGTTTCTTCTCTTTAGCTCTTCCACCCCTTCCACCCTATATAGCTAATCAGTCACCAAGCTCCATCTAGTCAATTGCTTCAGAAAGACATCCACATACGCCAGCTTCTTTTCCATCCTCATTGCTTGTCACAGGTTGTGTGCCCTGGAAAACAGACTCTGAGATAGAGATTTAAATACAGGAATTTGATTAGGAATGCTCTCAGGAACAGCACCTATGGGGCAGTAAGGGCAGCAGGAGTAGGCAGAGGGAGGAGTTGGGCTACAACACAGTCATAATAAAAGTATCAGTTGACCCTAAGGGGAGCTCTGGAGCCAGGATGGACCTTTGCTGATTTTCCAAATTGGGAACAGTGCCTGGGCCTTTGTAACACCCCCTCGCACCATTGACGAATTATTAGATGTGGGCTGCTCCAGAGAAAGTCTGTGATTTGGAGCTAGTAAGGTCTCTTCAGCTGAGAGCAAGTCCCAGAAAGAAATTCCACTGAAAGCCATCAGTCACCAACATTTCCTGCCACTGGGGTAATGAGTGTCTCATTCCTGGAGTGGGGATCTTAGAGGCTCACCACAGCATCCACTACCCTGCTGGCATCCTAGTTCAGGCCCACGTAACCTCCCCTACTGCAGGCATTGCTAAACAGTCTCACTGCCTCCAACCTCTTTTTTTCCAATCCGTCCTTGGCCCTGACACCCAGACTAATTTTTCACAAATGGATCTGATATATTCCTGATATCAGAGTCAACACAGCTTATTAAGCAGTATGTGACAATTCAACTTGCATGTGGGAAGGGGGAGAGAAACGTGTGTGTGTGTTTATAAATATACACATAGGAAAGTATTTCTGGAAAAACCCATGGGACATAAAGTAGATTCGTGGTTGCCAGGGGAGGGAGAATGAGGAGTGACTGCTAATGGGTATGAGGTTTCTTTTTGAGGTGATGTAAATATTCTGGAATTAATGGCGATGGTTCCATAACCTTGTGAATATACTAAAACCCACGGAATTGTATACTCTGAAATGGTTAATTTGATGGCATTTGAGTTATATCTCAATTTTTTTAAAAAAAAAAAGTATCTCAGAGTTGACATATGAAAGTGATAGTGGTGAATATCAGGTTTTTATCCTTTATGTACCCTGGCTTTTCAGACTTTTATAACGTATTTTTTAATATTAATTTAGGAAGGAAAAAAATTCACCCTTCAAAATCACTTTTCTGCTTTAAAACCTCATCCCTATGCATGGAGTGAAGGCCACACTACTTGCAAAGTTGTCCAGGCCTTTTCTGAGCAGGCCCCAACCTGCTTTGACAGACACTCATCTTTCACTCTCCTGTGACTCTCCTCCCCTGAGACTCTCCTCCCCTGACTTCAGCTACTTCAGATTTCTTCATTTCCTGAACATGCCCTGGGCTTCCTTGCCTCTGAGGCTTTCTTCCCTGCCACTCACAGCCACCCCTTTCTTTGTCTCCACTCTGATCCAGCCCTACCTGCAGAAATATTTCCTGGTTCAGAACAACTCTCACTTCCCCAAAGCTGCAGTTGAAACGACTCTCTCTCTCTAGCTCTGCTAACAGTTTGTTTAGCATCTGCTTTGACAGCATTTATTACATGCTGCCATTTTATATAATCAGCCGTGTATTTCTTGTTAGGCTGATTCACATTTGATTCCTCTACAATATACAGTACATAGAGTAGATATTCAATAAAACTTAATTTTTAGTTTAAATTCTTTGGGAAAAAAAAGCAAATCTATATTTACACATTTGCTCAGTCAACGAGTTCTTAGTGGTGGCACACTCTGTGTCGGGTAATAGTCCCCAAGTCTGAAAATGTTCTCATTCTCATGAAACCTATTTTTTAATTTTTATTTTTATTCATGTATGACATACATACACTATGCACAAATCTTAAGTATATACCTCAATGACTTATTAAATATGTATATACCCATGTAATATATACACCCCATGCTCCCTCCCAGTCAATATCCTCCTGTCCAGAGGTAACCACTATTTCAAATCCTACCTCTATAGTTTTCCCTGTTCTCGAATGCCATATAAGTGGAATCATATAATATGTTCTCTTTTGTGCCAGGCTTCTTTTGTTCTTCATCATTTCTGTGATATTCATCCATGTGGTTGTGTATAGCAGTAGCTCATTCTTTTCATTGCTGTATAGTATTCCATTGAGGATATTCCATTGAATATTTCACAATTTATTTATCTATTTTCCTATTGATGAACATTTGGTTTGGTCCCGGTTATGAATAAAGCTGCAGTAAACATTCTTGAATATGGCTTTTGATGGACATAAATATACATTCCTCCTAAATATATACTTAGGAATGAAATTGCTGGATCATAGGTGGCTTTGGTAGTTACTGCCCAACAACCTTCCCAGAGGTTTTGTGCTAATTTACACTCTTACCAACAACATATGAAAACAAGCAAACAAATAAGTAAAACATCTGATAGTGAAAAAAGCAATGTGGAAAATTAAGATCAGATGATGAAGGTACTTTAGATTTGGTGACCAGGCAAGGCTTCTTTAACAAGGTGAACTTTAAGCCTGAATAACAAGAAGATGGCAGCCATGCACATGTCAGAAGAGGAGCATTTCAGGCAGAGGGTAAAACCACAAAGGCCCTAGCGCAGGAAGTAACTGAGCTTGTTTAAGGAACAGAGAGGAATCTAGGGGCCTTGGAGTAAGTGGGGAAGTGAAGACAGCAGATAAAGGGTGTGTTATTAAGCCAGCTGCCACAGTAGGTGACTGGAGCTTAATTCAGTGGGGGAAATTATGAGGAAGGGATAAAATACATGCTTCAGAATTACCCAAGAAAAGGGAATGCTTATATGCTGTTGGTGGGAATGTAAATTAGCACAACCTGGAAAACAGTAGGAACAACTCTGGAAAACAGTAGGAGATTTCTTTTTCTTTCTTCTTTCTTTCTTTTTTTTTTCTTTTTTTGGAGACGGAGTTTTGCTCTTGTTGCCCAGGCTGGAGTGTAATGGCATGATCTCAGCTCACTGCAACCTCCGCCTCCCAAGTTCAAGTGATTCTCCTGCCTCAGCCTGCCGAGTAGCTGGGATTACAGGCGCCTGCCACCACGCCCGGCTAATTTTTTCTATTTATAGTAGAGATGGGGTTTCACCATGTTGGCCAGGCTGGTCTTGAACTCCTGACCTCAGGTGATCCACAGGCCTCAGCCTCCTAAAAGTGCTGGGATTGCAGACATGAGATTTCTTAAAGAGCTAAAAGTAGATCTTCCGTTTGATCCAGCAATTCCACTACTGGGTATTTACTCAAAGTAAAACAAGTCATTGCATCAGAAAGACACCTGTACATGTATGTTTATTGCAGCACAATTCACAATTGCAAAGATATGGAACCAGCCTGAGTGCCCATCAACCAATGCATGGATTTTTAAAATGTGGCATACATACACCATGGAACACTACTCAGCCACAGAAAAAGAGTGAAATAATGTCTTTTGCAGCAACTTGGATGGAGCTGGAGGCCATTATGAGAAGTGAAGTAACTCAGGAATGGAAAACCAAATACCGCATGTTCTCACTTAGAAGTGGAAGCTAAGCTATGGGTATACAAAGGGATGCAGAGTGGTATAATGGACATTGGAAACTCAGAAGAGGGGAGGGTGGGAGGAGTGTGAGGGATAAAAGAACTACATATTGGGTACAACGTACACTACTTGGGTGATGGGTGCACTAAAATCTCAGACTTTACCTCTAAAGAAAGGAAAATAAAAGAATTAAAAAAATATTTAAAAAGAAATTATGTTTTTTAAAAAAAGAGAATTATCCTACCCAAGAGCCGAGAGACCAGGGGTCATTGGTTGAGGATTGCTGCTGGCAGGTTGGGGCTGGAGATGTTAATTTCCCAGCACATCTGTATCTAATATAGGCATTTTCTTCCATGACTGAGATTCAGTATCTTTCTCTTTATCTGGGCCTTTAACTTCGTCTTGTTTTCACTGGTCTTTCCTTGACCCTTGGCCCCACACCCAGCTCCTTGAATTCACTATTCTCTACCACTATAAATGTCATCAGCCATGTGGCCCACTTTCATTCCCATGGTCAGCCTCTCTTAATCAGGTCCACCATTTACTTTTACTTCTCCTGGACTCCCATTCACTAGGTATTCTACCTAGCACAGAGTCTTGCTAATAATAGACTCAGTACATGCATGCAGCATAACTATTGGCAGGGGATCCATAGCCATGCTGATTTGCAAAGACTTCAAATTACTGTTAAATCGCAGTTTGATTCTTGCTACTTCCTGCAATCCTTCCAATCCTTAGGTACTTCCTGGATGTTTTCCTGACAACTAAAGCCTCACTTTCTGTATCAGTTATCAGTGACCACATAATTCTGTGTAATAAAACACCCCAAGACTCAGTGTCTTTAAACAATAACCATTTATTGTGTTCACAAGTCTGTGGGTTGGCAATTTAGGCTGGGCTCAGATGGACAGTGCTTCTGATTTCAACTGGACTCACTCATGGATCTTACAGTCATCTGCAGCTCAGCTAATCTAGGATAACCTCAGCTGCAATGACTAGAATGACTCAACTCTGCTCCTCATGTCCCATCTTCCAACAGGATAACCTGGATATGTTCTCGTGGCAAACACAGAAGTAAGTGAAAACACTCAAGGCCTTTTGAGACCTGGACCTGGAACTGGCCCACCATCACTTCCACCACATTCTATTGCCCAAAACAAGTTACAGGGCCAGCCCAGATTCAAAGGAAAGGAAAATAGACTCTGGCTCTTCAGTGGATGAAATTCCAAGGTCACCTGGTAAAGGAAGAGGTGAAGAAGTAAGGTCATTAATGTAATCTTTCATACTGTAACACTTGCTTTTTGACTTAGAAGGTTGAGTGTGTTTTGTATGTCAATCACACCTCAGTAAAACGGTTTTTAAAACAAGAAGATTGAATGTTTATTTCCTTCCCTTTCAGCTCAAAGTTTCTATACTTTAAAACATCCAAATAGTACAATATAAGCAGCGCTGGCTTTTTGGTTTGAATTATTAGATATTGTTTCAGTTCTCCATTTCTATAGAGGCAGACATCAAAGACAGAAGTATGGAAAGTGTGATTTCACTCATAAATATCCCAGTAGAACTTAAAGACAATATTTTAAGTAACCAACTAAAGACTCATCTTGAACAGAAGTTAGATAACATCACCCACAATCTTAGAGTTTATTTATTTTATTTTATATTAAAGATAAGGATGTTCTCCCTACATCTGATGTCTTCACTGGAAGAGAGGCTGTGCAAAAAGGTGCTTAAATTGTATGTCATTCACAAAAGGGAACAAAGGAGCTGCCACTATTACTGCCGTTGCCATGGCCATATCATATTAAATCAGGATAGAGGAGGTTATTGAAACGGCTCTTCAAATAAGGTATCTTCTCATAAGACGTCTCTGCCAGCGAAATCAGTTGGAACATTGGGTACAGAGTGTCCAGTGGAGAGAACGTACAAAATACTCAAGCCGACGAAGATCCAGTGAATCAAATGGCCTTGCTGTGCTCCACTCAACACTATTTCTGTCTTGCATGAGGTGTGTGTCCTGAATTTGATTTACTATCTTTAATGTCATTCATCCACAGTCCATAGTATATATATGTGGATGCAGCAAGGTGCTCCAATTAGGACCTGGAAATCCACTACAGTCCAGTTGAAGCATAACGATTTGAAACATATAAAATGGTGGAGAGGAAGAGGGATGTGAAGGCAACGAGTTCCTAATGTCCTGCTTAGAAAGAAAGGGCAATGCAGAACGGTGATTAAGCAGCCAAATATCTGTGACAGTCTCAGGCTTGAGTCCAGGCTCTGCCACTGCTCGCTACGTGACTTCAGGTAGGTTTCTTACTATCTTTAAGCCTCGGTTTCTTTATCTGAAAATGAGACTACTGTTGAAACAACCTCAAAGGTTTCATGGAGGAGAAATATCAGTATGTAAAGCATTTTGCAAGGTGCCTGGCACAAAGTTAGCACTTAATTAATGAAAACTATAATTTTTGTTTTGGAGACAGGGTGTCGCTCTATTGCCCAGGCTGGAGTGCAGTGACTCAATCTTGGCTCCCTGCAACCTCCACCTCCTGGGTTCAAGTGATCCTCCCACCTCAGCCTCTCGAGTAGATGGGACTACAGGTGTGAGCCACCACACCCAGCTAATTTTTGTATTTTTTGTAGAGGCAGGATCTCACTATGTTGCCCAGGCTGGTCTCGAACTCCTGAGCTCAAGCGATCTACCCGCCTTGGCCTCCCAAAGCGCTGGGATTACCGGCATGAGCCATCACGCCTGGCCTGAGAACTATACATTTTTAAACTGGAAGGGACCTAGGAGATCTTTGTATAAAAGCTCATCATTCAGAAGATGAAAAACAACCACAGAGAAGGCTAAAGGAGTCCCACCTCAGTTACACAGCTTAGTGGCACAACTGGGGCTGAAAACCTAAGACTTTCTGATTCCTCTGCCTCTCTGTGTTATCCCTCCACCAACAAGCCCCTCTTGCCTACCCTCTTCCACACAGTGAAACTTCAATAAATAGCTAGGAGTTTTTGCCTTTCCCCTGGAAAGCCGCATCTCAGGCACAGGAAACTCTGAAAGGTATGGAATTTTCTAATGAGGCATTTGCCGCGTGCTCACTTTAATCCACTGCAAGTGTCTCTGGGAAATAAAATATTGGCAGGTCTGTCCAACAGCTGCTCAGCCTAGAGACCACAGCTTATTTTGGTCCATTTATGTTAACTCATCTGTCTCAAGCTCTTTGTTAGTGACTCACCGCATACTGCTACCAAAAATATACACCAAAAATCCAAGAATCATTCATATGAAGGGCAAACGTCTTGCTTAAAATACCACATTTCTGCCGTCGTGTTTTTATGAAGTTTTTCCTTCCTCCCGCCTCCACATCACATTTTCTTCTCTCCTTTCTTCCTTCTCCATCTTTGATCGCCTTCAGTGGCATGGAAGCTGCATGGGGTGATCAAGAGAATTCTAGAATGGATATCAGAAGGCCTGGTTCTGGTCCTGAGCTGGTATGCTTTAACTGCAAAAACCTAGCAAGTCACAACTGGTATGTGACTCGGTTTTTTCTTATCCATAATACAGGAGGGTTGTATTAGCTCTACAGTTCCCACCAGTACAACCGCCAAGAACTTCTTCATTGCTTTCCCTTGAAGGATTCCAAGCTTTGAAAGATTTTCATCTGCCACATAATCTACCTTTTAAAATAAAAATTAATATTCCCCATTTTCTATAAATTTTGAGTAAACAACCTAATTAATATACATTAGAATCAATAAATAACAATAAGCAGGAAATAAAAATGTTTAAAGTATTAAATTGACTTTTTTATTAAGATGGCTGCTATTTCAAATACTATGCCCAGATGTGTCATAGAAAAATACATCATCTTTTTTAGAATTGTTGAAATATTGAAAATGGTTCATATACTATGTCCTATATCTAAAAATAGGTGGGCACAGTGGCTCACGCCTGTAATCCCAGCACTTTGGGAGGCTGAGGCAGGAGAACCACTTGAGGGCAGGAGTTCAAGACCAGCCTGGGCAACAAAGAAGACCCGGATCGCTACAAAAAAAAATTAAAAATAATTAAAAAAATTAGCCAGGTACATTGGTGCAAACCTGTAGTCCTAGCTACTTGAGAGGCTGAGGCAGCAGGATCACTTGAGCCCAGTAGGTTGAGGCTGCAGTGAGCTATAATTGTACCACTGCACTCCAGCCTGGGCAACAGAGCAAGACCCCCATCTCAAATAAAAATAAAAATAAAAATAGACATGGTAAGGATACACAGCAACTTCAGGATGATTGTAACTTCCAGGGAGGAGGAAAAGGATGAAGATGGGGGAGACGGCCTTTGAGTATATCTGTAATATTTCACTTATTAAGACCTGACACAAATACAGGAAATCATTAACAAGTTAAATCTTAGTGATAGATACATGGTTATCAGTTATTAATATTATCCTTTCTTTTTATGATTAAAATATTTCAAAATTAAATATTTTAAATTTACAGAAGCTTATCAACTGAAACTCTTATACATTGCTGGTAAGAGTGTAAAATGCTGTAACAACTTTGGAAAACTTTAGCAGTTACTTAAAAAATTAAACCTACCCCTACCATACAACAAGGCAATTCCCTTCATAGATATATGCCCAAAATAAATGAATACACATATTCATAAAAAGACATGTACAAGAATGTTTATGCCAGCCTTATTTATAAGCCAAAAATAGAAAAGAGCCCAAGTGCCTATCAATAGGTGAAAGAATAAACAAATTGTGATATATTCATACACTGAAATACTACTTAGCTATAAAAAGGAGAGAACACCTTTTATCCAATAATATGGATAAATCTTGAAAAACATGCTGAGCAAAAAGTCACATACAAAAGAAAGAATACATACTGTGTGATTCTATTTACATGAAGTTCTAAACCAGGTCAAACAAATCCATAGTAATAGAAATCAGAGCAGTGTTTGCCTATTGTGTGGGGAGATTACCTAGAAAGAGGCACAGGGAAATTTCTGGAGCGAGGGACGTGTCTTGAGGAAATAAATATCTTTTTAAATTTTTTCTGTATTTTTAGTTTCTGTGGGTACATAGTAGGTGTATATATTTATGGGGTACATGAGATATTTTGGTACAGGCATGCAATGCATAATAATCACTTCATGAAAATTGAGTATCCGTACCCTCAAGCATTTATCCTTTGTGTTACAAACAATCCAATTATACTCTTTTAGTTCTCTTTAAATGTACAATTAAATTATTATTGGCTAGAGTCCCCCTGTTGTCTTGATTGGGGTAGTGGTTACATGAGTGTTTGCATTTGCAAAAAAATAAAAACACCTCTTCAAATTGTATGTCTGAGATCTGTGCATTTCACCCTAGATAAATTTTACCTCAATTTTTAAAAATACCTAAAGCTCATAAACTCACATACTGTTGTCAAGGACTCCCAGGAGAGCTGGGGACCTCAAGACAGGAATCAGTCCTGGAATGAGGATTCCTGCCGTGATTTTCATGTCTGAACAGTGTGAGATTTTACTTTCTATATTGCTCTTTACTCTCATTACAAATGAAGTCTTTCTTTGAGGAAGTCTTTCTTTGAGGAGGTCTTTCAAAGCAATGTGTTGTAGTGGAAAGAATATGGGCTTTAGAAATAGCCAGAGCCCTGGGTTTGAGCCTGTGCTCCCTGGCTCATTGGCTATGTGACTCTGGGCACGGAAGTGACCTCCTTAAGTTTATTTTCTTAACCTTATGCAGGAGCACGCAAAGTCTACTTCCCGGGGTTATTCGGGAGATTAAATTAGATCACACAAGCAAAAGTGTATTTCACACAGCCAGGCTCAGCACAGATGCTCCATACATTCTGGTTTCCTTTTCTTCCTTCCTTTACTTTTTATAGACCCTCTACAGAACGAAAGCTTCATATCTCCTCCATCATCACAGTTCAAATCCTGAGGATATAGGAATAGCTTCCTTGTTCCTCCTCAAAGGTAGCAAGCAAAAATGCCACACTCAAAGGTAGCAAGCAGCAAAAGGGGCTACTTCCCTGAGCCCCATGATTTAATGGGTTCTGCTCTGATACCCCCCATAGCCACATTCTTCCCCATAGGGCAGGAGTCAGTAGGGTCAAAAGGCTATGCCCATCCAGAGCCTGTGCCCCACCTAGACCACAATCCAGGTACCAGGACCCCAGAATACACTGCCCAGGGGACCAAGAGCTGGCTTCCACAGCCACCATGGTCCCCTTCCCTGGTCCATCTTCCCAACAGCAGACCGTGTTACAAATGAGCACATCTCTAGTCCCAAGGAACCATCAAAGGGCAGTTGTTTGGGGCTGTGTAAACAGAGCTTGGACACGTAGGCAGGGTGTCCATCCACATTGTGCAAGACCCCTCGTGGTGTTTGGAGGATTCTGGGGTGGGAAGAGAAAGGGAGCTTGACCTCTGGCTGGGCTCAGGAGCCAGGGGCTGGCTCACCCTGTACCATCAGGTTCTGGTGCAGAACTCTGAGGAGGCCAAGAACTCTAAATCTGGACCTGGCCTTCCAGGCCAATATTGATATGTCAAGAAGATGATAGAATACATTTTATAATATTTTATAACTTTTCACAATCAGGCATAGAGTATGTGGGTTTCCGTGTGTACTCTTGCTCTGGGCTTGCCACATGGTAGGGATAGACCTGCCCAGCATATTCCCCTCTCAGGACCTTTGCACTTGCGGTTCTTTTGCCCTCTCTTCAGATCTCTACTTAGCCTCCTCCCTCATTTCCTTCATGTTCCCCTTCCTCTATCCCCCTTTCACTTGTCTGACCATCATATTTGCTCCCCAGCCCTCATACCTCTATGCCCTTCCTATAATTTCTTTTTCGTATTACAACTTGATATTTTATTTGTTAAGTGCCTGACTCCTCCATTAGAGTATAAATGTCAAACCAACTGAAAATTTTCTGCCTTGTTCACTACTGTATTTCCCTCACTCAACATAGTATCTGGCACATAGGAGGGGCTAAGCAAGGTAACTATTGCATTAATGCATGAATAACTTAATGAATGGATTTCTATTCCCATGCCTTATTCTCTGTTCTTGTCCCAATGTTTCACAACATAAAAGCCAAAAAAAAAAAAAAAAACTTTTTAAATAGGCCAACTCACTTGCATTTCAGATTTTATTTCAAATTTAATAAACCTGCTGAACACAACCCCCAGTCTTCCAGCTCTCTTGCTCTATTTTTACCACTACCGTCTGTTCTTATTACAGAGAACTCCGGCCCCTTGACATCCCCTACTTTGTCTTCATCTATCAACCTTCATCTGCCTCCATCTCCTGCCCTTTCTGCCTAGAACTCACAGCCCATCACTTCGATCATTCTTCTGCTGATATTCTCAAGTACTTTGCCCTTTCGCCTGGCAAAACCCTAACTCTGGATCAAATCAAGGAACGTTTCCATTTCTAAACTGGAGCTACATCACAGAATAATAAATTAACAGGGGTAGCAAAATGATCTAAAAATATAATCATTTCTTTCCTGGCCAAAACTCTTGCCTACCAACTATTGCACATTCTTTACATGGCTAAAATTAAATATGCAAGTCTTCCGTGGCATTTAATTAGCAATCTGGCAGAAAGAAAATGCTGCTCTACTTTCATTCACAAATTTTAGTTTAATTACATTCCGTACCCTTTTCCAAGCCAAGATGGTTGGGTTCAAATTTCTGGTTAAGAAAATCTAAGGTAAATGTTACATCACTTTTGAAAAGCCTGAAACTCACACAATCAACACATTTTCTCTCTCTCTCTCTCTCTCTCTCTCTTTCTCTCTGACTTCTTCCAGCTAGAATATCCCTACAGAAAATGTCAGATCTCGGCCGGGCGCGGTAGCTCACGCCTGTAATCTCAGCACTTTGGGAGACCGAGGCAGGTGGATCACGAGGTCAGGAGATCGAGACCAGCCTGGCTAACACGGTGAAACCCCGTCTCTACTGAAAATACAAAAAATTAGCCAGGCGTTATGGCACGTGCCTGTAATCCCAGCTACTCAGGAGGCTGAGACAGGAGAATGGCATGAACCCCGGAGGCGGAGGTTGCAGTGATCACGCCACTGCACTCCAGCCTAGGCAACAGAGCGAGACTCCATCTCAAAAAATAAAAAAATAAAAGAAAGAAAGAAAGAAAATTCCAGGTCTCTTTTCAAAAGAGAGTTGAGAATAACAAGCAAAATACAAATTTCAGTTACATAGGAGGAATAAGTTCAAGAGATCTATTGTATAACATGGTGACTGTCGTTAATAACAACATATTGTAGTCTTGAAAAATGTTACGAATTTACACTTTAAGTATTCTCACCACAAAAACGATAATTATGTGAGATAATGCATATGTTGATTAGCTCAATTTAACCATTCCACAAATACATGGATTTCAAAATGTCATGTTGTACATGACAAATATGTACAATTTTATTTGTCGATTTAAAAAGTAAAATAAACATTTAAAAAGAATACAATATCATGTATTAAATACAATATACAGGTTGAATATGTTTAAGAATACAGTGTTGTATGATTGCTACTATGTTTAAAAACATAAATGTGTATGGGCAAAGAGTAAAACCAACAAACAGAAATGATAGTAGTGATATTAGGAATTTGAAGTTTTTTCTCTGAGCACTCTTAGATGTTATAATATTGTTTTTACAATTGAGAGTGAGGACAGGGTAGGGAGGAGGGAGAGAAAGCCAAATTTGCTGCAGAGAGGGTATGATAACCTTTTGAATTTCAAATTACCATTGGTTCCATTGACACCTAAAAGCAGCATTTCTCTGACCTTTAATAAATGTCCTAAATAAGTCAAAGTGGTCACGGTAGAGCCATTATAATCCTGTAGTTTTAATGTCACACATACTCCACCTATTACAAATGTCTTACTAGTATGTGCGTTTGTTTTTAATCTCAAAAATACAGAAAATTTAAGCCATTTCGCATGAATTCCAGGGTCTGGATCAAGTTGCAAGAGAAAATCACTATAAACTTTAATGAAAATACAACAATATTTTAAAGATTATAAGTAATAAATGTCTTACTAAAAGTACCTCATAATATAGACGTATTGCTTTTCCAAGGATAAACATGAAAGCATAAGAGCCCAGAGGCTCAATTCTTGCAGACGAGAAAACAAACTCCTTAAAACTGGTATTAAATCTCTGAACTTAGAGAAAATATGAGGAGGGGCCTTACCATCCCCTTCAGGTCCATGCCCACAAAGAACCCAGAGTTTCAGTAAACAAATGAGGTACATAATCCATTTGTGATAGCGCTCAATTCATATGGTTACTTCCTAATCAAGACAAAAATAAACCCTAGGCATAAATGCATCTTGCTAGTGGCTTCTCCATAAATAACACTGCAAATCAATAATTATGCTCATTTCCTTAGAAATGCCTTAATTATTACTCCACATTCTTGCATAGAAATATGAGTAGAAAATAAACAAAACTAAATAGAGAACATTCCAGCATCCCCATAGATTGACTTTGGATGTATTTTTCTCAGCAAATCTACTACTGTTCTTTTTTTTATTTTATTTTATTTTTCAAACACATATGCTTGTTTATCTTAAGGAATCCTTTGGGGGTAGGAGGACTAAACTGGTACAGTGAAATGTCACAGTACTTTCTAATAAGGAATGATAAGTTATAAACACTTTAGTTGAATTATCAATAGTAGCATGTCTCTGCTAACACTCAATTTTCTCCAGGAACAAGCTGTTTATTACTTCATTTATGTATGTGTTCCTTTATTTGGTGCCAAAATTTGTTAACAGAAATAATGAAAGAGGATTGAAATAAAAATTAAATGCTTTGATCACGGAACAACTTTTGCAGAGGCAGCAGCAAGCGAATGTGCCACCTATTAAGCATGAGACTGTAATCATTTCTTAGGTGGCCCACTTACACTTTATGTAAAAGAGCATTATTAAGTGAAAAAGCACAAACAGAGTGAAGGATGATGTAATAATTCACGCTTCCCACATTGTGCTGTTTGAGCTCCGGTTGAGCTCCAGTCAAGGGACAGCTATACCACTAATGTGTTTTATTAAGCAACAATAAAGAGTCCTGAGAGATTCTCTTGTAATTCTCATTTTTAAATGAGAGCCAAAGAAAAAGAATCATTTCTAACAACATGGGAATCCACTAGGACTTTTTTTATATACATAACTTCCAAATAAAATGTAAATCGTACTCAAGGGAGGGAAACTAGTCCTGGGGAATAATGATGGTGATTCCTCAACTATCCGTGGTGTGTTCCCAGGGGCACAGGCATTCAGTGCAAGCCAATAGGTTGCTTTTGGGTTCTTGATACTTTTAGGTTTCTGTGTTGGGAGGGGAGTCATAAAAGGAGAATAGGCTAAAGTGCTTTTTCAGAGTTTAACTGGATTATTGAAAAGAGTGTGTGGAACCTCACAGATGAGAGACAAGTTAGCGAAGAAGAAAGACTGAGTAATGGGCCATGCCATATTCTATCATAGAATGCCTTCCTCCATACAACATGGACTATCATGAAATATTGGCTTTCTTGGATTCTAGGTATTATTCTGTATTCCAAGCTTTATATATCTAAAATAAAGATACTCATATCTTGACAAATTATAAGTTTCTTCCACCTCTTCCTGTTTTGAGGGACCCTCTCCTGCTTTTTATTGTTGATGTGAATTAATCAAGTAGACGTAAATCAATCTAACTCTAAAAATAACAGATACTATGGATAGCAAGTACAGTCACCAAAATATCTCTATAGGTATCAGTATTTTTTCTCCAATCATGAGAATGAGAGAGAATGAATGAGTGACAGCATGAGAGAGACAGAATTTTTTCCACTCCTTTTACATTTTTACCAGTTTTTTTCTTCTGAGATTTCTCTGCGAAACTACAAGAAGATGTAGATTAGTCAGTGGTTTTCAGCTTTAATACAATATACTGAAACCAGATTATCCTCTGCTTTTAATTGCCTCTTCCTAAAATGCTCCATTGTCATTACCCAATGATAGTGTTCTTTAAGGATATTATACTTTCAACTTGGTGTTTATTGAACAGGGATATTTATTGTCTGTGGTGGCCTGCTGAATTGCATGGTGAAGGTACCCTAAAGGGAAAATTAGAAGTTGTTTGAAATGGTCATTTTAATTTGACTATTGTTCAGAATATTCTGAACTGTTTTCTAACTTAGCTTTAAGGTTTTCATTAAGTCATTTTTAAGATTTCTGATTGGGTGAAATAATAACATCACATAACGCATAACTGAATGGAAACCTAACCTCTTCTTATACGGAGAATGAAACAAGCCCGGGGAGAAAAAATAATTTACCAAAGTCACAGAACTAAGGAGTAACAGGGATCTAGGACCCAGGTGTTCCTTTTTTTTTTCTTTTTTAATGTTTTTTTAATAATTTCATTCTTCCATTCTTATGTATATACCTACAGAACCCTGGTGTTCTAACTCCTGGACAAATGGTCTTTGGCCTACATGTACAGTACATACATCTGAACCTACCAACTTTAGGCAAAATTGTTATATTAGATTTGTATCCTGAATCTCATCCCCTATGCCCTGAGCTTTTCCTTCCTCCTCAAGAAAACTTCAGCTTTTCTTTCCCTGTTGTCATTCCCAACCGCTAGCAGGGTTTACTTGTCCTAAACTCAGGACCTTTTCTTCTGTGTTTCGGGTAGCATCTAATTACTTAAGTAATTAAGTCATATAATACTGAGTGTCATGTGGCTTCATGCTAAGCTTTTCAAATATAGATTACCATCAGTATGAGACCAACTTCTGTGGGTTAAGTTAAGCCATGGATAAAATATTATGGTCCGTCTTCATCAGCCATCAAACTTTCTGAAGAAATTGATTGTGGAAGAGAGTGATGAATATCTTTGCCCCACTCCAGATCCACTCTCTACCCCTCTCTACGTGATTCTGTGCTCCTGGAGGCTGACCTGTATGCAATGCATCAATGGGCTCCCTCGTCTTCTGGCTCCCAGTTGGGTTTGAAGAACGAGGGGCACCAATGGGAGATCAGAGGGCGCAAGAAGTATTGATTCTTCCAGTTCTGTCTCCACAGGATCTCTACAGGTTGGCTGCATCTCCCACCGTGGAAGGCCACAGCTACTGTCAGACAGCCCTCTACAGATAGCTGAGTCACAATAGCCAATCTCTCCTTTTGCTCCTCCAGGCCTAGAGGTGGTAATAGCTCCTCAACATTACTTATCCCAGGGTACTGCACTAGCCCTTCCTGGTTTCCCTAATCCCTGAGGATACTTTTGTAAATAGTCCCTCTATTAAACCCTCCTCGGTTACCCAGTTTGAATGGGCCATCTGTTTCCAGGCAAGACCCTAACCAATATAGAGTCAAATAGGACATTAAATAATTTGACTAAGTAATTTAAATATTTTTATATTTTATTATAAAAATATATTTATATTTTATTATAACAACATATTTCTATTTTATTATAAAAATATATTTCTATTTTATTATAACAATATATTTCTATTTTATTGTAACAATATATTTCTATTTTATTATAACAATATATTTCTATTTTATTATAACAATATATTTTTATTTTATTTTAACAATATATTTCTATTTTATTATAAAAATATATTTCTATTTTATTATAAAAATATATTTCTATTTTATTATAAAAATATATTTCTATTTTATTATAAAAATATATTTCTATTTTATTATAAAAATATATTTCTATTTTATTATAAAAATATATTTCTATTTTATTATAAAAATATATTTCTATTTTATTATAAAAATATATTTCTATTTTAATATAAAAAATATTTCTATTTTAATATAAAATATATTTCTATTTTAATATAAAATATATTTCTATTTTAATATAAAATATATTTCTATTTTAATATAAAATATATTTCTATTTTATATAAAAATATATTTCTATTTTAATATAAAATATATTTCTATTTTATATAAAAATATATTTCTATTTTAATATAAAATATATTTCTATTTTAATATAAAATATATATATTAATATAAACTATGTATTAATATAAACTATATATAAATATAAAATGTATTTATATTTTAATATAAAATATATTTCTATTTTAATATAAAATATATTTCTATTTTAATATAATATATATTTCTATTTTAATATAATATATATTTATATTTTAATATAATATATTTATATTTTAATGTAAATATATTTATATTTTAATGTAAATATATATTCATATAAAAATATATTTATATTTTAATGTAAATATATATTCATATAAAAATATATTTATATTTTAATGTAAATATATATTCATATAAAAATATATTTATATTTTAATGTAAATATATATTCATATAAAAATATATTTATATTTTAATGTAAATATATATTCATATAAAAATATATTTATATTTTAATGTAAATATATATTCATATAAAAATATATTTATATTTTAATGTAAATATATATTCATATAAAAATATATTTATATTTTAATGTAAATATATATTCATATAAAAATATATTTATATTTTAATGTAAATATATATTCATATAAAAATATATTTATATTTTAATGTAAATATATATTCATATAAAAATATATTTATATTTTAATATAAATATATATTAATATAAATATATATTACTATAAAAATATATATTAATATAAATATATATTACTATAAAAATATATTTATATTTCAATATAAAAATATATTTATATTTCAATATAAAAATATAAAATATGTTATATTTTATGATATCACAAACATATAATATTTTTATATTATTTAAAACACAAACATGGATATATAAAAGAGTAGAATGCAAAATATGAATTTATTGTTCTCTGATAAAGGGCATCTCCGTGGAAAATTTCAGGGTGCATTGGCAAATGTCATTCTCTTTCCTTAGGGAAAATGTATGGTAAACAGAGCTCAATCAGAACTTCTGCATTACCACTTTTTCTGGTTCTTTGGCTTTTAGTAAAAGAAGAAAAAGGAAAGAAGAAAAAATGAAAAGAATTTCATGGCAGGAATTCACCATATAAAAATGTTTTCAAATTATGCCTTGAGATCAGAACACTTAATTTCCTATTTTTAAAAAGTGAATCTTTACATTTAAAACTTTTTTCTTTTTACATTTCTACCCACAAATATGATTTTACAAAAATGCATAAATGTGATCATATTATACACATTTGGATTTTCGGTGCAGTCTTTTTTCCTTCTTTTTCCTGTTCAGCTTGGCTTCCCTCTCCCCTTCTGAAGCTTGCCCCACCTCCTGCACATATCTCCCTTCCAAATAATCCATGATAGCAATTTAGTCTATCCATACATATATTCTCGAAGCTCATATAATTTTATTCATAACACACACATATGCTTGTATGCTCATACACAAATAAGGGGTTATTTTGGTCATTGCATTAGAAAGATAAGATTATATTATACGTGTTTTCTGCATCTTGCTTTTCTCACTCAAAAATACCATTTGGAAGTTTTCAAGTACACTAGTATACCCCTCATTCATTTTTTAGCTGACTGAACAATACTGCATTGGATGGATATACAATAATTTATTCAACCATTTCCTATTGATGGGCATTGACTTTGGTAACCATCTTCTACCACTATAAGTTGTGTGTGTGTGTGTGTGTGTGTGTGTGTGTGTGTGTGTTCACAATTGTTGTTTTTAATTTCTAAGAGTTAGATACCCTGAAAAGGGATGACTCTGTCCACTGGTATGTGTATTTTTAGTTTTAATAGATGTTGCCAGATTGTCTTGCAAAAAGCTGTAGCAGATCAAATTTACTGTAGCAGATCAAATTTCCTCTAGCAATAAATGAGAGTGCCCTTTTCCCTGCATTCAACCAACAATAATTGTTATAGATCCTTTCAAATTTTGTACCTGTTTCATTGGCAAAATAGTATTGTTACTTTAATTTGTGTTTCCCTTTGCTAAGAGTATCTTTTTTTGTGTTGTTGACCATCTGGATTTGCTCTTTGTCCCATTTTTCTATTTGCAGAGAAATTATATGTATAAAATAGAAATGTTGAAAGCTTAGGACATGTAACAGCAATGATTTTTATATTTATCTTCAAATTGCCTATTCTACAAAGGATATTGTTGAAACCTATAAAGAGTAAGCTGATCTAGATTTTTAATGTTTTTCAATTGTTTAGTAAAACATGTGTCCCTTCAAAAAATTAAGTTAATAAATTACTTTCAAAAGTGATTTTTGAAATAACTGCCTCTTTAAATCCTTTGCCCATTTTTATATTGAGTTAAAAAGTTCCTTTTATTAAAGATATTATTGTGTTTGTCTGCTATTGCCAATGTTTTTCCAAATATATTGTTTGTCCATTAACTTTGTGGGCATTTTTACATTTCTATAAAGTCAAATATACCGCAGCCCAGTTCTGATTAAGAAGGTCCAACTCACTCCAGCTTCTACATGTAGTTTCCTAGACTTTTTGATGGGATGTTCTGTTTTTTATTTATTTAATCCAGCTTAAATTTATTTATTTTTGACTACAATGTATAAGGTCCAATTTTATTTTCTTCCAGATGCACAGGACACTTGTGCATGCCCTAGGTATTTAATATTAAGTCCATCTTTCGCCCACATTTCTCCCTTCTGTTTTATAATTCTTCCATTCTCTCCCACAGTTCCCCATCTCTCCCACAATTCTCCATTTTCTTCCTCATTCCTGTTTCTCCCACAATTCCATCTTTCTCACAATTCCCTATTCTCTGCCACAATTCTCCATTCTCTCCCACAATTCCCTATTTCTTCTATAATTCTCCATTTTGTCCCACAATTATTTGTCTCCCACAATTCTCCACTCTCGTTCAATTCCCAGTCATTCACGCAAATTCTTGTCACTCATGCAATTCCTTGTCTCTCCCACAGTTCTCCCACAATTCACTATCTCTCCCACAATCATCCAATTTCCCCCACAATTGTCCATCCTCTGCCACGATTCTGTTTTCTCCCACAGTTCCTTGTCTCTCCTACTATTCTCTGATTTCTTTCTTGACTCCTTGTCTCACACAATTCTGTCTCTCTCACAATTTCCTGTTGTGGCCAAATTCTCCATTCCCTCCTACAATTCACGGTCTCTATTACAATTCTGTTTCTATCACAATTTCCTGTGTCTCACACAATTCTCTCTCTCTCTCTCATTAACTGTGTCTCATACAATTCCCAGTCTTACACAATTCCATATCTTTCACCCAGTTCTCATTATCTCACACAATTCTCTATGCTCTTCCACAATTTTTTGTTTTCTCCTACAATTTCTTGTCTCTCCCACATTTCTGTGTTATCTCCCTCAATTCCCTATTTCCCCCAGAATTCCCTCCCTCTTCTGCTTTCTTAAAATTCCCTGTCTTTCACATAATTCCTTGTTGCTCCTCCAATTCTCTGCTCTCTCCAACAATTCTCCATTCTTTCCCACAATGCCCTGTCCTTCCCACGATTACTTGTCATGTATTAAATTCTTGTATGTATTGAAATCTTTTTCTGGACTCTCTATATTGTTCCATTGAACTATTTGTCTATTCTTATTTAATTACCATATTGACTGGGTCTTATAATATGTTCACTTATTTGGCAAAACGTATTGCCCTTTATATTCTGATATTTTCTAAAACGTTGACTTTTCTCAGACATTCTTCTACTCAAGAAAAAAGAATATTTTATTCAGTTTTTTAAAAGACATACAAAAAAAATCACCTATTAGGGTTCTAGCTTGAATTAATTGAATTTGTATAAGAATTTGAAGAGAATCAAGGTTTTTGGTTTTTTTAGAGACAGAGTCTCAACTCTGTCACCCAGGCTGGAGTGCAAAGGTGTGATCATAGCTCACTGCAGCCTCAACCTCCTGGACTCAAGCGATCCTCCTGCTTCAGCCTCCTGAGTACCTGAGACTACAGGTGTGCACCACCACACCTAGCTAACTTTTTTAGTTTTCTACTGATAGGGTCTCACTATGTTGCCCAAGCTGATCTTAAACTCCTGGCCTCAAGCCATCCTCCTACCTTGGCCTCCCAAAGTGCTGAGATTACAGGCATGAGCCACTGTGCCCAGCTGAGAATCAAGTTTTTTATGTTGTCTCTTTCTCTAATATTTGAAGTGTCTTTCCATTTGGTCAGGTCTTGTTTTATGACCTTCAATTCAAATTTATAGTCCTTTCATGGCAGTTCTGAATCTTTCTTGATATCCTTCTGTTATGTATCTCATGGGATTTTTTTTTAAATATTAAAGCTATCACCATGGCTGGTGTTAGGGGGCAGTGGGAACAGTAGTAGAAGGTGGAATCAGAGAAATATCCTTGAACAAGATTACATAGTACCTTACAGGCTTCATCAGTTATCTATTACTGCATAACAAACTACCTCACATTTAGCAACTTAAAGCAACAATAAACATTTACTAGCTCACAGTAGCTGCAGATCAGAAACTTTTTAGTAGTTTAGTTAGGAGTTTCTGGCCCTTGGTCTCTCTTAAGGTTAACGTCAAAATGTCAGCCACAGCTGCCGTCATCTGAAGGTTTGACCGGGGCTGGAGGATCCAATTCTAAGATGGCTTACTTGTAAGAACTCTGCTGTGGTTATTTGTGATTTTACACATCCAAAGCCAATTCCTACTTAATGCCTGAAGTAAAACCCTGAAATGTGTGCATAACCACATTTCTTTGACTATATTTCCTTGGCTTCTATGCTAATTTTGAAAGACATGTTTTGAATAAGAATTAATCTAAATGTCAAATCCTGGCTACAAATGTCATGACCCATGTATATTTCTAAAGCCTATAAGTAATCTCTTTTGGAAACATAATAGAATTTATGAGATCAAGAGGACAGTAAGAAAGGAAGCATGAATATTTTAAAGCAGGAAGTATGGGGAGCCTACACATTGTAAGATAATTTATTTGACAACATACTGTATGTAGCTCCTATTCTATTGCAAACATAGTATCTCTCAGCACAGAGGCTCTATTACAGCCACCTATTTATAAAAGGGGAGGACCCATATAAATGAAATGGGAGCAGACTGGGCGGGAGAAAATTACTCCATCCGCCAGTAGCCAAGTGTCTTCTTTCAGAGTTAGGTTACAAGCTTATTCTCAGGCTGTGACCCTACACTTTGCATAAGTTATTGTTCCATCTTTTTGGTTATTTTATTAAATTTATTCTTATTATGGGAAGTGGAGTTGCTCTCAGTAGCCAGCTTTCTGTGGACCTTCTCCTGATCAAACTTGCTGAACCTGAGAAGTAATAAAGAACTACAGGCCCAGGAGGTAAAGGCAGAAGCCAAGAACTGGGTCAATCAGGCAAAAGTCAGAAAGAAGGCAATGTCTCTGATGGAAACTAATAAAATTCAAGAAGATATACAGGACCCATCCAGCAGAACAGCTGCCAAGAAAAAATTGTCAGTGTGATGAAAGGGATATTTATAACTTTCCCACCGACTACAATTTTGTTTTTGAGAAGAGTAGTTCATTAGCATCTAGCAAAACCTGGATACTATATTGCTTATCATCATCTGATTTCCTCTCTCTGTAATTCCATCCTCAGCAGCATGACCTTCTGATAAATAAGATGGCTTCTAGGTATACCAGCAAGGTAGTACCTTGGAGGAAAGACTCTGTGGTTCAAGTCACTAGAAAAGTCTACACCCTTCTGTAAATTAATAAAAGTTTCATTCTGGTTCACAAACTGAACACCTATAAATTTTATTTTATGGTTTGCTGGGACCTGATTGCTTTCCAGAGCAGGAGGAAATAAAGTGGTGTGCTATTGTTTCTTTTCTTTCTCATTTTATATTCAAAAGGAAAATCAATACACTAATGTTAAAAGCACTTAAAACTTTTTCAAACAATCTTAGTAAATACAGATGGAGAAGTCTGAAATAGGGGAAAGTCTGAATTGTAGGACCCTGCTAATGAAACAGAGTTTGTTACATGCACGTATACAATAATCTAACCTGCTAACAGACTTTTTGTAAATGGGAGACATGTAGAACTTACTTCATTTAATAGGAGATTCATGTCTAATTAGCAAAATCCATTTGATCATGAGTAATTACACTAATGCACAGAGGACTTCTTAGCTCCTAGTGAATCCCCTGATATTGCAAGGACAGTTTCATGTACACTTGTGTGTATTAGGAGTACTCTTTCTGTTGCAAGTGAGAAATACTCAAACTTGTTAGAGCAGAAAAAGGAAAGTTAGGATAAAGATTTCTCATAAAATCTAAAATCAGATATGTGATTTGCTGAGCCTTAGAAACTACTAGAATAAGAGATACATCGAGATTCTCTTATGAAGTGGATTCTCTCGTACTTCTTTATACTCCTTGGCTTTATTCTTCTTCCTTGCAAACTGACTTCCTCCATGTGATGGGAAACATGGCTAATGATGGGGTTCAGGACACACTATCCCAAAACATGGGGCCTTAGCATTTGAGAAAACCACAGAAGCAGGAAGTTTACTCTCTGACCTTCCCCTCACCCCTATCCCCTAAATCAGGTCATAAAACCTAGGAAGGATCCTCTAACCTTCCCCTGAAGCAAGTCATAAGATCCTCATTCAAGAGGTGCCCTCCTTGTATCTATAAGGAACATTGTCGGGCTGGGTGCAGTGGCTCATGCCTGTAATCCCAGCACTTTGAGAGGCCAAGGTGGGGATGGGCCACTTGAGGTCAGGAGTTTGAGACCAGCCAGGCCAACATGGTGAAACCCCGTCTCCACTAAAAACACAAAAATTAGCCAGGCATGGTGGCGGGTGCCTGTAATCCCAGCTACTCCGGGAGGCTGAGGCAGGAGAGTCGCTTGAGCCCGGGGGGGCAGAGGTTGCAGTGAGCCAAGATTGGGCCACTGCACTCCAGCCTGGGTGACAGAGTGAAACTCCATCTCAAAAACATAAAAAAAAAAAGGAACGTTGTCTTAGTCTGTTTTGTGTTGCTATAACAGAATGCCACATACTGGGTAATGTATAAAGAAAATAAATTTATTTCTCACAGTTCTGGTGGCTGTGACGTCCAAGAGCATGGTGCCAGCATCTGACAAGGGTCTTCTTACTGTGTCATCCCATGGCAGAAGGTGGAAGGGCAAGAGAGCACAAGAGAAAGAAAGCAAAAAAGGGCCAAGCTTGTTTTTATAACAAACTCACTCTCAAAATAACAAACCCGCTCTCATGATAGCAACATTAATCCATTCATAGTGGCAGAGCCCTCAGACCTAATCACCTCTTAAAGACCCCACCTCTCAACACGATTGCATTGGGGATTAAGTTTCCAACACAGGAACTTTGGGGGACACATTCAAACCATAGCCAAAATCATTATTTCTGAAGATAAAGAATCTGAACAAACAGGTATTGCTAAATTCCCCTCCAGTTTATTACCATTAGATCATACTTTTTAATCCAATCATACTTCTCTAAGACTATCCACTTCACCATCAAACCTAACAGAAAACGTGTACAATTTTACCTGTTTCTTTGTGTTTTAATTTCCTTATGAAGGCTCCTATGTCACATAAAGCTTATATTTTACAAATTTATATGCTTTTTTTCTTGTTTATCTGTCTTTTGTTACAGAGGCCTCAGCCATGAACCTGGCGATGTGTGAGGAAAAGATATTTTTCATCCCCTACACTAACAAGTGCTTCTGAGCATTATGTCTTACTTTTTCAAGCATCTTGAAGAGAGACTGGCTGTCTTTCTCCTTTCCAGTTCTAAAGTCTTAGGTTCAGACTCTGATTGGCTTGCCTTGGGTCAGGTAGTCATCTGCTAACCAATCAAATGCAGACATGGATGGGTTCATGTTGTACCAGGATTGGGGCTCATAGACAATCAAGCAGATGGAAAAGCAGTTCCCAGAAGAGAGGTACTAAGCAGATAATCCCAATATGTGTCTGCCATTGTATGTAGGGTTTGTGGAGAGATAAACCCATAAATTCCATCAAATTCTCATAGGGTCCTGACCTCAAAATGTTTATGAACTGCTGTCTGAGTGCAGCTTATGTTCTTAAACATTCTGCCACCCCAGATCAGATAAATATATATTCTCCTCAATATTTCTATACTAAATTATTGCTTAAATTTTCTTAAGGTTTGCACAAGGTTAATACAAATAAAATTGCCACAAATTCCAACTTATTAGAATCCAAACTAACAACTTTATCATCCCAGACATACAGATTCCATAGTCAACCTCTTGACAGTGTTTAATTGTTTTTTTCTTGCTATACATTACTATTCAGTTTCTGTGATGGCAGGCACCAATCATGTCTACGATTGGAAAAGGATCATCATTATGTGTGTGATCTTTGGTTAATGTCTAGCAATCATAGTTCCAAGATTTATACTAGTAAGAAATGGAGCATAAGCAATTTCAGAATGAGAACCAGAACTCACTAGAGAAGTCCCTGCCTCTGTCCTTGAATGCTATTAATGTATTTGATAGTTAAGGATTTCTCTCAATACCTTCTCCTGAGCTTCTTTGTAAGGTAATAACTTCTGGAAACTGCATCAACTCTCATGACCTCTTTATTCAGCCTTTATTATGTAAGCCACAAAATAGTATGAGTTATTAATAAGTTTGGCATACAGACTTAATAAAATAAGGAGCTATTTTTTGCATCAACCTAAACTTATGCCTAAAGAACATTCAAGTTAGAGTAGATTATATTGTATATGGCTATACCAATTAGTTAAGCATTATTTTATAATCCAGCTGTATTAGCCCAATTTGATGCCCTCATAAACAGAGACAAAATTATGGTATTTTCAAGCACGCAGCTAAGGGATTAACAGATATGGCAGGAGCACCTCTTTTTCCATCAAATACTCAAGTCAACTCACTAAAAGGTTATTTACTTGTGACTGGTGATACCTGTAATGTAACTTAAGTCGACGGAAAAAATAGGAATCAGGTTACAAACTGCTTTGATAGATGTATATCATTAAATAGGCAACGTGGAATAAGAAAGAAAGATCTGAAGTGAACTGGATTTTAGACCTGGATTTATTCCCATTCTGCTTTTGTGATCTTGGTATATGATTTAATGTCCCTGGTCATCAGCAGTCAAATGAGAGCAGTGAACTACATAAGCTCTGATTGAGCGATCTTCCAGCTGTAACACCCTAAAATCTTATTTCTATCAGTAGGATTAGATTTGGTAGCAAATAACAAAGACCTAAAATAACTGTGGTTTAAACGAGATAAAGATTTATTCCTCTCACACATAGAAATTGAAAAGTACTCAATTCGGACCCAGTATAGCAACCCTGCTTCACAATTCCTCAAGAACCCAAGCTCTTTACAACCCTGTGGTGTGGCCCTCATCCTCATTGTCTAAAATGGTGGCTAAAGCTTACCATCACATCCATGCTTTAAACAGCTAGATGGAGAAAAGGAAAATAAGATGAGAAGCAAAAGGCACGCTGGAGTGCAGCGGTGCGCTCTTGGCTCACTGCAAGCTCCGCCTCCCGGGTTCATGCCATTCTCCTGCCTCAGCCTCCCGAGTACCTGGGACTACAGGCGCCCACCACCACACCCGGCTAATTTTTTGTATTTTTAGTAGAGATGGGGTTTCACCGTGTTAGCCAGGATGGTCTCAATCTCCTGACCTTGTGATCCGCCTGCCTTGGCCTCCCAAAGTGCTGGGATTATAGGCGTGAGCCACGGCGCCCGGCCACACCACCTGTCTTTTAAGGGACACACCTGGAAACTGCCAAGCATCATTTCTGCCACTATCCCACTGGCCACACTGAGTTGCCAGGGAAATTGGGAAATGTAGTGTTCATTTTGGGTGGCCATGTTCCCAACTAAAGGTGGGGAGAATGGTTACTAGGAGCACCTTGAAGTGTCAGACACATACATGATCTAAAAGAATTGATGCTTCTAATAGGGTGCCAGGAAATCTCATTCAGTATTTATCAGTGGAGTTATTCACATCCATAAGAAATTAAGACCCTTTCTATTTCAATTCACTTCAACAAATATTTGATTATTTCCCTTTGCCAGTCAGTGGACCAGGCTCTGGGGATACAAAAAATAAGTAAGACATGTTTACTCCCATTTCTCATGGGACTTACATTAGAATGGGTAAGATCATAAATAAGTAATTATAAGTGTGATGATTATTACAAAAGAGAAAGAACATGGTGCTTTTATATCTGTATCAATTTATCTACCAATTCCTCTATATTCTATAGATGTGGAAAGAACATGATATCCATTCCCCATCTTTTGTCACAAGGATCAAAAAGGAATTTTCTAGGACTTTAACTAGCTCCTTGCTCCCCTATTTCCTTTCTTCCTCTTTCTATCAATGCTAGGAAGTGGTGTGAGTTCACCAATTTTCCACAGAACTCTGATAAATTACTGGTCAGTTTTTATCCTGAGAGTCCAGCATGTTAAAATCTGTGTTCATCTGAACATCCAAGAAGTAGTAGGAGAAAAGCACCAGAGAAATTTATGAATGGGTTTCCTTGAGTTTATATTCATGGGAGGAAGAATCCCTGAGAGAGATTGAATGAAGAACTTTATAACTGACTGGACACACTTGGGGAAATTGTATTAAGAATCCTTCTTTGTTAATTACTGTTCAATAAGGATTTGCTGTTGCTGTTTTTGCTGTCTTTTAATATAATTTTCTTGAAACTTTTCAAATGCTTATTTGCCATTAATCATTCACTGTGAAGCAAGTTGTCTTCCATCTACAGTATTCATGTAGAGTTTCATACATGTATACATATAGTGCATGAGCATTAAACAGAGAATTGCTCGATACCTATAATGTATTCAGAGATTTTAAAAGGAGCCCTTCAGAAATAAAACAGGTTTAACAGAATTGTATGTAGAGGAATGTGTTAAACACTTATGTATAGGAGTATAATTTTTTTAATAACGAAGGAAGTTCATTACAATGTTCTTCACTTGCCTTCAAACAGGCAACTGATTTTCCTTTAAGACAATTATTTCTTTCCCATTAAGTTGCCAAAGGTCAAAGGCCCCTAGAAAGCATTTAACTACCATATTTGGTTAAATAGTGTCCCCCAAAATTCATGTCTACCCAGACCCTCAGAATGTGACCTTATTTGGTATAAGCAAAGGAATGCCGCAGATTGCCAGCAACCACCAGAAGCTAGGAGAGGGGTATGGAAGGAATTCTCCCTTAGAACTTCCAGAAGAAACCACCCTGCTGACACCTGATTTTGGACTTCTAGTTAACAGAACCGTAAGAGAATACATTTCCATTGTTTTAAGCCACTCAGTTTGTGGTACTTTGTTATGCCAACCCTAGGAAACTAATACAACCATCATGCAAGTAGAAAGGATTATCAGGAATTGCTGAGTCTATATATCTGAAGGATGGAATAGTCTCCAAGATAGGGTAGTCAATAGGAAGTACATTCTGATGTCGCCATTTTCTAGAGCTTCTGAGGGGACCATTCACAAAGCCACATACAATAACTGATTCTGTGCAATGATGATCTACTTAGTGCCTGAGATTGTGCTAGACACTGTGGGAGGTTGCCAACCCCTGCAGGAAGTTGCCACCTGGTAGAGCTGGGTCATGGCCCTGTAGCTTTATGTTTTCCCCACTCACCCCACAAACACTCCATTTTCCTTCTCTTACCAGCTGATCTGTGTTCAGCATAGGTGCTCTTATTGGCATCTCCTCCTGTGGTTAACACTATTGATTGTCCACCAGCAAGGAATTGCCTGTCCCTACCTTCTTCCTTGCTCAGAGAATACAACTTCATTAATTCATTCATCAACAAATATTTCTTGATGTACCTGCCATGTAGCTGTCACTGTTGTATGCTCTGGAGGCACAGTGGTGAACAAAACATACCACCTTGTTCCAGTAGAACTTATAATCTAGCCAGAAAAACATTCTTTCTATCTCTCTCTCTCGCTTACTCAGACTCTGTCTCTCTCTCATTAAGAGCTATCAAAAATTTAAACAGGGAAGAAGGATAGAGAACAATGGAGGGGAAGGCTGCTATTTTAGGTAGAGTGGTCTCTGTTCTTATGTTGCCTGAAGGAAATGAGGGATTAAGTCATGCAGATACCTGGAGGAAGAGCTGTCTAAACACTGAGAATAGTATGTGCAAAGCCTTCATGTATGCGTGCCCTGTTAAGAGAACAACAAGCCTGAAAGTGTGGCTGAAGCAGAGACAGCAAGGGAGAGAGTGGTATGAGATAAAGCTACATAGAAGGAGGACTGTATTGGGCCTTGAAGGAGCTCTAGGCATTGAAGGCTGCAACTGACAGATATCTGCTTTCCCAGCCTCCCTTGCAGCTAGTGTATGGGCATGTAACAAATCCTGGCCACTGAGACATGAGGGGAGATATGCAGGTTGTTGGGTTTATAAAAGGTATTTTCTTCTGAATAAAGAGAAAGAGAGAGAGAGAGCTATGAGGAGAACCTACTGTTCCTTAGGCTACTATATTGTCTACATATGACAACTAGAACAGTTGGGCACATCTGGCAACCATGATGGGACGAGCCAGAGGACCAAACAAATTATCTGAGAATTCTAGGACCAAAAATATGGAAAGAGCCTGGGCTCCAACTGCATTTTCAAGCCACTGAATTAACTAACCTCACAATCACCCAACGACTAGTCCTCTTGTTATATAAGGAAATGAATACCCTTATTCCTTAAGTTACTTTAAGTATTCAGTTCTTTGCAGTCAAAAACATTTCAAATGAGAAACCTTCCTTGGTGTAAATACAAAGTACAACACTTCAACTTCATTTTACATTTGCTTTTGTGCACCACTCTAAAAGCTTAACCGCCGAGATAAAAAGATGAATAGAATAAAAATTTTGTGTGAAAAGGGGAAAATCTCTTCTACAAAATAACTTGAAGGAGAAAAGATTTTTCATCTTCAGTCAAATACGTTTGTACAGATAACAATGACATCAATGGTCTTGAATTATTTAATACCTTGTTCCACACTGTCACTTATGAGCAATGTCTTTTGCAGTTCAAGATTAGAAGCATCTTAACTTTGCATTTAATTTACCTTGGTCACATAGTCTTCGATCATATATTTTTCCATATTGGCTATGCTTCAATTTCTCTTTTCAATTTATTGAAATCTTCTGGGTTGAACCTGTGCAAAATACAACAGAATATGTGCAAAATACAAAAACAGGGAAAATGGGAATAAGTAAACAATCACCCCAAATAAACAATTCACAATCTAAAACATTGATCTTGTTATACAAACAGTTAACACAGCAAGTAAAAAGAACTATAAATAACCAGCAAACTATGGCAATAAAACTTGTGAATAGTTCTATTGGATTAAAAAAATATTAAAAAGTATGTCTTGGCTGGGCACGGTGGCTCACGCCTGTAATGCCAGCACTTTGGGAGGCCGAGGTGGGCAGATCAAGAGGTCAAGAGATCGAGACCATCCTGTCCAACACGGTGAAACCCCGTCTCTACTAAAAATACAAAAATTAGCTGGACCTGGTGGTGGGTGCCTGTAATCCCAGCTACTCGGGAGGCTGACGCAGGAGAATCGCTTGAACCTGGGAGGCGGAGGTTGCAGTGAGCCAAGATCAGTCCATTGCACTCCAGCCTGGCGACACAGCAAGACTCTGTCTAAAAAAAAAAAAAAAAAAGTATGTCTCTCTGAGGTGAAGCTCTTATGACATTAATGGGTCTGGTGAACGAGTTTAGATGCTGAGTAGAAGCTTGAAATAGTACTAGAATAAAAGCATAGTTCGGCAGCAAGGGATGGAAAACTAGAAAGAATAAGTAAAATGAAGCCAAGGAGGAAGATGAGATCATAAAAAGCAGTCTACTTAAGGTTCAAGTCTGATATTTGTGTAATTAAAGTGAAAACTTTTCCATTTTAGGGACTGGAATTATGTTTAAATGAATTTTGATAAAACTCGCTATTCAAACTTTTTGAGTAAAACTCTATAATTGCTACCTATCCATTATATTGAATATACCCAAGGAATTCTGCTGGCCAAATTAGTCATGACTCATTGGCATGTTTTTATAACATTTAGATATATTAGTTGCATGAACATTTCAGGGAGCGTTGTTCAAATGTGCCTCAGTCAGAATACTTCAGTAGTCTCTACTATTTCTAATGAAGCACTAAAACATTAAGAACCATTAATGATATGAAACCATTAATGATATTTAAAAAACTTCATAACATAGACTTGATTGAGTAAATTATGTTTCATTAATTCCAAAGCAATTTAGCAATAACCTAAAAATTATGTTTCATTAATTCCAAAGAAATTTAGCAATAACCTAAGACCGTTGTTGGCACTGTTTTTAATATTAATAATACTCCCTTTCAATAGAAATGAATATTGACTTTGTTATTCACTCATTTACTCAACATTCATCAGCATTGCTCTGTGCAAAGGCCTGTAGTATGCCACATGGGGAATGCTCAGATGAATCAGGCAGGGACTCTGCCCATTCTGATGTCATAGTTAATGACTTAAGGAAGATAAAACACATACAAAAAACACCATAACATTATATAAGAGGTAGTAAATGCTAAAAGAGGCACGGACATAAAATTTAAGGAGCATAGAGTGTATTGCCATCAGAGAGGTATAAGAAAGGCTTTATGGAGAAAGTGTATTGATGTTGAATTCATTCCTTCTTTCAAGAAAAATTTACTGGAAATGCCCCTACTTTCACAGAAAGTGCAACCTGATAGGGAAGACAGACAATGGGCAGATAAAGATTTAGGAGTGGAGTGTTGTAGGGAAATGTAAAGAGCTTGGTAAAATCAAGAAACAGAAATAGGGCCAATGTGGGCAGAGTGTAGTGAGAAAAAGGGAGAGTGATCAGAGATGAGGTCAAAGGGTTCAGATCATGTAAGACCATGTAAGCCATAGAAAGGAATTTGGATTTTAGTCTAAATGCTTTGGAAAACCACTGACAGGCTGAGCAGGAGGATAACATGATCTGGTTTTCATTAAAGATCACTGTAGCTGCTGGGTGAAGAATGCATTATAGGGAGGTAAGAGCGGGAGCAGGAACATCTCTCAGGAGGCTACTGAAAGAGTCCCAGTGAAAGATCATGGTGACTTAAATTCTAATGGTAGCCAAGGGGCTAGAGAAAAGTGGATCTATTGTGAAGTCAGAGCCAAAAGGACTTCCTGACAGACTGTATGTGGAGTGCAAGGGAAGTACAAGAATGTAGATGACTCTCAGACTTTTGGCTTGTGAATGGTGGTGGCATTTACTGGAATTGAGAAGGCCTACAGAGAGAGTGAATTTGAGGGGAGAGATGAACAAGAATTCTAATTTGACCATGTTGAGTTGAGATGCCTGTTGGACATCCAAGTGGGGATATCAAGTTGACAATTACATATACAAAATTGGAACTCAGTAGAGGAATAAGGGCTGAAGATATATTGTGAGTCATTGGCAAATAGACAGTATTTAAAGCCATGGACCTGGACAAGATCAACAGGGATAAAGTGTTAATAGAGTAGGACAGGGACCCGGGACCCAGCCCTGGGGCACTTGAAAGATGGATACTATTTTAATGGCCAGAGATGGAAAGGACATTGAACAGGAAGGAAAAACTCAAAGACAGGAAAGTACTTAGCATAAGTGGGGAAGCATGGGTAATCCATTTAGGGAGAGCTCATAACAGATACCAAGGCCTAGATTTGGTCCACAGACTTCAATGGAGAATCATGGAAGGTTTTAAACTTAACAAAGTGGTTCTGCTTCTGATAATATATGAGTAGTTCCTATATGTGATCATCCTTCTCTAGATAACAACTACAAACATTGGACAATAATATTTTTTAAACCCTACCTAAAGGCACAGAGAAAAAACAAAAGCAGGCAGATACTAGAGGGGGTCAATACTTGAAGAAAAGCACCAGATCTTTGTGAGTTTCCCATATTGATTTTACAGCTTTTTGCCCGAAGAGCACGTCCCAGTTTTCACTGAGCCTGGTAGCTAAAACCAGCAGTCTTATTGGCTTGAAGAACCAGAGGACAGAGTTTGGAAAGGGGGTGGAAATTTCTGAAAGGAGAGAGCTTGAAAGGGGGTACTTAAGTTTAAACTTTGTCTAAATCTCTGGCTGATCCTGGAAGTACACATGTATAGGGTAGACTCCAAGAAGCCTAGCTAAGGCTAAAAAAATTGGACTAAGATTTCAGCTGCTGCCTACCACAAGGGAGAGAGAGTTTGGAATTTGAGCTCAACCAAGTTCGCTGCCTGCAAAAACGAACAAAAAGACCTTTGAAGGTACAGAACAGAATCCCGAATCCCTAAAATGTGTCATTTACAATATCCAGGATATAATTCAAAATTGTTAGACATATGAAGAAATAGAAAAACAAGACCCATACTCAGAAGAAAAGGTAATCAATGGAGAGGATCAATGGAGATGACCCAGATGTTAGAATTAGCAGACAAAAGGAAAATATGCCCGTAGTGAATAAAGTTGAGGAATAAATTTATTATTCTGTATCTCAGAAGAATCTTTAACTGGTAAATAAGATTAATTTGGGCGGGCGCGGTGGCTCACGCCTGTAATCGCAGCACTTTGGGAGGCCGAGGCGGGTGGATCACGAGGTCAGGAGATCGAGACCATCCTGACTAACACGGTGAAACCCCGTCTCTACTAAAAATACAAAAAAAAATAAATTAGCCAGGCGTGGTGGCAGGCGCCTATAGTCCCAGCTACTTGGGAGGCTGAGGCAGGAGAATGGTGTGAACCCGGGAGGCGGGGCTTGCGGTGAGCCGAGATGGCGCCACTGCACTCCAGCCTGGGCGACAGAGCCAGACTCTGTCTCAAAAAAAAAAAAAAAAAAAAAAAAAATTGAGGATGCAGAGGCCAGAGGTGGGAAAAAGGTAGGGAAGCTATTGATAGGCCCGTAGTTCTATAGACACAAAGAGAGTAAAGTTGACAAAAAGATACTTTGAAAGATGTCATTTAATTATGGAAAGAAGAAAGAGGAATCAGATGACACTGAGGTTTCAAGTGTGGTTGAAACAATGGTAGTACCACCAGCAGAAACAGAAACATCAATGGAGAACATAAGGCTTGGATATAGGATGACAAATTCCATTTTGGAAATATTGAGTTTGAAATGTTAACATGATATCCAGTTGTAGTATTCAACAAGGAGTTGCAAATTCAAGATGGATCTGTAAGAAAGGCAGGGTCAAGGCTGGGGAGAATAATTTCGAGTCTTTCAAGTGATCATTGAAGTATGAAATTATATTAGATTTCCAAAGAAAAACGTACATAGTTAAAAGAGAAATAATATGTATTAGTTACCTATTGCCACGTAGCAAATCACAAATGCTTAAGGCAACAACCATTGATTGGTTTATAATTCCACAGGCTGGCAATTTGGGCTGGGTTCAGCTGGACATTTGTACTTGTCTCTTGTGGGTTCACTCATGCATTTGCAGTCAGCTATCAGGTCAGCTTTGCTGATCTGGGTCAGGAACCCTCCCATCTTTCAAGCCTTATCTAAGATGGCTCATCTCTGCTCTATGTGCCCTCTCATCCTTTAATAGTCTAACCTGGGTTTGTTCACACAAATTCCAAGAGAGAAAACCGAAGTGTGCAAGGCTTCTTGAGGCTCAGACTTGGACCCAGTACCACATTGCTTCCATTACATTCTGTTGGCCAAAGCTAGTCATCAGGCTGTCCTAGATTCAAATAGTAGGAAAATAAACTTTATAGTTTGATGGGAGACTGCAAAGTCACATTGCAAAGGAGCATGGATACAGGAAGGGGAATACTTTGTGGTCATTTTGCAATCTACCACATAGCCAAGGATAGAACTTTGGATTTGCACACCCATATTCATAGTAGAATTATTTACAATATCCAAGAGGTGGAAGCAACCCAGGTGTCCATTGACCATGAATGGATAAACAAAATGTGGCATAAACATTCTGTTTATTATAAAGGATATTACAAAGGATACGGATGAACAGCCAGAGGAACAGGTATATAGAGTGAAGTCCAGAAGGGTCCTAAGCAAAGGTGCTTCTGTCCTCATGGAGCTGGGATGCACCACTTTCCTAACATATGGATGTGTTCGCCAGCCTGGAAGCTCTCCAAACCCCATAGTTTAGGGATTTTTTATGGAGGCTTCATCACCTGGGCATGATCAATTATTAACTCAATCTCAAGTCTCTCTCTTTTCCCAGGAGGATGTGGAGTAGGGGGCTTGAAAGTTCCAAGTTTCTAATCATGCTCAGTCTTTCTAGTGAGTAGCCCTCATCCAGAAGCCCAGCAAGAGTCACCTCATTAGAACAAAAGGCACTCCTATCATTCAGGAAATTATGATGGCTTTAGATGCTCTGTGTCAGGAACTGGGGAAAGAGACCTAATGCATATTTCTTATTATGTCACAACATGCAATTTAATATTTTTCAGCCTTAAAGAGGGTGCGGGCACGGTGGCTCATGCCTGTAAGCCCAGCACTTTGGGAGGTTGAGGCAGAAGGATTGCTTGAGCCCAGGAGTTCGAGACCAGCCCAGGCAACATAATGAAACCCCCCCCATCTCTACTAAACATAAAAAATTAGCTAAGAGTGGTGGCATGCGCCTGTAGTCCCAGCTACTCAAGAGGTTGAGGTGGGAGGATGGCTTGAGCCCAGGAGTTTGAGGCTGCAGTGAGCTATGACTGCACCGCTGCACTCCAGTCTCCAGTCCAGGCAACAGAGCAAGACTTCGTCACAAAAAACAAAAAGAAGGAAATCCTGTCTCATGCTACAACATGAATGAAGTTTGCGGACATTATGCTAAGTGAAATAAGCCAGTCGCAAAAAGACAAATACTGTATGATTTCACTTATATATCTCGAATAGTCAAACTCACAGAGACGGAAAGTAGTATGGTGGTTGCCAGGGGCTGAGGATAGAGGAAAAAATGGGAGTTGCTGTTTAGTGGGTGCAGAGTTTCAGTTTTGTAAGATGAAAATGTTCTGGAGATTGGTTGCACAATAATATGAATGTACTGAGCACTAATGAACTATACATTTCAAAATCGGTAAGATGGCAAATTTTATGTTATGTATTTGTTACCACAATTAAAAATAAAATATAAAAATAGAACTTTAGACATGATCCATATTTAGGGTGAACAGGAAAAAGGGAACAAAAGGAAACAAATGTTGCCCAATCTGGAACTAATGGAAACCAATCTACCAGGTGGAGTTTGAAAATGGTTCTCTTATCTTTGTTCTCTATCACTTTCAGATAAGGGGCTCCAGAATTTAGCCTTTCCTCACTGGAGGGAGGAAGAGAGCCATCTGCTTATCTGGCCCTCATCTCTCCAGGATTCTAGAGTTCACATGATTTATCCTATTTTCCAGGCTGATAATATCCTTGTGGAAATTCCAGCCCTGGACCTACCTTCTTTTCTTATTTTTGCCAGTCCCATCTCCTGATCCTGGACCTCAGTTCTATCTAGCCTTGGCTTCACATCAGAATGACTATCCGCTATTAATAATATGGTCGGCCTCCAAGCCTTCACAGAACCACAGCCCCGTCTTGCTCCCAGAGAGCAGACATCTCTAGAAGAGTGATACATGCCTAGAGTGGTCCTAAAGTTCTGCCACACTCAGGGATTTGTTTACCGTGGGCTGTTCTTTTGCTGCCAGGGAAAGGACAGCCCTTCTGCCATCCCAGATGCCCACATTTGCCTGGTTCAGCCTTGCTCCCTGCTTGCTCATTCATTATATCCAGGATGTTTTGTGATCAGACCTGAAAAACTCACCTGAAGCTACCACAGATGTTAAAGTTGGGGAAATGGGCAGATTCCAAGAGCCAAATGGGATACCAATTTGCAGCGACATTTAAAAACAACCAAAATTCTGTCCATAATCATATTTTCATGATGGTCTCAAAAATGTAGTTACAATTGGTTTGTTCAAATCAAGATCCAAACAAGGTCCACACATTACCTCTGGTTGCCTCTCTCAATGCAAAGAATTACCCCTCCTCTTTTTCGTTCATTCCATTGACTTGCTGCAGAAAGTAAGTTAACCAAACCTAGAGAATATATCACATTCCGTATTTGTCTATTTGCTTCCTTGTGTGTCATTTAATTTATTTCTCTAGTCCTTTTGTCTCCCCGCAAAAATGAAAGCTCTAGAGCAGTACCTTCCAATAGAACTCGCTGCCGTGGTGGGAATGTTCTATAATGTGCGCCGTCTGATACCATAGCCACAGGTGAAGACTGACACGTGAAATGTGGCTGGTGTGAATAAGGAACTGAATTTTTTAAATTTATTTTATTTTAATTAATTTGAATTTAAATATCCACATGTCATAGCTACCGTATTGGACAGTGAAGCTATAGAGGCTTAACTGAATTCAGCTTCAGGTTTTTGAAAACAATACTTCATAGGTAGTACTAAGTATTTCTTATTGCATGACATAAGAGGCTTATAGTGACTGGTTGTTCACCTTTACCAATGCTGAGATTAATCAGTGGGTTCAGGTGGTGATAGCCTGATCCTTCCCATTTCAAGTTCCCCATCCACCTTTCATCTAATGGCTTTATTCATTTATGATTGTTGCCTGAATCAATTATTCCATTATGGTTTTCAAAGTGGTGCTTTTCTTTTTTTATTATTATACTTTAAGTTCTGAGATACATGTGCAGAACATGCAGGTTTGTTACATAGGTATACATGTGCCATGGAGGTTTGCTGCACCCATCAACCCATAATCTTCATTAGGTATTTCTCCTAATGCTATCCCTCCCCTTGCCCCCCACCCCCCGACGGGTCCCAGTGTGTGATGCTCCCCTCCCTGTGCCAATATGTTCTCATTGTTCAACTTCCACTTATGAGTGAGAACATGTGGTGTTTAGCTTTCTGTTCCTGTGTTAGTTCGCGGAGAATGATGGTTTCCAGCTTCATCCATGTCCCTGCAAAGGACATGAACTAATCCTTTTTGTGGCTGCATAGTATTCCATGGTGTATATGTGCCATATTTTCTTTATCCAGTCTATCATTGATGGGCATTTGGGTTGGTTCTAATTTACACTCCAACCAATAGTGTAAAAGCATTCCTATTTCTCCACATCCTCTCCAGTATGTGTTGTTTCCTGACTTTTTAAATGATCGCCATTCTAACTGGTGTGAGATGGTATCGCATTGTGGTTTTGATTTGCATTTCTCTAATGACCAGTGATGATAAGCTTTTTTTCACGTTTGTTGGTCGCATAAATGTCTTCTTTTGAAAAGTGTCTGTTCATATCCTTTGCCCACTTTTTGATGGAGTTGTTTGTTTTTTTCTTGTAAATTTGTTTAAGTTCCTTGTAGATTCTGGATATTAGCCCTTTCTCACATGGATAGATTGCAAAAATTTTCTCCCATTCTGTAGATTGCCTGTTCACTCTGATGATAGTTTCTTTTGCTGTGCATAAGTTCTTTAGTTTAATTAGATCACATTGTTCAATTTTGGCTTTTGTTGCCATGGCTTTTGGTGTTTTAGCCATGAAGTCTTTGTCCATGCCTATGTTCTGAATGGTATTGCCTAGGTTTTCTTCTAGGGTTTTTCATGGATTTAGGTCTTACATTTAAATCTTTAAAACATCTTGAGTTAATTTTTGTATAAGGTGTAAGTAAGGGGTCCAGTTTCAGTTTTCTGCATATGGCTAGCCAGTTTTCCCAGTACCATTTATTAAATAGGGAATCCTTTCCCCATTGCTTGTTTGTGTCAGGTTTGTCAAAGATGAGATGGCTGTAGATGTGTGGTGTTATTTCTGAGGCCTCTATTCTGTTCCATTGGTCTATATATCTGTTTTGGTACCAGTACCATGCTGTTTTGGTTACTGTAGCCTTGTAGTATAGTCTGAAGTCAAGTAGTGTGATGCCTCCATGTTTGTTCTTTTTGCTTAGGATTGTCTTGGTTATATGGACTCTTTTTTGGTTCCATATGAAATTTAAAGTAGTTTTTTCTAGTTCTGTGAAGAAAGTCAATGGTAGCTTGATGGCAATAGCATTGAATCTATAAATTACTTTGGGCAGTATGGCTATTTTCATGATATTGATTCTTCCTATCCATGAGCATGGAATGATTTTTAATTTGTTTGTGTCTTCTCTTATTTCCTTGAGCAGTGGTTTGTAGTTCTCCTTGAAGAGGTCCTTCACATCCATTGTAAGTTGTATTCCTAGGTATTTGATTCTCTTTGTAGCAATTGTGAATGGGAGTTTGCTCATGATTTGGCTCTCTGTTTGTCTATTATTGGTGTATAGGAATGCTTGTGATTTTTGCACATTGATTTTGTATCCTGAGACTTTGCTGAAGTTGCTTATCAGCTTAAGGAGTTTTGGGGCTGAGACGATGGGGTTTTCTAAATATACATGCAAACAGAGATCATTTGACTTCCTCTCTTCCTATTTGAATATGCTTTATTTCTGTCTCTTGCCTCATTGCCCTGGCCAGAACTTCCAATACTATGTTGAATAGGAGTGGTGAGAGAGGGCATCCTTGTCTTGTGCCAGTTTTCAAAGGGAATGCTTACAGCTTTTGCCCATTCAGTATGATATTTGCTGTGGGTTTGTCATAAATAGCTCTCAGTATTTTGAGATATGTTCAATCAATACCTAATTTATTGAGTGTTTTTAGCATGAAGCGGTGTTGAATTTTGTCGAAGGCCTTTTCTGCATCTATTGAGATAATCATGTGTTTTCTGTCATTGGTTCTGTTTATGTGATGGATTATGTTTATTGACTTGCGTATGTTGAACCAGCCTTGCATCCCGGGGATAAAGCTGACTTGATCATGGTGGATAAGCTTTTTAATGTGCTGCTGCATTTGGTTTGCAAGTATATTATTGAGGATTTTCACATCAATGTTCATCAGGGTTATTGCCCTGAAATTTTCTTTTTTTGTTGTGTCTCTGCCAAGTTTTGGTATCAGGATGATGCTGGCTTCATAAAAGGGAGGAGTCCCTCTTTTTGTGTTGTTTGGAATAGTTTCAGAAGGAATGGTACCAGCTCCTCTTTGTACCTCTGGTAGCATTCGGCTGTGAATCCGTCTGGTCCTGGACTTTCTTTGGTTGGTAGGCTATTAATTACTGCCTCAATTTCAGAACTTGTTATTGGTCTATTCAGGGATTTGACTTATTCCTGGTTTAGTCTTGGGAGGGTGTATGTGTCCAGGAATTTATCCATTTCTTCTAGATTTTCTAGTTTATTTGCATAGAGGTGTTTATACTATTCTCTGATGGTAGTTTGTATTTCTGTGGGATCAGTGATAATCTCCCATTTATCATTTTTTATTGTGTCTATTTGAATCTTCTCTTGTTTCTTCTTTATTAATCTGGCTAGTGGTCTATCAGTTTTGTTAATCTTTTCAAAAAACCAGCTCTTGGATTCATGGATTTTTTGAAGGGTTTTTCATGTCTGTATCTCCTTCAGTTCTGCTCTGATCTTAGTTATTTCTTATCTTCTGCTAGCTTTTGAATGTGTTTGCTCTTGCTTCTCTAGTTCTTTTAATTGTGATGTAAGGGTGTCAATTTTAGATCTTTCCTGCTTTCTCCTGTGGGCATTTAGTGTTACAAATTTCCCTCTAAATACTCCTTTAGCTGTGTCCCAGAGATTCTGGTACGTTGTGTCTTTGTTCTCATTGGTTTCAAAGAACTTATTTATTTCTGCCTTAATTTTGTTATGTACCCAGTAGTCATTCAGGAGCAGGTTGTTCAGTTTCCATGTAGTTGTGCAGTTTTGAGTGAGTTTCTTAATCCTGAGTTCTAATTTGATTGCACTGTGGTCTGAGAGGCTGTTTGTCATGACTTCCGTTATTTTGCATTTGCTGAGGACTGTTTTACTTCCAATTATGTGGTCGATTTTAGAATAAGTTCTATGTGGTGCTCAGAAGAATGTCTATTCTGTTGATTTGGGGTGGAGAGTTCTGCAGACGTCTGTTAGGTCTGCTTGGTTCAGAGCTGAGTTCAAGTCCTGAATATCCTTGTTAATTTTCTGTCTCATTGATCTGTCTAATATTGAGAGTGGGGTGATAAAATCTTGCACTATTATTGTGTGGGAGTCTAAGTCTCTTTGTACGTCTCTAAGAACTTGCTTTATGAATCTGGGTTCTCCTATATTGAGTGCATATATATTTAAGATAGTTAGCTCTTCTTGTTGAATTGATCCCTTTACCATTATGTAATGCCCTTCTTTGTCTTTTTTGATCTTTGTTGGTTTGAAGTCTATTTTATCACAGACTAGGATTGCAACCCCTGCTTTTTTTTTTTTTTTTTTTTTTGCTTTCCATTTGCTTGGTAAATCTTCCTCCATCCCTTTATTTTGAGCCTATGTGTGTCTTTGCACGTGAGATGGGTCTCCTGAATGCAGCACACCAGTGGGTCTTGACTCTATCTAATTTGCCAGTCTGTGCCTTTTAATTGGGGCATTCGGCCCATTTACATTTAAGGTTAATATTGTTATGTGTGAATTTGATCCTGACATTATGATGCTAGCTGGTTATTTTGCCCATTACTTGATGCAGTTTCTTCATAGTGTCGATGGTCTCAAAGTGGTGCTTTTCTAAGTCCAGCATTCCTTCTACATTTATAAGCCAGAATTCTTCTGTAAAGACCATTCTTTCATCAACTAATGCTATACGGTTCACCTGAAATACAGTTTGTATAAGAAAAAGCATGATAAATTCTTAATTTTTTTTATATTGCCATTAATGGCTGGCAAAAAAGAAAGAAAGGTAGGCATCTTGCATCTAGGCAAAGGTGCCAGGATTTTATCCTGAGCTATGGAAAGCCACTGTGGGTTTTAAGCACATAGGATGAACAAGATAACATTTTCATTTTAGGATGCACCCTTTATCCCTTGTGTAGAGAATGGGTGAAAGTCAGGAAGGCTCTGAAGGGAGCTGTCATAATTCAGGCCAAAGATGGGGAGGGCCCAAACTGGGGTGGGGGTAGTGGAGCGAGAGAGAGTTTGACAGAATCCAGATTAGAAAGGAGAATCCAAAAATCTAGTAAAATAATGTGGGAGGTGCGAGAAGAAGGGGAGATGGAGGAGGGTAGGATGACATAATGAACCCTATATTTCTGATATGGTCAATTAAATAAATGGTGATGCCACAAAACTCCTTGAGAAATACAGGAAGAGAAGTATAGAGGAGTTAGCTCCTAAATGAAAAACGAAGTCTGCCCAAACATGGACTTCCCAGACAGAAGGAAAGATTTAAGAAGCTACAGTATAATTTTTTTCACTTCAGTCTAATAAATAATAGTGAGTACATATTAGGGGGAAATTACTCATATATAGAGTTGTCTGGATTCTGGAGATCTATAAAGAAGAATCAGGGATTATTTTGTTAGCATTAAATGTTTAACCTGAAGAAATTAAATTCTAGGCTCTATTCCTAATCCATTTGTAAACACATTCCAAATTCCTCTCTGTTGTTATTTTTTTCCCTATTGCTTACAGAGATATGCCTACTATTTTAGGAAATCCTTAATAGTGGATGTAGTGTTTTCAGAAGTGAAAAATGCTTTGCAAGTGTATAAGCAAAAATCTTCCCAGTCGTTGTATTAGTTTCCAAGGGCTGCCATAACAAAGTACCATAAACTGGGTGGCTGAAAACAACAGAAATTTATTGTCTCAGAGTTCTAGAGGCTAGAAGTCTAAAATCAAGATGTTGTCAGGGCCATGTTCTCTCAGAGACTCTGTGTGGAATCCTTCCTTGCCTCTTCCTAGCTCCTTGCCACTTCCTAGCTTCTGGTGGTTTGTCAGCAATCTGTGGCATTCATTGGCTTGTAGATGCATCATTCCAATCTTCTGTCATTACCTGGCATTCTCCCTGTGTCTCTGTCTTCACATGGCTATCTTCTTATAAGGAGACCAGTCCTAATGGATTAGGGGCCCACCCTACTCAAGTATGACCTCATTTTAACTAATTACATCTGCAACACTCCTATTTCCAAATAAGGTCACATTCTGAAGTACTGAGGATTAGACCTTCAACGTATCTTTTTTGGGAGAATCATAATTCAACCCATAACAGTGGTCTAAAGACCCATGGTAAACTATGAAAACAAAAATTTTCATTTGAAAATTATCTATTTTAACACCCTTTCAAAAGCTTTATATTGCTCTTTGGAGAAGCTGAAACTTATTTTCTTTTTTTTTCAAAATGAAATTTCATAGAATCTTACAGTGTCCACCAAGGCAAAATAAAATAAAGACTAACAGAGCAATACAGCATATGAATATATTTAATAAACATAGTCGTTTAAATACTTATTTAATTGTATTTTGTGGTACATTTTCCTAAGCATTTTCCTGAAATCTTTGGGAGAACTCATTATAGTAAGAAATACTCATTCTTTATCAGAATGAAACACTAACCTTTGCTAACAGTACCTATTGTTTAAATAAAATGAGATAACATATGTAAATCATTTAACAGTTTGCAAGTACTCAACAGCTGTTAGCTACTTTTTTTTGTTTGTTTTTTGTTTTGTTTTGTTTTGTTTTTTGTTTTTGAGACAGAGTCTCATTCTGTTGCCCACGCTGGAGTGCAGTGGCACAATCTCAGCTCACTGCAACATTCACCTCCTGGGTTCAACTGATTCTCCTGCCTCAGCCTCCCGAGTAGCTGGGACTACAGGCGCATGCCACCACACCCGGCTAATTTTTGTATTTTTAGTAGAGACAGGGTTTCTCCATGTTGGCCAGGCTGGTCTCGAACTCCTGACCGCAGGTGATCCTCCCGCCTCGGCCTCCCTAACTGCTAGAATTACAGGAGTGAGCCACTGCACCCAGCCCTGTTAGCTGCTATTAATATATATTTAGTACTCTTAGCATTGCAATGATGATTAAATTACATGTGAAACACTTACATCAATGCCTGACCCACAGTAAGTACTCAGTAAGTGTCTAGCTATTATTATCATCATCACCATCATTATAAAAAGTGTTCAAAACTTTTGGTAAAGTGTCCAAAACTGCCAATACTACTTCGAATTGGCTTATTCTTGCTTAAACGTGAACTCACTATTTGCATACAGTCTTATTAGTCTTAAAATTTTTAATAAAGCCATTTAATCTATAGAATTCATCTCTTATTTTCTAGGCAATTGTAAGTTATTTCAATTCAGTTTTCTTATTTAAAAAAGGAATTCCTTAATGTTTAACCCCTTCCCAGGTTTTTATTCTTATTTTATTAGTTACCAAGAACATGACTTGAAAATAAGCTACTGAAATATAATTGATCTGTTGCTTAATGAAAATGTACTTTACTTACAAATATGGCATTATTAATCCATGAGCAGTTTTTCCAGCAATGGACCTGATTTGATAGTGCCTCACTCACACAATTTTTGTGATTAAAGCTGCAGAGTTTCCAAACATGGAGATTTGGGATTCAGCTGGTGGTCAAAGAATAGAGTTCCATTTAATTCCATAGTGTTCTGCAAAGACACTTCCAGTTGAGGTCTGGCTACGGGCTGGTCTTAAATACAAGTCACTAAAAAAGAATTTTTTAAAAAAAGTATCTTTTCCAGTTGCAGACTCAAATTTGCATTCAAAAGCACAAATATAAAGTTTTAAAAAACATAACCACAATAACAGCCATGTTTTAAAGCAAGAGTTCAATAAAGTTTGAAAATTTTTTTTCATGGCGATGAGTAGGAACTGGTGGTCCTTGGGTTTTTGCTTCAAAATGGTTTGTGGACTGAAAAAAAAAAAATGTGAGAACCACTGTTCTAACCAACCAAAGTAAATTGATAGTTACAAAATGGGAACGTTTATTCTCTGAAGGAATACTTTATACTGAGATTTTTGCTTAATGTCAAAGCAACTGTTTTCAACATCAGTTTGAAATGAAATTTTAATGTATTATCTCCCTCATGAATTAGTGTTTATAAACAAGAAAATTTAGAGGGTCTTTTCAGTTCTAGCAAAATGAAAACTAAAGTAAAACAGTAGCTTATTAAAGCTTCCAGAATGGCTTCTCAGTTCCTTGTCAAGTATCAAAGCCCCATAATTCTTTCCCTTCAAATGACTCTTGGAAGAAAATGACACCTCTAAGGATTAAACATTTCGGAAACCAATAAAAGAAGAAGACATTAAAGCATGTCTGACACAGGCCTCTCCTTCATAGTTCCCTCTTCCTCTCATTCTCCCTACATAAGTATGAGTCAGGTAATGTTCACTTTGAATCATATATTTGTTAGTTTATTTTGAGCATTACATAAACTAGATTTTGATCATAGCCTATGAGGCAATTGACCTGTAATCATTTGCATTTCAACATATGTAGCTCAAAAAACAGAAGAGTAAGTTGCTCTACATTCTTTTATTTGCATTTCACAGGTTACTTACAGTATCATTTTTTGTGATACAAGAGTGCCCTAAAGAAATAGATCACACTACAATAAAATGCTCACACAGCAAATGGAACGAGGTAACTTTCAAGAGTGAGATATTTGAATTACATTATGTATGCAGGAGTACTCCCTTTCTGCAGCTGATAACAATACCTCCATTTATTGAATGTTTCCTATGTGGCAGGCACCATGCTTAATGCTTTACAGACATTACCTCCATTTAATCTTCCCACCAATCATACAAGGCAAGTATTATTATTCCTATTTTCAGATGAGAAAAACAAAGTTTATTCTGCAAATATTTGTTGAACAGCAACTACATGCCGGTCTAAGCAAAGCTGAAGCTAAGATAAAGAATCCTGAAGTTTGGACACAGGCCTGTCTCTGCTCTTATCATGACCCCATCCTGCCTAACTGGAAAGAATGTTAAACATTTCATGTATTTGTATTATAGATTGTCTTCACCTTTATAGATTTTACTGTCTTTCATCATATGCAACTCTAAAATCTTTGAACTTTGTATCTGGAAGGGAACCTAGAACCTTACATTTTCCAAAATTTGAATTTTCTCAAATAAAATGTTCAAATTGATGTAGAAATGCCTGTTCTTTAAGATCTGTGTCAATCAGGAAAATAGCCTTAATAATTTTTATTGGAGACATTTCAAGGAAAAAACAAAATTCACACACATGAAACATATGTAACCATGTATTTTGTTAAACTATTGTCTTATATGAGATAAGATTTGAGCCTAAATCTTACCTTTCTTTCTCTCTGAAAAGAAAGTTAAATAGTCTCTGGCTATTACCTTTCCTTTTTTTGTGAAAAAATAAATAGGCTTTGGATAAATATGAATCGAAATAAATATGCTTTGGATAATATAATTTGGATAATCCAGATGAAAGGAAAAAACTTTTTCCTAGAGGTGATGATGATTACACTTTTGGGATTTTCTACAGTAGTGACAAATCTATATGTACAGAGCTGTGAACTTTGGATGTATATGAGGTAGAGATTGTGCCATGAGCCATAGTTAGTCATCTTGCAACTTTTCCAGACTGATGTAACTCTATTTTTTGAACAAATGTTATTTTGTTAAATAAATGCCCATTTAAACTTGTATACAAAGGTTATAATTATAGCAGGAAATTGTTGGGGGCAGAGGAGGTTAAATCTAGTTGTCCCGTCATACATTAGGAATGATTTCTTGGAAACCTCCTTCAGATTTTCTACTGAGGTTTGCTGTTTCGCTCTACTGTAGTTTCAAGTAAGAACTTTCCAATATTTTGGTTCTGACTGGGAGATTTGTTGGGGAGGGTGGGGATCAGTAGGTAACTGAATCAGCCCTTTCTGCTGATTCTGCACTAAGGAAGCCAAAAAGACATTGGAATCTGAAGATATCACTTAACATTATATGACTTGTAGGAATACATAAAAGTCTCGAAAGCCACATATGTAAGTATACATTTATAGTAGCCACATTAAAAAGTTTTTAAAAGGTGAAATTAATTTTAATGAAATATTTTATTTAACCCAATATATCAAAAATATCATTTCAACATGTTGTGAATATAAAAAATTATTAATGAGATACTTTATATTCTTTTTTTTTTTTTTTTACTAAGTCTGAAATCTAGAAAGAACTTCACATTTACAGCACATCTCAACTTTGACCAGCCAACCTCATTTGAAGTGCTCAGTAGCCATGTGTGGCTACTAACCACCGTATTAACCCATGCAGGTCTGGCGATCTGAGGCAGCTATTCTTTGAACAGCTACACTTAGAGTTTTCCTTTGTTAAACAGAGGGGAAAAGTAATCCTGCTTAGGGCAATATCAGCTTCTATGTTCAAGTAACTCTTTTTGCTACCACCTTCAAGAAAAATCCTCCAGCCTCATTTGATTTTTCCAAATTCTCCTAACCAAAGAGAGTGGTTGCACTGCTCTTGGATTTAATAGAAGAAATAAAAGAGAAAAAGTTTATTGTTAACAACAAAAAATCATTTTCTTTGCTTTTGGGGCAAAAGGAAGAATAATGTTCTTCTAAATAAATTCAATCAATTCATAAATACTTATCAAATTGATCCTCTGTGCAAGACATCTGTGGTAGTGGTACTTTAACTGGTTTGTTTGTTTGTTTGTTTGTTTGTTTTTGAGACAGAATTTTGATCTTGTCGCCCAGGCTGGAGTGCAATGGCACGATCTCGGCTCACTGCAACCTCCGTCTCCCGGGTTCAAGCGATTCTCCTGCCTCAGTCTTCCGAGTAGCTGGCATTACGGGTGTGCACTCCCGGCTAATTTTGTATTTTTAGTAGAGACCGGGTTTCACCATGTCGGCCAGGCTAGTCTGGAACTCCTGAGCTCAGGTAATCCGCCCACCTGGGCCTCCCAAAGTGCTGGGATTACAGGGGTGAGCCACCGCACCCGGCCACTTTAACCCATTATTAACAGTTCATGTAATGCTTAATTCACTGAAACGTGACCACCGCTCACATTACTTTTACAGATCAGGTAACTCTGTTTTAAAAGTTATTCCTCTGGTTCTCAAGGTTAACAGAGATGAATAAAAGTTGATACTGAAAATGGCATACAATTTGCTTTATTTTAAAATATTCATTCTTTGCGTGGGGGTAATTAGCACTGAACAGTGTTAGCCACATAACGGTCTCTCTTCAACTATGTATGTTTTTACTAATGCAAGAATGTTAACTGAAATAATTGATCAAAGGGTAGGGGGAGCTAATTTACTTTAAGCCAACCGAATTAACGAACTTCTTTTCGCTATAAGGAGTGGTCATGTGACTCTGCAATGTAAATGAATAAAGCATTTTGTACATAAATGCAAAATAGTACACAACTCCTTATCCTCCAAACTTCTGCAAGCACGTTTTACCGTCGGGAATTACACAGAGAAGGTGCTGCCAAATTAGCTGAGTTTGGGCCCAGGTTGGATTTGCAACACCTGAATATAGCATGTGAAGGGAAGTGACAAAGGCAAGAGCCAAGTGGCCCCATTCGCCTTCTTCCCCAGACCACGTTGAGTCTGCCCAGATGTTGTCCAACCTGAGCGGTCCCCCTGAGTCCAAAGCTTCGGGAGAAGGCGCGCAACGAGGACTTCCTGCCGCCTTCTCAGGCTCCCTAAACAGTTGGAGCCTCCCTAAATGGCCACGAGGTTCCCCGGCCTCGAGCCTGTGCCAAGGGGCGCGCTGGCGAAGGCAGCAGAAAGAGCCCAACACCTGCCTCTCGCAGGCCCAGCGAGAAACCTCGCACCGCCCGCGCAGACCTGGCCGGCTGGGTTTGGGGCTCTAATCTCATCCTCACACCTGCTTAGGGAGGCAGGCGAGGGTTCTCCAGGTGTCTGGGTCCCGGGAGGATGAAAGGAAGCTGTTAATAGGCGTGCGCTGGGAGCGCAGCAGCGGACGCGCCGTGGTCGCTGGGCGTGGGAAGACCGGGATGCCTGGGCCACGGCCTGAGGGTTTGAAGGGACAGGCCGGCTCGGAGATCTCCCTTTGCTTTTTCTCTTCCCCTCGCTGGGCGACTAGCCAGGGGCTGCAGTAGCTTTCCACTCAGCCCTGCGACTTTTACACATTTCTGCCCGGGCGCACTTAGCGCGCAGCGGCTCCTGGCGCAGTGAACACAGGGTCGAGTCCTCTTGGGACGCACCCCGGACGCCCAGGCCTTCCCCCCAAAGCTCTCGCCGTCCTGTGGGGCTCCGTCGCCGTCGGGGCATTGGGTTTCCTTAATCCAGGGCTTCCCCATCTTGGGCAGGAGGAGGAGTCAGAACCCCTCCCCTCCCTCTGTCCCCCTCCTCCTCCTCCTCCGCCCACGGCCAGCCTGATTTTTAAATCTAATCTCTTATTTAAAGTCAACAGAGGAGCAGGAACCCCGCGCTCCTGCCTACAAGATATTTTTAAATAATTCTCCAACCTCTACCGAGAGGGACAGCCTTAAGGAACCTCCCTGTTTTCCCCTCTTGAAGATTTAGGTAGCAGACGTGGGGCGGGGGGCAGCGGTTCCAGGGTCGCAGCTGAAGGCCGAGAGCTCTGCGCACTTGGGGAGGAGAATTTGGGCTGGGGGCGGTGCGGGGGAAGCGACTAATACAAGAGGAATTAATCCCAAATAGCCACAATTTAACAAAAGAGCGTCAACTTGAAAAGACTTGAATCAAACCGGGAGCCGAGCCCCCAGGAGGCTCCTAGGCACGAAGCCTCCCTTGCCTCCGTCGGGGGAGATGGGGGGCAGGTGATTTCCCAGCATGTGACCCTGAAGAGGGAGGGTCTTGGGCCATTACGGGATGCGCCCAGAGACTAGGCGCGTCCGCACGCACGCACCCCCGGAGGAGACAAGCCGAAAAGACACTCCGCACCCCTCCCCGGGTCCTTGGCTCGGGACTGCGCCCCCGGTACTTTGCCCACCTCCCTCCCCAGCTGGGCGGGGACCACTGTTCTCCCTCATTCCCAAGGAGCCTCCGACCTCCTTGGACCCTTGGCGGTGAAAGGCTCCCAGCCTTCGCCCCTCCTGCCTTTCCCATTTCTTTCCCCCGCCTCCCGCCGACGCCCCCAGATCTGTTGGGCTCGCCCTTCCTGAAAGTAGGCGAGGCCCAGAAGCTGAGGTTGGGGCGCAGAAGGAGGGGGGTGGGAAGAGGGAGGAGCGGAGCGCAGCGGCCGGGGGCGTGTCTTCCACTAGCCCAGCCCCTGGGTGCGCGCGGCGGTGGTGGCGGCGGCCGAGCCTCGCTTTGAGAGACAGGTATCGCTTAGGCGCCATGTTGTGAGCGGAAGTGGGGGAGCGCGCGGCGGTCGCTGTTCTGCTGGGAGCGGGCGCGGGAACCGGCGGGGGGGGCGGAGCCGTAGTCCCGGCGGCGGAAGGAGGAGAGGAAGAAAGGGGCGAGACCCGGTGCCCAGCGGAGGCGCGAGGCTCTCGCTCAGCGCGCGGGCGTCTCTGGCCAGGCGCGCGGCTTTCGGGCGGTCGGCGTCGGCGTCGAGCCCTCTCTGGGGCCGCCGCCGCTGCTGCTGCTGCTGCCGCTGCCGCTGCCGCTGCCGCCGCCGCCGCCGCCGCCGCCGCTGCCGTGGGGCTCGGGCGGCGACGGAGCGGGGCCGGCCGTGGGGCGGGCGGGGAGGGAGGAGGCGGTGAAGGCGGCGGGCCGGGGGGGAAGATGCCGCTGGCGCAGCTGGCGGACCCGTGGCAGAAGATGGCTGTGGAGAGCCCGTCCGACAGCGCTGAGGTGAGTGCAGCAGGGCGGCCGGGGCCGGCGCATCTCCTCCTCGCGCCCCCGCCGGCTCGCTTCGCTCCCCGGAGCTGGCCACTCGGCCCGTTCTGATCCCGCTCGCGTCTTTCCCCCGGGCTCAGGGTTTTGGTTTGGGTTGTTGGGGTGGGTCTATTGGCCGGTCTGTCTGTTCCTTCCATCCTCACCCTCACCTCCTTCCCTCGCTCGGGGGGCTGCCAGTGTGGTGGCGCGTGGGGTTTGGAGTGGGCGCTGGGGCTTTGCAAGAAGCCAATTTTAATCAACTTTGCGTGGGGGAAGCGGGAGGCGGAGCGGGGGCCGGCGGGGAGTTGGGAAGTTTGGCCCAGCCGGGTCGGGGGCTTTCCCGGACCTTGGCGACTTTGGGAGATGAGGGAGGGGTAGGGATCGGGTTCACCGGGGAGCAGGGACTCTCGAGTCCAGCCGAGGGAGGGGCTGCTGCGGGGAGACCGGCGCGCGGGGCACGGGCGGCGGCGACCTGTGGGGGTTTCGGGTAGGGGGTGCAGGGTTTTGCCTCCCCCTCGTCTGCCGCAGCGGTTTCTGCTGCTGCAAAGAAGAAAGCGGAAGCCTAAGGTCCCCTACCCCCTCCGTTTCTGAGGTCGCAGAGCTAGACCCCCGTCCCTGTGAGTTTAACTTGAGTTTCCTGTCCATGGAGGTGAGAGGGTGATATTCAAGGAGATCAGCGGCCGCCGTAAAAGGCTTTCTGGTTTTCCTCGCCCGGGATCTGGTGACCGTCCCTGAGTCACCCATCCTAGTGCCCAAAACCCAAACAATATACCCAAACAGGGCAAAACAGAATTTCCCCGGGCGCATCACTACACCGAGCTTTCCTGAACCGCCCCTATCCCAGAACAACTCGGGGTCTGCGAAAATAATCCAGACAAGACCCGTTCCAAGGTATCACCGCTCCTCTCCGGAGTGGAAAATCAATTCCTGATGGTGGCGCGTCTGTGATTCTTCCTTCTTGACTTTTTGCTGCCTTCTCTCCCCGCAGCGGACTTTAGGGGATTACAGGATGATAGGCTGCGTGTGTGTAATAGTTACTGAGTGAGTGACCCCATTTCTGGAAAGCATGACTGAAACGCGGGGGTGGAACGGGGCAGGCTCTGATGAGTGGTGTGCTTGGCGGCAGCCGCTGCCCTGCCGGCCTCCGCAGTGTGAGAAGTAGATAGGGTTACTGGTTACGTCAGTAAAACCGAGGCTCAGTTTAATCTTGAGATGCGGGACACTTGCATTCTCCGGTATAATGGAGAGGGCGGGGGATCAGTTCAAATCGCTTTTCACTTTTTCCCCCAGTCACCTCCGCTGCTGTATAACAATTTTGCTTGTTCTCCTTAACGCACGCAGAGTTGTAATAGTGCTTATGATTGGTGCTTAGTATTTTGCGACTTGGATCATACTTGTAAAACCTGAACTAAATGCTGCTCTTCAATGGAAAAGACATTGATATATGTTGAAAGAAAAGGAAAGAAAGAAAGGAAATCATGTTTTTAAGACTGGCAGAATCACAAGAACTTTATTTAAAATTGTTAACCAGACTAATACTATAAATATTTTATTAAAAAGCCAAATTTATGATGTTTAATAATCCTTTAGATGGGTAGTGTGAAAAACAGTATGCAAGAGCTCGTCATATTTTTCCCCAGAAAATTTTTTGCATTAAATAATATAGCTAAAAGGTTAATAAAATGTTCGCAAAGTACTGAACTTGTGGAAAGAAATTAAATTTGCTTTGAGCCTGACTTTTACATACAAACATTAACAATTGCAACTCAAGATCAGTCCACATTTCTGCTTGGCATGTATCAGTGTGATAGGAAAACAATATCGTTTAGAATTCCACCTTATCCTTTTTCTATCTGGAATGCATTTGGATAAGGAAGGACAAAACATATTTATTTAGCACCAACTGTATGCCAGGTACTGTGCTACATTACTATTTCATTTTATCCTTCCTGTGACCCAGCAGGGTAGGATTATGGTCCCCATTGTTATAGATTAGGAAACCAAATCTCAGAATTTAAAAGGTACAAAGATGATAAATAGTAAATGGCAGAGCCATAATTCAAAGCCAGGTGGATACAATTCATGTGCTTCGTTTTATATCAGGGTAGCTGTTCCAAATCTTTTGTGGAAAAATTCGGGGTATAAATAAGCCAGTAGTTAGAGGTCATCTATTTTCCAGAAACAAATAGAGTATTATAAGAGGTCTCATTTGGTAAAGCCTTGTTATTTCAGTTACTATCATGTTTTCCAGAACTTGACAGATAGGATTCCACAATTTGCTGTTTTCAAAGAATTTTCTTGCTATCCTGGCATAAAGTATGTCAAACAGAGCCAGTGTTGCCAAGATTTATTAAAATTAAATTCTAACAAATTGCCTTTAGATATTTAATTTCCTTTGCTTGTTCAGCTATTTCAAGTAAATTACTTCTGATACAATTTGGAAATATTGAAGACAGTGAGGGAAAGGTTGAAAAGTTCCACTCAGAGGTCTAATATTTTCACTATTATACCGTTTCCTCCCCCAGTAGGTTCCTATCAGATAATTGTATTTTACCAGAGTAACATAGTTTTTTTTAGAGTCATTTACTTGAGTGAATACATCAAAATATTTCTCTCCAGGTTAAAAGATTTCAGGATTGGTCTGTGTAGGAGTTTACATTTATGGTCTCATCCCTAGTACACTGTGAATTCTTGAAAGCAGACATTTTTCCCCCCCTCTCTGAATCCTCAGCATTCAGCACAATGCCTGGCCCTGACATATTGTGGACTTAATAAATATCTGCTGAATGAATCATGAAAGTCAGGAATAGGATGATTATGAATCTTATCTGTTTTTTATCATTTTAATCTCATTAAAATATGAACAATTTAAAAAGACCTCAGTGCCTCAGTAAAAACACAGGCAGTTTCTTCAGTTCCTTTACACTGGCCTTCCTGCTTTAAGACCTCACACGAATCTCATGGTGTTCAAAACAAAAAAACCCTTGTGGTTAAACTCAAACGTGGGTCAGAACATGATAGGCTAGAACTAGGCCAAATGTTTAAAGAAGCAAATTTAGGATAATAAAGGAAGTACTATGTAAGCAAAGTAAGGGTTGGTACAAGATAAAAAACAAACTAGCTTCCTAACTGGTCTAGGTGAACTCTTTAGTGAGTTACTTAAAGATGCTAATATGCTTTTGAATATTTGACTGTTTAGAGGATGGATAGGTAGGAATTATGGCTCTTCTGTTGTACAAATTCTTTGCCAGTGCTGTCAGAGACAGCATTTAGTGGATCATAAGCCTGACCTAGAGTGATACTTTTTTCTCCACTGCAATAGAGTAGGTATAAATGATAGTAAATCTAAATATGAAGTTTTCAAAATGATAAAATTATGGAGGTTATTTTTGTTTTATAGAAATGTGTTATATAAAATAGCCACAATATAATGTGTTGTATACAATGTGTATTAAACAATGTGTTGTATGAAAATAGCTACCTCGACTTCCTTTAAATAACAGGTACCCATGATGCACTGAAAAATATTTAAAAAATCAACTATATAAGTATTTTATTATAGAAAATGAGGCCTTTGTGTGGGAGATCATGTTTAGTGAATGTGCAGCCATTTTTAACCTCAAAGATTATGTAGTATTCTATAGTATAGTACATAGATTTTATAGTATTTCTACTATATCAATATTATATAGGTTTCTTATTTTATCTATAGGGAAAATGCTCTATTAAAGTATAATCATTGATTTTGAAAAAAAATGTTTTATTGTTTCTTTTCCTTTTCCTGTTTTATTTTTACCACCTTTCAGGTTTTTTTCTTTCCCCTAAGTGAAGATCTGAGGAGAGGACAGGTATTGTTACATGTCAACTGTCAAGTAACTGTGACCCATTACTGAACACTTCATTGTTTTCAGTGATTATGATAGAGGATGTCAGTTTTGTAAAATCTAGAAAACTTTGCTTTATTTTGGCAGCTTGATCCTGTAGTAATGGGGTAGATTCAAAATGTGAAACTTGCTGGATGCATTTAAATTTTATTAATAAAACTTTTATCTAATTGCAGGAGCAAATATAGGCAGACTTTGTCTTCTCTTTAGTATACATTTCTGGAAACCACAATAAGTATATCTTATTTTTAATAAGACAGGTGGCATAATTGGACTGTGTACTCCTGACCAAGGACTTGACATTTGCTAAATTATAGAATGACCAAAAATACAGATCACTTATCTAGAAGTCTGAGTTGCAGAACAATTGTCCTAAAGTTTTTAAAAATTTTTATTACTAAGAAATTCATACCATTGTGATAATTAACAAGATTTGCTCTACAGTTCAATGCTCAGGGACATGTGATCTGCCAGGCTGTGAATGATGGGTAAGGTCACACTTGCCTGGTTGACCCAGTGCAGAATGGGTGCTTTAGACCCAACGGTTCAGATTATAATGAATGACACACTGACATGGTGGTGGTCTCACTGGTAATGCCTGCGTGTGATAGTGCTCAGTTGTTTATGTGCTTTGGTGGATAACACATTTTAAAGCATTGAAATGCAGCTGTGCAAGTACATATATTATACATCCCGTTCCCCAATTCACATAAATAGAAAAAAACAAGTATCTAAATTGTAATACCTAGCATTCAATGTCTTCCTTCCACCCCACTCCCATCAGTGTGTTCTTTTGGAATTAATACAGTGACCTGTATCATTAACCTGGAGATATCAGATCTCAGATATTCTAGTTTATCAGTTAAACACCAAAAAGCATTAAAACAAAGAAAAACTACCCTATTTAATCGTTCAGTAAAAACTACCATATTTAATCATTAAGTTTTGTCATGATTTAGCAAAACAAACGCAAATGTGTGTGTGTCTGTGTGTGTATGTGTTTTATAAAACAGGTTCAGGATAAAATGTATCCATATAGCACATTATGATTATTTTAATACATTTGGCCTATTTATTTTTTGACAGTTTATCAAGTTGTACAATTTAAAAGCCAATATTTATTAATCCCTAATGTACAGAAACATAGGAGGAAGTTGTCTCTTTGGTTAAACAAACTGTTGAAAGATAAACTTTGGCACACCAAAATGTTTACTTTTCAATTGATAAATAATATTTGTACATTTTTATGGGGTCATGTGATATTTTGTTCCATGCATAGAATGTGTAATGATCACATCAGGGTATTTGGGATATCCATTAATCATTTCTGTGTGTTGGGAACATTTCAAATCCTCTCTTTTAACTATTCTGAAATATATAAAACATTGTTATTAACTATAGTCACCCTACTCTACTCTGCTATCCATTGTTAGAACTTATTCCTTCTATCCAATTGTATGTACTGTGCCCATTAACCAACCTTTCTTCACCCCCACCCCCTCTGTAACCCCCACACTCGTCCTATCCTCTAGTAACTCTCATTCTGAGTAGAAACTCCCTACCTATGAGTCCCACGTGTGAGTAAGAACATGCAGTATTTGTCTTTTTGTCATGTGACCTATTTTAAGCAAATACATTAGTTACTAGTAATTAAGTAATTTGGTTTTTGCTCATTCTTAAAACTTAGAAGGGACTTTGTGGGGTTATTTGGATTAATAGCAAAGTGTTAAAGAACATAAGCTCTGGAGCCATAAAGACCTGTGTTTGAGTCCTGGCTCTGCCACTTAATAACTTTGTAACCCTATGCAAGTTATATTTAATATCTCTATACTTCAACATCCTAATTTGTAAAATAGGGATGAAAATAATGTCTACCTCATAGAGTTTTGGTGAGAATTAAATGAAATGATAATATATGTAAAGTACTTGGTTCAGTACATGGTTTAAGTTTTTAATAAACAATAGTTACAATGAATCATCCCTCTTAAAGAACTGTCTCAGTTCTTTGTTTTTCCTCTGGGGTAATTTTTTAGAATCCAGCAAAGCAATTAAAAGTGATTTATTTGATTGATCAGTTTAAATAGTCATGGTAATATCTGAACGTAATTGAAAGGGCAAGGGGAACAGAAATCTCTTTAATCTTACCCTTTTTGCATTGATCCCTTCCTCAGTATTGTCTTTAAAGGGAAAAAACAACATTGTGAAGAATATATGTGGAAGAAGGAAGAAAGGAAAGTTTGTTCACATTTTTAACATTGCTCAAATTGGAAGATGTCTCACAGTCCATGGGATGTCATAGTTTAATTAGCAGCATGTTTTTCCTTAACAATATATAAAATAATAGTGTATCTTACACTTGATTGTATCTTTTAATCAATGAAATATAGTGTATTCTGTATGTCTACCTCTTGAAGATAATGTGTCCCTGAAGAAATGGTTAAAGTCAGTTTATAGCATCAATAGGTAGAATTTTAACTTTCTTTCTAAAACATACCAACACAAAATGTGCACACCTTTTTATATTTTAGGATGAATCCGTTCTGTTAATTTTTAGGGAAGGAAATTAATATGTCACACCTCCTTCCCCATTACTATAAATACATTTGTTTTAGTTATTTCGAAATGCCATAGGGTAACTGGGTTTTCCTGTCTAGAAATGTAATCCTTTAGATTTTGTCTGTAATGTGGTGTTGGTTCTTACAGAACTCTAAATAGTATATATAGTATTTTTCAAGCCGAAAAGTCTCTGGAGATATGATGTTAAAAGGTGTATCCATGCCTCAAGAATCACCCCCCTCCAAAAAATAAGGTAGTGTGGCATAATCAAGTAAGTTGGGGAAATGTGGCATTAAATAAGATTTAACCTGTCTTTACTGTATAATTTAGAACTTTTAAGATGTTGTATACAATGAATCTGCAAAATGGATATGGCCCACGGCATTTGAGACTTGATGTCAGAACCCCTTTTTTGTAAACCATCTATTGAAGTCTCAGTGGACACAAAGTGCTTTGCAGAACACAGTTTTGGAAAGTCTGATAACTACAGTAACGCGATCCAGTATTGCCTGGAAATGAGCTGTTATGTTTAATTGACTATATTGAAGTGTTTTCTTTAACTGTCAAGAGTTTTGTTTCATTTTGAATTGAAATCTTTCTAAATTAAATTGTATAAAAATGTTCCGTCTTAATAGTGAATATAAATTTAATAATAATTTAAATAAAAGTTAAAAATAATTTACACTTTTGATTCACTGTTCTGAAAATTAATGGTCATATTCTACTTAATATCAAGCTAATTGCCCCTACTAAATGGCCTGTACCTTGACTGTTTCTGTAACTTATGTCTAATATTTGTAGTTTAAAAATTCTCTTATATGCCACTTTATGCCACTGTTAATCTGCTTTTCTCTCCCATTTTCCTGTTTAAATTAATTGCTTCTTGTTTTCACTTACTAGAGAATAGATAGCTAGGATTAGTAATATAAAAAAGTTACAGTTTCCAAATAATGTAAAATAGCATCCTCACTCTTTTTCTGGTCTCTGCTCATCATGTACAAATACCTCTGGGGTCAGGGGTATTTGCTGGGCATATTACCAAATAATAAATAGTGATTTTATGTTTTACATACCATAACAGAATGGCTCAATTGCTGACATTACCTGCCCTGCATATTTACCTTCCTCTCTTGAAGATGTCAGCTAGAAAGTAGAACATGAATGAACTAAAAAACAGGCAGCTTTAAATTGAAAGCTAGCCTACTGCCCTGCCTGGAGTCACATCTCCACATTGTGAGTCCTTTTCTGTTGTTCTCATAAAGTAGTGCTAGTTTCCTAAATATTTGTTACTCTACACGTAGGTGTAAATCTAAAAGCACTTTTAGATTTCTTGTCATAGTAGAATTACAACCATAAGTTAAATCGAATTTTCCCATCTTAACTAATATATCCATGGTCTCTTATATAACTTAAAAACTTGTTTTGTCCACCATATAAATTGATTTTTATAATCTTACATATGGTGATAATCTCATCTTCAAATCTGACCTGGTCATTTAGATTTCTGTGAGCTTGTCTCTAATTCTTTGGGCCACAAAGCTTGTCCTAGGAAACTTGGTTCAGTCATTTGATATGTGTTAGAAGCAGATGTCAAATGATAGCCTGAAGCAAAAGATCATTTTGACATTAATAGATTGAAATGCATCTCAAGTGCAGTGGTTTGGGATAAATCTTCACTCCAGAAATCTTGTAAAACCTGTGGCAAAAATCTCAGCTACCTAGAATGTTACTTCATTTCTTCACATTTAGGAACAGAGGCATCTATCTGAAAATAATGTAAAATAATAAAGATTTACTTAAAATCACAAAAAATTTCTGGATCAGCACTGTTTAGTACAGTAGCTGCTATCTATATGTGGCTGTTGAGCACTTGAAATGTGGCTAGTGTGGAAGTGAACTTTTAAATTTTATCTAATAGTCACCAGTGGCTATTGGCTACCATGTTGAACAGTACAATTCCAGATTACAGGATTAGTACAAATTGAATGCATTTTTTACACCAGTGTTTTTTCATTTCTACCTTGTATGATTTGTATCTTGAAATTAATAGGCTAAACCTTTTCTAAAAACAAATATTTAACATGCTTTTTCAAATTATGTTTAATCAGGTTAGTTTTGTCCTTTTCTACCCTGAAGATTCTGATAAACCCTCTAGGGTGGTACATACCCCACAAATCACCATTCTACTCTTCCTACAGCTTTAATAGTTTTACTGTGACATCTCATTCAAGTGATAACACTAAAGCATTGGGGCAAATTTAAATATCAAAAAATGTTGTAATTACAAGTTTCCTCTTGTGCACCGAGCTTACAGACCGAGACATAAACAGTAAGACTAATGTCTCTGGGGAGAAAAATATACAATTATCTTCTATATTATTGGATAAATAAATTACTGTATGGTAATTTGTTTAAATATTGTGTTGCATTCACTGTACTGTGCTAGTTAAAACGGAAAAAGTGGATTGGTGCATTTTGAAATATGAAAGCATTTAAATTTTTTTAGCATATAATTTTAGAGAACAACTTAGCCCTACCCTATTTATGTAAGAAAATTGAGACCTGTTCAGGCAGACCTGCTGCAGGTGATATGTTAACAAAGTCAGAGTTGGCGTGTGCAGCACATTTATTTCACTAAAATTCATTTTGTCATCCACATCATATCAATACAACTCTTTAATTTTATGTAAACTATCTTAAATACAAATTCTGAAAGAGCCACAATGCACAAAAGTTCAAATATTACTTTTTCTCTACTCTCTGCTAATTTTAACTCGTAAGTCTGGAAAATACAGTCCTTAGTTTACAAAAACAACTTCAGAATGTTCCTACCTACAAACCAAGGGTGAGGGGTACGTTAAGATCACTGCTCTTTCTTTCCCAAGTGAAGATGGAAGGAAGCTCACGTCTATTGAGTGCCCCCCTTGACAAGTCACTTTGTGTATATCAACTTGAATGAAGTATACAGAATTATCCTCAACTTACAGATGAGGAAACTGAAGCCTAGAAGGGTTAAATAACGTGCTCATGGTTGCCCAGCTAGTAACTGAAGGAGCCAGAATTCAAACCCAAGTCTCACAGATTGCAAATTCTAATGACTTTTCACTACACAGCCCTGTTTGAGTTGAGAACATCCAGGTGAGTGACTCAGTCTAAATGAAATCTGCTACAGGGGAAAAAGGTTCCAGGTAGTTTACATGGGTAGCTATTGTGGAGATGTAGAGAATAACCTAGAGAGATAGGTGACTTCTCACATATATAAATATATGTATGTATGTAGCATGAAGCCCTCTTCTCACCAAGGAGGCCTGTAGAGATGATGTGATCCTGGCATGAACTAGGAATGCTGTTCACAATAGAGACAGTGCTTAAGTAGTCAATAAGTAAAGTTTAAAAAGTTAGTAAAACTGAGTGAAGTTGATGTTAGTTTCCAAATACAGTGGGTTAAATAGGCTTTTGTGAGTTGGCCTGAAAAACAGCATTTATGGCATTGTATGGGAAGATTATTTGAGATTTCTAACCAGCTGTCTTACAAATAAAACAAAATGTCTAACGTTTGAAACAAAAATTACAGTACTTGGAAAAAGGGGGGCCTGCCTAGACATTACTTAACAGCTCTCTTTACAGAAGCCTCTAGGTGTATGCATGAGTAAATGTGCTCTGTTCTTTGATTGCAGCTTATTAAATCGTTACCTCTCTATCTTTGCATCCTCTTTTCAGAAAAATCTACTTGATGTTCCCTCAAAGTGCCAGAAAACAGAATTTGGCTCAACCCAAAAATGTTAACAATTATCTTGCTATCGTATAAGAAAAGGAAATTTAAAAGGAAAGTTATGCAATCATTTTTTTTTTTCTTAGACTGTCAGGTCAAATAGCCCTAATTAATTCCTTTTTTTTTTCTTTTTTTTTTTTTTTTTTTTTTTTTTTGAGACGGTGTCTCACTCTGTCACCCAGAGCTTTTTGCTCTAATGCTGATATGGAAGGTCCTTGTATATGTATTTCTTCTCTGTCACCCAGGCTGGAGTTCAGTGGCTCAATCTTGGCTCACTGCAACCTCTGCCTCCTGGGTTCAAGTTATTCTCCTGCCTCAGCCTCCCGAGTAGCTGGAACTACAGGTGCCCACCACCACGCCTGGCTAATTTTTGTATTTTTGGTAGAAATGGGGTTTCTCCATGTTGGCCAGGCTGGTCTCAAACTCCTGACCTCAGGGTGATCCATCTGCCTTTGCCTCCCAAAGTGATGAGATTACAGGCATGAGCCACTGCATCCGGCCTAATTCCTTTTTTTTTTTTTTTTTTTTTTTTTTTTTTGAGACGAAATTTTGCTCTATTGCCCAGGCTGGAGTATGCAGTGGTGCAGTCTCAGCTCACTGCAGCCTCTGCCTCCCGGGTTCAAGTGATTCTCCTGCCTCTGCCTCCCAGGTACCTGGGATTACAGGTGCCCACCACCACGCCTGGCTAATTTTTTGTATTTTTAGTAGAGACAGGGTTTTGCCATGTTGGCCAGGTTGGTCTCGAACTTCTGGCCTCAGGTGATCCGCCCGCCTTGGCCTCCCAAAATGCTGGGATTACAGGCATGAGCCACCTTACCCAGCCTAATTCCTTTTTTAATTGAGATATTTACATACTATAAAATTCACCCTTGTATATGATTCGTGGCTTTTACTATATTCCCAAGGTTGTGCAGCCATCACCACTATCTATTTCCTAGAACATTTTCATCACCCCCAAAAAGAAATTTCATACATGTTAGCGGTCACTCCCCATTTCCTCCATTCCCCCAGTCCCTGGCAATCACTAATCTATTTTCTGTCTCTAGATTCACCTATTCTGGACATTTCATATTAATGGAATCCTACAGTATGTGGCCTTTGTGTCTGTTTTCAAGGTTCTTGCATGTTTCAAGGTTCATACATGTTGTAGCATGTAGGAAGACTTCATTCTTTTATGTGGCTGAATAATCTATTTTATGGATATACCACAGTTTGTTTATCCATTTATCAGTTGATGGACGTTGGAAATTGTTTCTACCTTTTGGCTATTATGAATAATGCTGCTGTGAACATTCGTATTAAGTTTTTATGTGAACACATGTTTCCAGTTTTCTTGGATATATACCTAGGAGTAGAATTGCTGAGTCATATGGTAAATCTATGTTTAGCTTTTTGAGGTACTGCCAAACTTTTCCAGCTGGCCTGTACCATTTTACATTCCCATCAGCAGTGTATGAGAGTTCCAGCTTTTCCGTATCCTTGCCATCACTTATTATTGTCTTTTTTACTATAACCATCCTACTGGGTGTGAAATGGTATCTCATTGTGGTTTTGATTTGCATTTCTCTAATGACTGATGATGTTAAGGATCTTTTCATGTGCTTCTTGTCCATTCGTATACATAATTCACGTGCTTATTTTGTTACCGTTTTAGGGACTTAAGTTGGCTTTTGTTCTAATGCTGATAGGGAAGTTCCTTGTATATGTATTTCTTCTCAGAAAACTTAGTTTCAATACGTGCTTTTAAGATATTTTCTTTCTTTTTAGATTTGATAAATACAAGGCTTTTCCTAAAATAGTGGTTTTCCAAATGGGTTAATAGAGCTCTAGGTTCTATGAAAGTGCCTTAGGATACCTCTCACCTAGGGCACCCTTTCTCTCAGCCAGAGTGGAATTCCTAGAGGAACACAACAAAGAATTAAATATTGGTTATAGAACTTAAAAAAGAAAGTTACAGAAAGAAAACAAAGATTGGGGCAGTGATATTTTTCCTTAGAGTCTCCTCGGCCTAAACTAGTCTATAGTTTCTTATTTAAAGCAAAAGTGCAAGAGTTAATTGAAGATTAATTATTAATCTTAATAGGAAGATAATATGCCTAGAATCTCTGAAATTAAATATAAGTCAACAGATAAATGAATTCAGGAATCCATCTCAAGTGAAGTAACGTATACAGGTATGTTATTTGAAGAAGTAAAAATGCAAATAAAACAAAACCTTATTTGCCTCTTTTCCTTCAAGTTCCTGCTGGCTGTTGGTATAATTCAAGAGTAATAGCTATCAAAATGGATGTTCATATTAAGTAATCCTTAGAGAAATGTCATAGGCAAATTAAAAATAAGTTTTGCCTTGGATTAATAAAAAGAAGAGCTCATAAATGAGTTTTAAAGCTATCTCCTGCCCACCACCTCCCCTCCCCCGCCAGCTCTTCTGAGTATGTATAGTATACTACTAGGTGAAAATGAATTAAATGGATTTATTTTCTTTTGGAACATTAAAGTCTAGAAGTACTAGGGTGGGCAGGAAGTTTAATAGCATGAAACAAGGTAAATTAGTAAAGAATAATATAAGCAGATGTAATTGGATCTTTAGGAGGAAATTATGACCTATAATGTTACAGCAGTTTTCTGTAGTACATTTTCAACCATAATGTGGAAAATTAGAAAATAAATGTTATTTTCAACATAAAAATTAATCACTTGGAGGATACATCTGGTTCTGCCAAGATAGAGGACCCCTATTCCTCCTTGATCTCCCTTACAGCGAAAACACTGTAGACATAACAAACAAGCACAGGAACACTCTAAAGGTGGAAAAAGAAGGCAAACAGCCTGCAGACCTCGAGACTCAAGAAAACCCAGGGAATTCACTATTTGTGTTCTTCCTGTCACCTCCCATATATCCTAGACAGGGTGCTATGAAAGCCTCCAAACTAGAACTGCCAACAGTCACAGACAAAAAGAGCTCTGAGAAAAAGCCTGTTTCCTTTAGACAAACAACTGGGGGAAAGGTAGCCAAGTAAGTCTAAACCTTTTTGACAATACTCACCCTACCCTGGCCAAATACCATCAGAAAAACCCCACCCCACCCCACCCCAAAGAAGCAAATAACAGTGCTCTCACTCCCCAACCCAGTGGTGTGGGCTGGGGAGATCAGAGACCTAAGCACCCATTTCTTTGCCCAGCAAAAGCAGACAGCACTTTGGTTCCCCCTGCTGGGTGGTTTTGGCAGACCAGGCAGGAAGCGTTTTCCCTCATTCCACTTCAAGCTGAAGGAAGTTATGCTCTTGCCAGGGTGGTGTCTAGCAGCAGTGGGGTCTAGTAGCAGATTGAGCCTCCACCCCAACCCAGAAGCAATGACACTTAACAAGGTGACGTGAGCCAGGGCTAATCCATACTCTACCCTCACCTTACATCAACGAGGCAGAACAAGATGGTTGGAGGTAGGATTCTCAACACATCTTACCTCCACTAATGTCAGTGGGGCCCAGTGGAGAACTGAGCCTTCACTCCCATCTGGCAAGTGATGGGTGGCAGGGCTAGTTGGCATTCTGCTTCCTTCTCTACCCTCCCCTGTTGTTAGCTGGGTCCTTTGGGGAGCTGAGCTTTTGGCTTTATAGTGCAGCAACAAAGAAGTTTGAGTCAGCCCTCTGCTTTCCTCCTCCCTGTCATCAGTGGGGCCCAGCAGGGAGGTGAGCTTACACCCCTACTCAGAGGCAGTGAGGTGATACAGGTTGGTGCCCTACTTTCATTGGGACTAAGAGTGGAGCTGAACTTCCGTCCCACCCATCTGCAACAAAACAGTGTGAGTCATTGCTCCACTTTTGCCTGGGTGATGTTGGTGCGGCCCAGAGGGAAGTTGAACATACACACTCCACCTCAACAGGAGGACTGCCTGCTTCGGGGAAAAAAAAAAAAAGATTAAATAGGAAAGAGTCCTATAATCTCCAAATATCCATTAGACAGTAAAAAATCACTTATACCAAAAACCAGGAAAATCGCAACATGAGTGAGAAAAGACAGTCAACACACATCATCACTGTGATAATTCAGATGTTGTAATTATCAGACCAGAATTTTAAAGCAGCCATCACAAAAATGCCTCAGTGAGCAATCACAAACACTCTTGAAACAAATGAAAAATTAGTCTCAGAAAAGAAATGGAAGCCATAAGGAAGAACCAAATAGAAATTTTAGAACTGAAAAATACAGTAACAAATAAACTTACTACATGGGCTAGATAGAAGAATGGAGATGATAGGAAAGAATAACATTGGAGATAAAGCAATAGAAATGAACAATAGAGAAAAAATAAACTGGAAAATGAACAGAGCCTCAAGAGCCTGGTGAACATTAACAAAAGATTTAACATTTATGTCATCAGAGTCCCAGAAAGGGAAAAAAGAAACTGGACCTGAAGAAATAATGGCTGAAATTTCCCCAAATTTTGCAAAAGACATAATCTTACAGATTCAGGAAGCTGACTGAATCCCAAATAAGATAAATGCAAAGTAATCCACTCCTAGACAAAATCAAAATCAAACTTTTGAAAATGAGTAGTTATTGTCTAATAGATACAGAGTTTCAATTTTGCAAGATAGTTCTGAAGATTAGTTGCATAATGTGAATATACTTAATACTACTAAACCATACACTTAAAATAGTTGAGATAGTGAATTTTATGTTATGTTTTATGACAATTGAAAAAGTAAAATATCAAACTTTTGAAAATTAAAGAATCTTTAAAGCAGTTAGAGAGAAATGAACTGTTACCTATAGGGAACAACTCATGCGACAGCAGATTTTCCATCAGAATCTATGGACGTCTGCCAGGCACAGTGGCTTACGCCTATAATCCCAGCACTTTGGGAGACTTACGCCTGTAATCCCAGCACTTTGAGGGGCTTACGCCTATAATCCCAGCACTTTGGGAGGCCAAGGCAAGAGGATTGCTTGAGCCCAGGAGTTCGAGATCGGCTTGGGCAACATGGCAAGACCCCATTTCTACAAATAATAACAATAATAAAAATAAATAGCCAGGCATGGTGGCACGTGCCTGTAATTCCAGCTACTGGGGAGGCTGAAGCTGGAGGATCACTTGAGCCCAGACAGTCAAGGCCCCAGTGAGCCATCTTCACACCACTGCACTCCAGCCTGGGCGACACAGTGAGACCTCATCTCAAAACATCTATGGATGCCAGAAGGATATGGCACACCATTTTTCAAGTGCTGAAAGAAGATACTGTCAACCCAGATTTCTATACCAAGTGACAATATCCTTCAGGAATGAAGGTAAAATCAGAGTGGTCTTGGATGCAGGAAAACTAAGAGAATTTGTGAGTAGCAGACCCTGAAAGAGAATGATAAAAGAAGGAAACTTGGACTGTCAGGAATAAAGAAATCACATAAATTCTACATAGTCTCTTCCAGAAAATAGAGAACAGTTTACAACTCATTTTATGAGGCCAGTATTATCCTGATAGCAAAACCTAAAGATAGTATAGAAAACTGCAGGTCAATATCCCTGAAGCACATAGACACAGAATCCTCAACAAAAACTAGCAAAACAAATCTAACAACATATAAGAATTGCATGCCATGACCAAGTGGGTTTTATTCCACATCAGACACAGTATTCAAAAATCATTCAAGGTAGCCTACCATATTAAAAGGTTAAAGAAGACAAGTCACATGATACTAATGGAGAAAACGTATTTTTTCTTGATCATAAAATGGCTTATGGGAAAGAGAAAAATTTAGCTAAGTTAAACATTCATTCATAATAAAAACTCAGCCACCTAATAGAGGAGGACTTGCTCAACTTGATAATGAACCTACAGCTAACATAAAACTTAATGGTGTAGTCCCAGCACCTTGGGAGGCTGAGGTGGGAGGATCACTTGAGGCCAGGAGTTCAAGTCCAGCCTGGGCAATATAGCAAGGCCCTATGTCTAGGAAAACAATTTTTTAAAAAATTAGCAAGGAATAGTGGCATGCACTTATAGTCCTAGGTACTTGGGAGACTGAGGCAGGAGGAGCCCTTGAGCCCAGGAGTTCAAGGCTGCAGTTAGCTATGATCACACCACTGCACTCCAGCCTGGGTGACAGAGCAAGACCCTGTCTCTAAAAACAAAATGGGAGGAACCCTTCCAAATGATTTTAAGACTTACTATATCCAGTACTCAAAATACTGTAGTATTGGCAAGGGGATACACACATAGATCAGTGGAATAAGATGGAGAACAAGAAATAGACCCACGTAAGTACAGCCAACTGATTTTTGTCAAAGTTACAAAAGCAGTTTGATAGAGGAAGGATAAATAGCCTTTTCAACAATGGTGTCTGGAGCTATTGCACACCTATAGGTAAAACAATAAGTCTCAACCCAAATCTCGTACTGTGTAAAAGTTAATTTAAAATGGATCATGGATTTGAATGTAAAACTAGAAAACTTTTAGAATTTAGACATAGGAGAAGATCTTCAGGACTGTGGGCTAAATGAAGCATTTAAACCTGAGACCAAAAGCAAATTCTATAAAAGAAGAAAACAATAAATTGAACTTCTGAAAAATTCAAGACCTTTTATCTATGAAAAAGACTCTGCGAAGGGTATGAACCTGTAACTGAGACCGGACTTGTATTTACAATATTCAAAGAACTCTCAAAACTCAGCAATAACAAAGACAAGCAATCCAGGCAAAAAATAGACAAAAGAAGTGAACAGACACTTCACCAAAGATGAATAGCAGATAAGCATATGAAAAGATGTTCAGCATGGTTAACTATCAGGGAAGTGAAAAAACATGATGAGGTATCACTACATACCTATTAGAACAGCCAACATAAAAAATAGTGACAATAATAAATGGCGAGGATGCAAACAAACTAGATCACTCATATATTGCTGGTGAGGGCATAAAATGATACAGCCCCTCAGGAAAATAGTTTGGCCATTTATTAATAAACATATACTTGCTATATGATCCAGCAGTTGTACTCCTGGACATTCACCGCAGAGAAATGAAAACTTATGTCCACATAAAAGTCTGTGCACAGATGTTCCTAGCAGCTTTATTTGTACTATCCAAAAATTAGAAACCAAATGTCCTTGAATGGGTAAATGGTCAAATAGTCTAGCACATCCACATCATGGAATAATACTACTCGCTAACTAAAAAGGAATGAATTGTCGATACACACAACAGCTTGGATGAATCTCAAGGGATTTATGCTGAGTGAAAAAAAGGTCACATGCTATATGATTTATATGACATTCTTAAAATGACAGAATTATCGCAATGGAGAAGAGATTACTGATTGTCAGGAATTAGGAAAAGGGGAGGGAAGTGTGGTCGTAAAGGGGCCACATGAGGGATCCTGGTGGCAATAAACTGTTCGGTATCTTTACTGTAGTGGTGGATATAGAGACCCACACGTGATCAAATGGCCTAGAAAACACAGCTACATACCTGTAAAGCCAGTGAAATCTGAGTAGGATCTGTGCATTGTACCAGTTGCAATATCCTGGCTTTGACAGGAAGTGATATAAGATGTTACCACTGGGGTGAAGTAGGTTAAAAGTGTATGGGACCTCTCTGTATTATTTTTGCAACTTCCTGTGACTTTATGATCATTTGATCATGTCTAAATAAAATGTAAGAAAAAAAGTTTATACAAAAAATTAGCTGGGCATGGTGGAGGGCGCCTGTAGTCCCAGCTACTTGGAAGGAGGCTGAGGCAGGAGAATGGCATGAACCCGGGAGGCGGAGCTTGCAGTGAGCAGAGATCACGCCACTGCACTCCAGCCTGGGCGACAGAGCGAGACTCTGTCTCAAAAAATAAAAAAAAATTAAAAAGCATTAAAGTGTCTATTCTCAATTAAAAACTTATTCCCAGTAATTTTACTAATAGGAATAAAAGGGTATGTCCTTAATACTTAAAAAAATCATCTCAAACCAATAACCAGCATCATGCTTCATGGGGACATATTGTAGGCATTCTCATTAAAACTATGCCTGCTATTTTCACTTCTATTTTACCTTCTAGAAGAGCTTGCTAATGCAATTAAATAAGAAAATCAAAGAGTATTCAAAAAGATAAAAGATTATTCATATATGATATAATTATCCTCTTAGATAACCTAAGAAAATCCACTAAAAAGGTTTATTAAAACAAATGATAGCCTACTAAGGTGATATTACACAAAATGTATTCAGAAATCAACAAACAGCTTTCCTGTTTAGGAGCCATAAACAGAAACTGTAATGGAAAAAAGATCTCATTCATAATAGCGACAAAAATGTTGAATGCCTAGAAATATAACAAGCAAAGGACAAGACCTAAATGAAGAAAATCACTGAATTGCATTAAAGAACAATTTGAAAAAATGAGAAAAAAAGCTATGGTTCTTTAATGTAATTTAAATTACTTTCAATAGGATTTGAAGGTTTTTTTTGTTTTTTATTTTTTTAAGATTTGAGGGTAACTTTTCCTTTGTTTTGAATAAGTATTCTCAGATTTTTCTTTTTTTTTTTTTTTTCTTTTGAGACGGAGTCTCGCTCTGTCGCCCAGGCTGGAGTGCAGTGGCGCAATCTCGGCTCACTGCAAGCTCCACCTCCCGGGTTCATGCCATTCTCCTACCTCAGCCTCCCAAGTAGCTGGGACTACAGGCACCCACTGCCACGCCTGGCTAATTTTTTTGTGTTTTTAGTAGAGACGGGGTTTCACCGTGTTAGCCAGGATGGTCTCGATCTCCTGACCTCGTGATCCACCCGCCTCAGCCTCCCAAAGTGCTGGGATTACAGGCATGAGCCACCGCGCCCGGCCTCAGATTTTTCGTTTTTAAAAATTTCCTTAGGTTTCTCTAAGTTATAGCTTATGTGAGCAGTTAAAACTTAACAATGTTTAGTAAAGTGTTCTATTTTGTTTTTTTTGAGATAGAGGCACGATCTCAGCTCACTGTAACCTCTGCCTCCCGGGCTCAAGTGATTTTCCTGCCTAATCCTTTGAGTACCTGGGACTACTCGAGTACATGTGCCACCACGCCCAGCTAATTTTTGTATTTTTTGGTAGAGACAGAGTTTCACCATGTTGGCCAGGCTGGTCTTGAACTCCTGGCCTCAAGCAATCCACCTATCCAAAGTGCTGGGATTTCAGGCATGAGCCACTGCGCCCAGCCTAGTAAAGCATTCCTATTAATACTCTTTATTTATGCTTAATAAATATGCATGTAGAATTAATCATGGAACTCTAATTAGAAACTACATTTGTGGTTATCTTTTCAGAAATTAGTTTTGATGGCTTTGTTACTAGGTTATGTTTAAACCTAGGGTGAGTTTTAAATATATATATACATATTTTAATTAGAGTGGATCATTTGGATTGTTTCTTCCTAAGTCAGTTCACCTAAAAACATGCCTAAGACACTTTGTATTGAGATACAGTTGATATTACACAAACAAGAATTGTGTTAAACAGGTTCTGATTTATTGTGTATTTGAGCAAGTACCATTGTATCGTTTTCCTTGTAACTTATTAATGCTATCTTTTTGTACATAAAGATGTTTGTAAGAATATATATGTTTAAGTGTTAATTAATAGTTATGTTATCAATAATGTTTATTAGTTCAGTAGACATTTAGCATCACTTGTCTTACAGATGGGGAAACAGAGGTTTAAATGATTTTTGCCACAGTCACAGCAAATAAAAGCTTGGACTTTGAAGCCCAGCATAATGGTGTATCTATTTTGGGTAGGAGGGCTTCATTAAACCTCTGGAAACCAGAATAAATCATTTAACTTGTTTGTAGGACCCCTGAATTAGCCAACCCAAGTAATATATTAAAGGGTTATCCAGAACTCAGATTTTTAGCCCTAGAAATGGAAGTGGACCCATTAGGGCAAAGGGCTCTTCAAAATCCCCTCAAATAACAGTAATTGTCGTTTCCCCTGACAAGATGAGCAGGAGGAAAGAGAAGCTGACACCTCCTAAACACCCAGTGTGGCTGGGCATACTGAACTGTACCACAACCTCCAGCATAATTAGGATCCAAATTTTATGGATTAGAAAACTGAGATTCATGTTAAGTCACTTACCCAAAGTCACACCTATAATAAAGAACAAAGCCAGGCTTTGAAACTTGATGTATCAGGCTCCAGAGCTCATGATCTTTACACTGGGATTTCCCTTTTTTTTTTTTTTTTTTTTTCTTTTCCGAGATGGAGTCATGCCATTGCCCATGCTGGAGTGCAATGACGCGATCTCGGCTCACTGCAGCCTCCGCCTCCCAGGTTAAAGTGATTCTTCTGCCTCAGCCTCCTGAGTAGCTGGGATTACAAGCATGCACCAGCACGCCTGGCTAATTTTTGTGTTTTTAGTAGAGACGGGGTTTCACCATGTTGGCCAGGCTGGTCTCGAACTCCTGACCTCATGATCCTCCTGCCTCGGCCTCCCAAGGTGCTAGGATTACAGGTGTGAGCCACCGCGCCTGGCCTCCCAGTCTTGTGTAATCACAGGCATCCTCTAAGGTGCCTGTTTAAAAAATAATATACTTAACAATGGGGCTTCTGGGAATTCTGATTCAGTGTTGGGCTGAGATAGGTCCAGGTAATATATCTTTAACAGGAACCATAGGTAATTTTGATCATCAGGCAGATTGGAAAATATTACCAATGCCATTGTGTACTAAGAGGGTTTGAAGGTATTGGAGAAGCAGGAATAGGATTAGGAGTAGATCCCAATTTTTTTAATTGATACTTTACTAATTTTCTCTAGTAAAATAATAGATCAGATTGTGGAAATTATAAAATTGCTTTAAGTTCCCTTAATCTGCACAAAAACCAATATTGTATTTTTTTCTTTTATTTGACAACATTCGTACAGTGAGTTCTTTGGCATTATCTATGTTTACATTGGGGAACAAAAGCACCATTGACAGGTATAGATAAAACTATTCTAAATGCAGAAGTGGAAGAAAAAGTTATACTTAGAAGTAACGTTAAAAACAGCTTTAAACATAGAATCAGTAACTTCCTTGGGTACGAAAACCCCCCAAAATTTTAAATAACCTTAATCTAAAACTTTAATCCTTAAAGTTTTATAGAAGATCGTAAAACTTTCAAGCTGGGAGAGCTCCTGGATAGTCACATATTTATGGATGAAGCAACCACAACTTAGAGAGGCTTGGGGGCTTGCCCACAGTTAGTGGCAGACTTTCAAATCCATGCTGGCCAAGATTCCATAGAACTCATGGATTACAGATAAATACCAGAAAAAAGCAACTTTTCCAAGGATACACCAGTTTTTAGAAATAAATGTAGTGGCAAGTCATGTTTTCCTTATATTCCCTATTTTGTTTACCTAATTTTTATGTTTTCTTTCATTTTTCATTGTCCTAATAAAAATGAGTATATTTAAAGAAATCCCTTTTAGGAGATTATGTAATTTGAAGTATTTTATCTGATCAATGATAGAAAAATGAACCATAACCTTCCTAGAATAGTGTATTTAACAAATAAATACTTTCAGAACATGTGCTGAAGAACTCTAGTTTTCTCCACTTTTATTACAAAACTATTTTATGAATGGAGAAAAATGAGCATAGCTAGATGCTTGTACGTGAACTCTAACAGCAGTATAACAGCATTTCTATGTAAGTAGTAGGAGCTTTGTATTTGAACTTGAATTTAATTATCTTATCTGCAAATTTAATAGCTCTATGATCTTGTACAAGTTATTAAAATCTCAACCTAACTTTTTTTCTTCTCTGCGTAATAACTCACCTCATGGATGATTTTTAATTATTAATTGGGATTCAGTGAGAGAATATGTGTAACACAGGTAGCACTGTAGTTTGAACAAAATAGGCAATGAATAAATGATAGCTGTTACTTATTTCCTTGACCCAGTAGTTATTTAGAAGAATATTAATTTCTGAGTGAGTGCTTTATTTCCTTATTCAATATTTTATTGTAATCAGAAAATGTGACCTGTGTAATTCCTGCCTTTAAGAATTTTAAACTGGCCTGTAATCCTAGCACTTTCGGAGGCTGAGGTGGGAGGATTGCGTGAGGCCAGGAGTTTGAAGCTGCAGTGAGCCAAGATTGCACCACTGCACTCCATCCTAGGTGACATGGTCAGTTTTTATAACTTTTCATAGAAACTTATAAGTTGAAAACAACCCATATTCTTTTTACATTATAAAATTCAGTATCTACCTGTTCTAATATAAATTATTTCAAATGCTTTGTCCTTATTTATTATGCTAGTTGATATTAGTGCACTAAAATTTTCCCATCCATTTTCTTTCCATTTAGTTTATGTTATATTCTCCAAGGCATCTGTTCTTGTGTTTTGTGGTTGGTTTAGTCATGGTTAAATGTTCAATACTATTATGCATTTACTGTTTTTAATGACTTTTTTGCTTAAAAAGTGATACATGCTAATTGTAGAAAATACAGAGAAGGAAATAAACCTCTGCACTCTTACTATGGAATATTATTAAAAGACTTTTATGTGATTAAGAGTAGGGGTTTTAGGGCCAGCCGTGGTGGCTCACGCTTGTAATCCCAACGCTTTGGGAGGCCGAGACGGGTGGATCACTTGAGGTCAGGAGTTCGAGACCAGCCTGACCAACATGGTGAAACCCAGTCTCTACTAAAAAAAAAAAAATACAAAAATTAGCTGGATGTGGTGGCACGCACCAGTAGTCCCAGTTACTCAGGAGACTGAGACAGGAGAATCCCTTGAACCCGGGAGGCAGAGGTTGCAGTGAGCCAAGATTGTGCCACTGCACTCCAACCTGGGTGACAGATCCAGATTCCATCTCAAAACAAAAAACAAAAGAGTAGGGGTTTTAGAATTAGATTTGGGTTTGAATTTCGGCTCTACTTATTAGCCTTAGGCAGTATATTAGACTTTCTCATGTATTCAACAAATATTTATTGAACACCTACTGTGTGTGCCAGGCATTTTGCTAGGGGACTGGGGATCCAGTGCTTAGAAAGTTTGACATACCTATCTTGGCTTAATTTCCTCATTTGTAAACTGGTGATAATACCTCACAGAGTGGTTAAGAAGCATCAAAGATAACAGTCCTTAGCATTTGCCTGGTATGTGGAGCTCAGTAAATGATAGCAATCATTTTTACTGTGTGTACTCAATATTGATTATATCTTTAATCCAAATAAAATGACTTTTTTAACTCAGCTTAAGGTTTTTGCCTTACATTTTATTTTTGGTATTAATGTTATAAACGCTTGTTTTATTTTTTTTTTATACTTATCTGTTTGGTTTGGGTTTCTCTTTAAAGTAGTAAATAGTTGTTGGTTTACTTTTTAAAAAATATAACCTGATTATTAAAGTTATGATTATCAAACATTTCAAACACATACCAGACTGGAGAGAGTAGTGTAATGAACCAACATATTCCCATAACCCAGCCTCAAGGATTATCAAACTCATGGCCAATCTTGTTCCATTTCTGTTTCCTCTTCTCATTCCCCTAACCACCCTCCGATAAACATTTGCATTTATACTTCTTAAAAGATAGACTTTTAAAATTCATAAGGACCTTACTATCATCACTCATAAAACATCAGTAATTCTTTAATGACATCTAATATCCAGCAAGCCACTTCCTTGTATAATTAAACACTTTAAACTTTACATTTCTTACATTATTACTTTTGGAATGGTTTCCGTCATATTATTTTACATTTTTTATTCTTGTGAGGTTTTTTTCTTCTTCCATATAAATTGTTTTGTTTGAGGAGCTTATGAAATATAGAAGAATGAATTACGGAGCTAAAAAGATCTGGGTTTGAATCCTGCTTCTGCCATTCAGTAATTAACTTTGCTGAGCCTTGGTTTCCTCAACTATAAAATAGGAATAATTATACCTGACTCATGTTCTTAGGGTTGAATGTGATGCCTGCATAAAGTATTGTTAATAGTCTCTGCCAGTTATTATCTTTAGTGATTCGAACTGTAATATCTATTCTTGGTTACTGTATGGTTTTTCAAAACATTCCAAAATTTGTATTTACTGGATAACTACTAAAACTAATGGTTTTAAAATATCCTTCTAGGAAAGAGAATTTAGAATCTTGGCTTCTCCCACTACCTCTTTTATTTTGAGTTCACATTAATTTAACCTGATGTTACAAATCCTACTTTGAACTTTCTGAAGTGTTTTTTCTTTTATATTGTTTATATACTTATATCAATTATTCTTCACTATTGAACCCTTTTCTTTTAGTGGGATTAACTGTTTTACTCAGTTATTTCTAGATATTAGGTTGGTGTCAGTATACTTCACCAGTTCTTTCCTACCTCAATATTCTTTATCTCTTATTCTCTTTTGATGGTCTAGGATGTACCTTTGAACAATTTATTTTTTTAAAAAACTACCAGGATGGTGAAAATTTGACTTTGCAGATCTAAGAATAATTTCCTGTGAGCTTTGAACACGAAAAACTAGAATGAGGTATAAAATTCTTAGATCATAACTTTTCCTTTTCAATTCTCTGTAAGTGATTACTTCAATGTCTTCTGGCATTTTATTGTTGCAGAGGAGAAATCTGAGGTCAGTCTGATTTCAGTTCCTTTGAAATAACCTATTTTTTTCTGCTTGTATGCTTGTAGGATTATATCTTTATCCTTGAAATTTAAAAACATTTGCCAGGACATGTCTTGGTGTTGATGATCTCTGTTGAACCTTCTCAGTCTCCAGTCTCAGGTATTTTTTTTTCAGAACTGGAAAGTTTTCTTATACTTTTGATTGATTAAACTGCCTGTTTTTTTTTTTCTTTAGGAACATCTGTTATTCATAGATTATTTCTATGTCTGTCTTCCATAGTTTCTTTAAATCTTTTCTTTCTTTCTTTCTTTCTTTTTTTTTTCATTTACTCAAGTTTGTCCTCTGTGGCATGGATTCCGTTTTCTGTAGTGTCAATTCTAATACTTGCTATTCACAGTGCAGATTTAATTTTGGCTACTATGTTTTCATTTCTTTATTCTTATCTCAACATACTCTTGTTTCATAAGCAGAATCCCCCTTAGACGGTAACACTTCAAAAAACATGAGGTGGATCCCAGCCTGAAACTTGGCCACAACCACAGGACCAGGAAAAAAAAAAGTTTCTGAAAGGGTCCTCTTAAACATAAAAATGTAAATATAACCAGAGGTCATTCCTACCCTCATCTAGAAAATAGAACAATGTTGGGTACTAACAGACCTTAAGTAGCTAGAGGAATAGTAAAGCAGGCATAAGGGCACCTTAACTAGAAATAAACTGATTTTTCTAATTACATGTATTGTTTTTCTCTTTATAAAATTAATACATAATAAGTGCATATAACTTTGAAAATACATTACAAAGAAGAAAAGCCTGTGACCCAGGTAACGACTGATAAGATTTTATATATGTTTTGCCAGCTACATGCACACATGTTGGGAGGAGGGGATGCAAAATTGGGTCATACTATATAGTTTTGTATCCTTTTTAATGTAATATATTGCAAGCATATTTTTTGCATCATTAAATTTTCTTTGAGGCCCTGATTTTAACCATTGCATAGTATTCCTACATATGAATAGATGTATTATGATTTATTTAACCAGTCCCTTGTTGGTCATTTAGATTGTTTTCTATTTTTCAGTATAATGAGTATGATGAATATCACTGTACATAAGTCTTTATGCACATCTCTGATATTTCCTTAGGATAAATGAGGAGCTGATTCTTAATCCTGTCACATTGGTAAGGATTATATACATTCCTTATTAAGAATATAAAGTGCTTGTTTCTTATTGTTTCATTGTGATTGCATAGAAGATTCTTTGGATTCTGAACAATTTGGTGGTATCTTAACCAAAGTTTGAGAGAGGTTTCTAATGCCTCATGCTCAGCACCTTCATGATGGAATTCCTATTGTGTAAGCTTTTGGACAGGAAAACCACTGCTGATATCAGGGAGTTTGGAAAGTAGATATACTTGTGGAAACCTGAGGGTGGTAAAAAAAAAAAAAAAAAAAAAAAAAAAAGTATGGTCCTTGTTCATTCCTACAGCCTGGGTCTCCATATTAATATACTAGGGCTCTGGATCTTTTCTTTTCCTCTTCCCTTCCTGTTATTTCAGATTGTTACTCTCTCTGAAGATTCTTCTCTTAATGTCCGTACGTCCATTTCATTTCTAGGTAGGAGAATGTCAGTAGATGATATACCCTGCTGAGTTCAAGGTAGCATTTTATCAGTCACAGATCATCTTTTGGTCCTAGCATACTTATACATGATGATCTCCTGCTGAAATCAAAGTATTTTTTAACTAATTATATATTTTCAGAGGTATCAAACAGCAGCCTGGAAAAGTACATTGTTGTATCATGCCATTACAACAAAGCAATCTGCTTAATAAAGTTGCTTAAAATGAAAGTTTTTAAATTAACAAAATATTTTTAACCTCAGAATTTTCCATAAAATAGTTAGGAATACTCTAGAGTTCCTGAAACCTTGATTCAGAAATACTGATTGGAGTTGTTCTTCCTCTTTAAGCCTGGAAGATGATCTTAGGTGATAATTTTTTACAACATTGAAAACAATTCCTGCTGAAAGTCAAGGGAACAGTCTCCTTTATCTGATTTGTTCTGATGAGACCCATATTGTAGGTTATCTAATGTGTGACTTTATACACATTTCAGGCTAACAAAGTAAAGCATGATTAGCATTTCCTAACCTTTTCCAGTATTTCACATCACATTTGCATATATACAATCTGCCAGGCTCTGAAATTTTTTGGCTGGAAGGCATTATGGTGGGATGAGAGAGGATAAATACATTTGCCTCACTTTTAAACTATTTTTTGTCCATACTCATTCTCTAGCTACATTGTATAAAAATATAGCACATACATAAATGATCTCTTCCACCCTGCTTAGTGGAAAATTGACTGTAGTGAATGATGGAACAGGTGTTTCAACACTCTCCGATACTTCTTCATTGCATTACATCTTTAGAAGTTACCTATAGAAATGTAATGTTACACAGTCAATTGAGGCAAAAGAGAGGAGAAGAAGTAACATTTACTGAACATAGACTGTCTCTTGGTGGATCTTTTTAGTTACAACATCCCTGTGAGGTAGATATTATGTGCATCTTGTGAGTGAAGAAACTGAGGCTCAAAATGTTAAATAACTTACCCAAGTTCAGGTAACTACACCAGTAAGTGACAGAATTGGGGTTTAAATGTGGTACTGACCAGCTTTAGAACACATTTTTTCCCACTTGTTTTTTAAAATTAGAGAAATATATTTTCTTGTTTAACAAGTACTATTCCTTAAACTTAGGAAACAATAGAAAGTAAAATACTGAGTAAGACTCATAATCCATGTAACCTAATCTCTAATAAAACCAACCGTCATTTTCCAAATGGGAAACTTAACTGTAGAAGTAACTCTGTGCTCATTTCTAATAGATAACATTTGAATCCTTGTTTTGATGAAGTGATAGAAAAGTTTCATTTAAATAAAGGTGCTTTTTTTGGTAGAAAAAGCTTTGTAAAGCTGCACTGGTATGTAGGATAATGTTGGCTCGCTGCTTTAAAAATTAAATTGTTCAACATTTTAAATTATTGCCAAACTCAGGAGGTAGCTATTTTTACAAAAAGTAGAGCATAAAATACCCTTCAGATTATGTTTCACTCAATTTTTTTCTTAGGTTGCTTTGTTAGTATATACTATACTATTAGCTGGGTGAGTATTTGAGAAAAGAAAGTTTATTGTAAAATTTGAGATGACGTGAAGCTGAAAATAGTGAAGAGGCTGATTGACAGATTTGGAATCTAATATATAGAGACTGTAGCAATGGATGAGAGCTGGAAAAAGATGAATCAAAAATTTTAAATAAAGTTTTATTCATGGAACTAAGAGTAACAACAGGTATGCAGGGTGTGGTTGCAGTGCAAGACAAGGATTTAATCAGAAAACTTGATATGTCAGCATTGTGTTGAGGGCATTCCAAAAATAATGCATATGTGAACTGCATTAACATAAGTTTATTTTCTAGGACAAGGGAGATAATATGACCTTTACTCTGCATTGGTCGTTTGAGGGTTGAAATGTTAATTACATGCAATTCCATATACCACCCTTTAAGATGATTTGGAGTGTGTTCAGAGAAGAAGATGGTGATGAGTCTTATCTGTCTTAAAGAAATGTTTGAAGGAACTTAAGTTATCTAGAAAAGATAAGTTTCAGGGTGGATTAGAGTCATAGATGTAGATTTACTTCCTGTGACTTTGCAGATAGAGTACAGGCAAGTTAGTCATCATTTATTAGTAATCCTCTTAAAGAGAATTCACAGCTGAGGAAAGTTGCTATATAATGAAAAATTTCATGTAGCAGGCAGTACTTTCTCAGAGATATTATAGTGCCTAGTGAGGTAGTACATTCTTGTCCTGGTAGTATTGAAGCGTAAGTAAGAATGGAGTAGAAAGAGTTGAAACATATTATGTGTAGTAGGAACAGAAGACTGTTGAGATGCCTTATCAATTCAAAGATTTTTTAAATTCCAAGATCAAAAGGACTTTACAGAGTATTTTATCCTCATGAAGCTACCTCACCTTAGTAATAATGTGCATTGGTACAGCTCTTTAACATTTATAAAGTTCTTTCTTCTGAATTATCTCATTTTTGAGCCTGGTAATAATCCTTTGGGTAGATAGGACAAGTATCCTTATTTTGAACAGGTAAAGTAATAGGCTAAGAGAAAATCTGAATTGCCTCAAATCATAAAGCTTATAAGCAGCAGCCTAGGGCTCTATCCTTGGTCTGCGAATTCCAAGTTTAGTGCTGTTTCTCCTGTACCAGTTTTCTTTAAAAGTAAGTTATAAGTTGTGACACTTGCTTTGCATACATTAAAAATTGCAGGGAACAGATGGTTCTTAAATTTTATTCCTATGAAAAACGTACGTGTAGCTCAAGTTAGACTGAGGGTTCTAAACGCCAAACAATGGGGAGTCATGGGGGCAAGTCTGTGTTACAGAAAGATAACTGTTTACAATTAATGAAAAAATCTGGTTTGGGCTGCTAGATGAATGATGGTGCCATTCATTAAGATGACAAATATAGGAGAGGGAGCAGATTGGTGGGCCAGAGGTGAGGTAATTGAATTTTGGACGTAAGAAAACTAACTGACATTGATTGTTTACTAAGTGCCAGACACTATGGTTAGGGTTTTATATCATTTAACTCATTTAGTCTTTACTACAACCCTCTGAAGATAAGACTTTTCAATCTTCATTTTCCATATGAAGAAACTGAAAAGCTTAGATTGTTGAAAGAACCTGTCCAAGACTTCATAATTAATAGGGTGAGACAGGAATTTGAATCTCTATGTCGGACGACAGAGCCGCAGTTGTTAGGAGCTAGTTCTTTGGGACATTTGGATAAGAACAACCAGTAGTCAGTCAGTTGAATAAATGGTTGTCACTTTGAGGAAAAAGAAATATTCTGGAGATACATGAGTATCTTTATACCAAAGAAATGGGCAGTGTTATAGCCTTTGAACATACCTTAGGAAAATAAAGATTTTATACTTGCCTCCCTACCTTTTCCTGAATTTTGGCACTGTTTCTGTGCTTCATAGTATTATATAGGCATTCCCTCATCTAGGAACATCTTCTATGAGTGGTGAAAATGAAAGGTGCCCTTTGTATAAGGTCAGTAGACCTTCTAAGATAGGGGCTATGTTTTATTAACTTCTGTCTCCAGCTCAGTGCCTAGAACATAGCTTGAATGAAATGAATGAATGGATGGATGGTAAATAGGGATGAGAAAAACAAAGAGGGGAGTTCATATTTAGAGCAGCTGCCTCATGTGAAGTATGAGGTGATAGGTGGGCTGCCTTTTATTTCCCAGGTGATAATGTTCCAAAGATGGTTAGCTTAGATCCTTGTATACTTGTTGAATTAATAGTCGGGACTACTCCTTTTTCCAGTAAGGGAATGAGAGAAGAAGCTACGTGTTCCTGACTTCCGTTTTTGTGGTTTTTAAAAATTACACAAATAATACGTATTCATTGTAGACATTGTAGACACATTAGAATATTCAAATAAGCAAAAATAAACAATTTAAATTGTCTAAAATTCTACCACCCAGAGATAACCACTGTTAACATTTTGGTGTATATCCTTCCAGAGTTTTTCCCATAAAAATATATACATTGGAATATGTATATATTTATTTAGAATGGGATCATTACAATCCATATTGTTTTGTAGACTGCTTTTTCACTTCTTACATGTGACTGTCTTTCTATGTCAATGAATTTACACCTTTATCATCATTTTAATGACTGCATAGTATTCCATTATAAGGATGTACCATAATATATTTAACTAGTTCTCTATTGTTAGGAATTTAGGTTTCCAATTTGAAGTTCTTTTTGGAATAAAAGTTATGGTGAGCATTCTTGTATGTACATCTTTGTACACTTGTCTACTTTTTTTAAAAAAGAAGTAGAATTGATGAGACATTTCAAAATTTTATGTGTGGTATTTTGGTTTTTTTAAAATATGGACTCGGATTGCCTTCCTGAAAGTTTGTGCTGATTCACACTTTCTCCAGCAGTATGTCCAGAGTGCTCTCTCCCCCGTACCCTCGTTAATACTGAATGGTTTTTTGTTTTTGTTTTTGTTTTTGTTTTTGTTTTGTAAATCATTACCAATTTGAAAGGCAAAAGGTGTCTTTGGGTTAAATGCATTTCTTTGATGAGTACTAAGGCTGAACTCTTTTTTCCCTTATTGCTCATTTCTGTTGAGGTTCATCGTTTTTTCTTACAGGTTTGTAAAACAAAGCTCTTTATGTATTGAGGATACCAACCCTTTGTTATATGTTGCCTTTTTTTTTTGTAATCAGTTTGTCTTTTATCTTTTTTTGTGTCTGGCAGAAGTTTTAAACTTTTATAGATTCAAATGTCATTTTTTTCTTTATGATTTCAACCCTCCTTACCCCATGAGTATTGTTCACCTGTATTCTAATACTTGTACAATTTTATTTTTTCACATCTAAATGTTTAATCCATCTGGAATTTATTTTGATGTAGAGATTGGGCTTAATTTTCTCTGAAATAATTAATCAGTTCCCTTGATTAATTATGAATGGAGTTGGAATTTAGAGTGTGTTTTGCCATACACTGTTGTAATGATGTTTGGTGAGGCTTAAATGAGACCATTTGTAATGCATTTAACTATTAAACTCAAGGGTTCACGTGGAAAGGTAATAATCATTTATTATATGATTTCCATGAAAAAATGTTTTTATAGTTTCAAATAATTAACTTTTGAAGCACATCCTGTTGCAAATTTAGCAACTGCATACTCATATGGTGGTTCTACTTCATTAGAGCCCTTTAGGGGTGAAAATCTTCCTCAATTTTTTTTTTTTTTGTCTGCCTTCATTTAACTTTAACTGATGTGAGGTCTGTTTTGGTAACTTCCTGCTTGCTGTGCTTTTCACAGAATGGACAGCAAATTATGGATGAACCTATGGGAGAGGAGGAGATTAACCCACAAACTGTAAGTAAAATATTTTATCACAAAGGGTATAGATAAATGAAATACTGTAAAGTTATTATTATTTTTCAGCTGAGCAGAGTAATCATTTTACAGTGTTAGAAACTTGTCGATCCTTTCACATTAACTTTACCAGACTACATTATTGAGTATGCCAGGGACCTTTCTAAAAACTGTTTGATAAGAGTGATTTTAAGAGAATGATAAAACAAATTGCTTTATATTGTTGAAAGTTTTTCATTAGTGCCTAAAGCTTATGTTTTTTTGTTTCTTGGGGATTTTTTTGAGATGGAGTTTTGTTCTTGTCGCCCAGGCTGGAGTGCAATGGCGCGATCTTGGCTCACTGCAACCTCAGCCTCCTGGGTTCACAGGATTCTCCTGCCTCAGCCTCCTGAGTAGCTGGGATTACAGGCGCTCACCACCACACCTGGCTAATTTTTGAATTTTTGTAATTTTAGTAGAGATGGGGTTTCACCAAGTTGGCCAGGCTGGTCTCAAACTCCTGACCTCAGGTGATCTGCCCACCTCAGCCTCCCAGAGTGCTGTGATTACAGGCGTGAGCCATGTGCCTAGCCTGAAGCTTATGTTTTTAAATAACCAAATTGAACGTAAATTTGTTAAAGACAAAAATATAAAGGTCATACTTTACAGATACGTTTAACATAGAAAGTGGACATTCACCATTTCCTCATCTGGTTTTTTTGTTGTTGTTCACTCCTGAATCCCCAGTAACTAAACCAATGTGCCTGGCACATAATGGATACTCATTAAATATTACATAAATGAATTAATAAATTGTTCCCTACCACCACACACAGAATAACCATTGTCAGCAGCTAAGTTATAGTCATCTTGATATTTTGTACGTAAGATAATTATTATTTACGTTTACAAAATACATATTCTGCAACTTGTTCTTTTTACTTAACATGTCTTGAACATCTTTGTATGACAGTACATATAGAACTACCTCTTCTTTGTTTTGTTTTTTTGTTTTGGGGGGTTTTTGAGACACGGTCTCTCTCCCTGTCACCCAGGCTAGAGTGCAGTGGTAGAGTCATGACTCACTGTAACATCAAACTCCTGGGCTCAAGCAACCCTCCCACCTCAGCCTTCTTGGTAGCTAGTACTACAGGCACATGCCACGACACCCAGCTAATTTTTTTTTTAATGTTTGTGTTTTTTGTACAGATGGGGTCTTGCTATGTTGCCCAGGCTGGTCTTGAACTCCTGGCCTCAGGCAATCCTCCTGCCTCATCCTCCCAAAGCATTGGGATTACAGGTGTTAGCCGCCATGCCCAGCCAGATCTACCTCTTTTTTAAGTGGTTACACAGTTACAGTATTCTATTTTATGAATATCCTATATTTAATGTAATTTTCCCCTGTTTTTGTGAATTTGTGTTTCAGTAGGCTATAGTCTTAGAAAAGGATGTACTGAAACCAAGGGCATAAACATTTAAATCAATAGACATTTGTCAAATTTCCTGTCAAAATTTCAGTATATGAGAATACTTGTTTGAGTATTGCCTACTCAACACTAGGTATTATCAGAAAATATTTTTAATTTGAGTGACTCTAGATAAATAATACTTTCCCTTTTTGTCTTTTTCTTTTTTTCTTTTTTGAGACAGAGTCTCGCTCTGCTGCTCAGGCTGGAGTGCAGTGGTGTGATCTCAGCTCACTGCAACTTCCGACTCCCAGGTTCAAGCCATTCTCCTGCCTCAGCCTCCCGAGTAGCTGGGATTACAGGCAACCGTCACCACGCCTGACTGATTTTTTGCAATTTTAGTAGAGATGGGGTTGCACAATGTTGGCCAAGCTGGCCTCGAACTCCTGACCTCAAGTGATCCACCCATCTTCGCCTCCCAAAGTTCTGGGATTACAGGCGTGAGCCACCATGCCTGGCTGACTTTCCCATTTTAATTTGCATCTCATTTGCTTACTAGTGAAGTTGAGTATCCATCATTATTGGCATTTGTTATTTTATGTTTTGCTCAGTTTTCTCTGGGGTTACTTGTTGTCTCCTTATTGGTCTGTACAATCTCTGTATATATTCTGGATATTAACTCCATGTCTATTATGTATCTTGTAATATGTTTTTTTAAACATTAATTATGTGCCTTTCATTGTAGTATGTACGGAAGTTTTTTGTTTGTTTGTTTTTTGTTTGTTTGTTTGTTTGTTTTTTGAGACGGAGTCTTGCTCTGTCATCCAGGCTGGAGTGCAGTGGCACTACCTCGGCTCACTGCAGCCTCTGCCTCCCGGGTTCAAGCGATTCTCCTGCCTCAGCCTCCTGAGTAGCTGGGATACAGGCACGCGCCACCACGCCTGGCTAATTTTTGTATTTGTGGTAGAGACGGGGTTTCACCATATTGGTCAGGCTGGTCGCAAACTCCTGATCTTGTGATCTGCTCGCCTCGGCCTCCCAAAGTGCTGGGATTACAGGCGAGAGCCACTGTGCCTGGCCAGAAGTTTTCATTTTTAAATGGTCACATCTGGCTTCTGGGTTTCATGCTTTGGTTAGAAAATCCTTCCCTACACTAAGGTTACAAAAATAATCCTTTTACATTTTGATCTTTTATAGTTTTTTGGTGTTTTTTGTTTTGTTTTACATTTAGATCTGTGATCCACTTGGAATTTAGTACCTGGTATGAGGTAGAAATCTAACTTTTCTTTCCAAATAGATAGCCTGTTATCCTAACCTCTATTTATTGAATAAATAAAATCTATTATTTCCCTACTCATTTGAGATACCTCTTTTATCATGTATAAAATTGCCTTATACCCCTTGTATCAGTTTCCTGCTTTGCCATAACAAATTACCACAAACTGGGTGGTTTAAAACAACAGATGGCTCTCGGGGAGGTTCCTTTGTTGCCTATTCCAGCTTCTGGTGTTTGCCAGCAATCCTTGGCATTCCATGGCTTGTAGATACATCATTCCACTCTCTGCCTCGGGCATCAGATGATCTCTCTGTTTGTGTCTGTGTCTAAATTTCCCTCTTCTCATGAGAGCACTAGTCATTGGATTGGGACCATCCCACTCCAATATGACTTCATCTTAATTACATCTGCAAAGACACTGGTTTCAAATAAGGTCACATTCACCGTTACCGGGGATTACTTGAACATACCTTTTTGGAGGGCACAATTCAACCCACAATCCCCCTGAATATTTTGACTTTACATACTTTTTCAATTACTGTCATTTTATTATATGTTTTTTTAAATGTGGTAAAGCAAGCCTTCCCACCTTTTTACTTTTGTAAAAAGTCTTATATGTAGTCTTATAAATGTAGTCCTACACATTTAATCTTCCAGATAAACTTTACAATCAGTTCATCAAGTACTTCTGAAAAATTTATTGGGATTTTTATGAGAATTGCCTTAAATTTACAGATTAACATGAAAAATTATTTTAACAATATTGAGTCTTCACATTCAGGAACATTCATTCTTTCTGATTTTCTTTTACATTCTTTATCAAAATTTTATGGTTTCTTGGCTGGGTGTGTTGGCTTATGCCTGTAATCCCAGCACTTTGGGAGGCTGAGGCAAGAGGTTCGCTTGAACCCAGGAGTTCGAGACCACCCTGGGCAGCATAGTAAGTCCCTGTCTCTACTACAGGTTTAAAAATAAGCCAAGCATGGTGGCATATGCTGTGGTCCCAGCTACTTGGGAGGCTGAAGCAGAGAATCACTTGAACCCAGAAGTTTGAGGCTGCAGTGAGCTATGATCATGCCACTGCACTCCAGCCTGGGCAACAGAGTGAGACCCTGTCTGAAAAAAAAAAAGTTATAGTTTTTTACATACAGTTCTTGTGCATTTGTTAAGACAAATTATGGGTATTTTATAGTTGTATAGTCTTTGTTATGTCATAAGTGGGATTTTTTTTCTGCTATGTTTTCCATCTGGTTATTGCGTATGTATATTTAAAATGTTAGGTGTTTCTATCTGTTTTTTAGCATCTTAGGAGTGTTAACTTTTCAGAAATCAAACAAATTGTCATGAACGTTATGTCAGTTGTGGAAGAATAAGATCAGTTTAACCTTCTGCTTAAAACACCTCCATAGTTTTATGGTTCCTTTAAATAAAAACCCAACCTCCATAACATGACCTACCAGGCCCTGCATAATAAGGTTTTGCATACTTCTCTCCACATCCTCTCTAGCCGCACACCTCTACCCTCTACTGAAAGTCCAGTCACTCAAATGTATCAGCTTCTCTTTTGCTTATGGGCTTTCAAAGGCAATGTTCCTTCTCCCAGAATTCTTTTCCCTTACCGCCATCCCCACTACTTAATTCCTGGTCATCTTTCAGATCTGTTTAGATGTCATTTCAACTGAGATGTCTTCCCTTTACAACTACCACTTCCACTTTGACCTTGAGTTAAGTGTTTTTCCTTTTTGCTGCCACGGGAGCCTATGCATACCTTAAATGGCAACACCATACCAGATTCCATTGCTTATTTACTTGGTCTATATTCCCTACTAAACTGTGAATTGAATGAGGCAGTGACCAAGTCTGACTTATTCCTTGTTTTATGTCTGTGCCCAGTACCCAGTTGGTGTTCAATAAGTATTTGTTAATTAAATGAATGAATGGATTAAGTTTTAGCTAGCATAGGGACCCAGGCATGGGGCCTAGTGCCCTGAGCTACCTTCAGATTCCTACCCTCTCCAAAACCATTTGAGGCAGTTTACTTCATTAGTCTGTAGTATATATATTTACATGTAAGCTAATGTAAAAACAATCAGAAGGAAAACCTCCAAATTTTTTATTCTCTGTAGTCTAAAAGCATTTTCCATTGTGATGTTAAATGGTTTGTACTTTCTCCTACTCATGGCTTTAGTAGCATTTACATCTGCAAGAACCTGCATTCTAGAGACAGGTCAGAAAGATGCAGGACTAAGATACTACCAGCAATGTGGATGAGACTGTTGAGCAGATCATTCCAGATTATACAAATTAGGCTTAGGTGTCAGATAAAAGCCTGGTATTTAATATTTATTTAATGATATTAAATACAAAAGATTGTCAAAATATTTATTAACCTTATAATTTAAAATTGTATTTGCTTTTTATATATAATTAAAAGTTTTCCTTTTGTCAACTACTAATAATTTACATAGGGAACGTTGAGATGTTGTATTATCTATTTGATGTGTTACAAATTACTCCAAACTTAGTGGCTTAGAACTACACACATTTATTATCTCCCAGTTTCTGTGGACCAGCAATTTGGGCAGAGCTTAGCCGCATCTTTTGGTTCAGAGGCTCTCTCAGACTTGAAATTAAGGTGTGGACCAGGGGTAGAGTTTCATCTGAAACTTGACTAGGGAAGGATCTGCTTCTAAGCTCACATGGTTGCTGGCCCAGATTCCTGGTCCACCAAAACTGTGAGATAATAAATTTATGTATGGAGGTCGTCAGCTGGTAGGCTTTCTTGCAGGTTCATTGGCCCCTTTTCCATGGGCTACAATGCAGAATGTAATGATAAGCCACTTTCGACTAGGACAAGACAGTAGAGAAGGTGGATAATAAGAAATCTGGGTCCCTTAATGACCTAATGGTCTAGTGACACCTCTTCACCCAAAAGTATGCTCTTAACCTATGGACTGCTCTGTGAGGGGAAAAAAAAAAAGGCACTTACTTTGTTTGAGTTGTCGCATTTGGGGATCTTTTTCTTATAGTAGCTTAGTCCATATTCTAACTACATCTAGTCATTCACTAACAAAGTAGTTAATGAATGTCTATTAGGTGCCAAGTACTCTGCTACATTCGTTGTTACAGAAGCATATAAGGGAAACTTGCAGCTTTAAAAATGGCAAAATAAAGTTGTTTTTGTCCTCTTCTTCTCTGGGAAATTACCGCCCAAAACAACAAGGAGAATAAGAAATCAGAACTTTGGTCTTTGAAATCAGAAGATATCTGTAACTTGAACCACAAGATATAAATATGAAAAGCAGATAGAAGAGTGGTAACAAGATGAAATTAATAGAACATAAGTGATTTTAGAGGAATATCCTAATGGTGAGCAAGTCTTATTCAAGGCCCCCAGAGCCTCAGAAGAGCTCAAAAATGGGGTCGCCAGGTACTGTGGAACATGGACGTATGGCATGGGGCTGAAAACAGAGATTGGTTGAATATTGATATAAAGAGTTTCTAGATCCTCTCTCCTCTGGAGACAGAAGATATTTCACAGAGAAAACCAGAGAAGCTGTATACTTGGGCACCTTGGACACAGGAAGAAGTAGGGTAAGGCACTGGGCTGGAAACAGGGAGGTCAAGTGAAAACCTATTACTGAATGGTGACCTGGTCCCATTCCAACCACTAGGGACCATATCCTCCAGGAAGGAGGATGAGCGTTGTGACTGAAGAAATGTCAGATACTGTCCTTTGGGAGACCTTTAGTGTAAAAGCTGCCTGGTTGGCTAGTTAACCTATAAGAAAGCCTCCCAGTTGACAAGCCAATAACTTCCAGGCCACTTCCTAATGCCTCACGCAAATATTTATGGAAAGCCAAATATCACCAGTTATTTGAGGAAGTCTTCCAGTATAAAAGAATGAGATCTTGGAGGAACAAACAATGCAGGGAAAAAGCAAGTTTAATTAGTGTCCTCTGAGTGTTGAGACAAAATTGATTCCCCAAGAAAAAGTAACTTGCCATAAAAAAGAAATCATAAAAGAAGAAACTCTTAGAAGTTAAAAATATAATAGGAATGTTTTGTATTTTAGTAGAACATTTACAAACTAAAATTGAGGAAAGCTCTCAAAAAGTAGAACAATAAGAGGTAGAAAGTAGGAGAGAAAAAGAAAGAAGAGCAATCTAACATCTAACTAATAGGAATTCCAGAAAGAGACAATAGAGGAAATGAAGGGGAAGAAAGCAGGAAAGAAATACCATAAGAAACATTTTTTTTTACGTTGTAATATCTCTGAAATCAGAATGGTTATTATAATCCATAGTATGACATATATTAATTGACAGCATCTTTTCTTTCATAATGGTATAGTGATAATCATGCTTTTAGATTAAGTGGAATACTAAAATACCAAATTTTAAAAAAAAAAGCAATTTTCCAAAATGAGGACCATGAGTCTCCAGATTACAACGTCCCTCTGAAAGCCTATTAATGAGAGAAATTTTAAAAAGCCCTACTCTCAAGAAGGCTCATCTCTGAAATATCAAAACACTAGTGATAAAGGGAAGACCCTAAAAGCTTTTAGAGATTTTTTTAATCCTATATAAAAGATTGGATAGAAGAATATTAGACTTTTCAGCATCAAAAGTTAGAAAACAAGGAGCAACGCCTTTAAAATGCTTAGTGAAAATGATTTTCAGCCAAGATATTTTCAGATATGGACCTATTTTGGGAAGTCGCTGGAAAATGGGCTCTGCCAACACTAGAGGGTTATTAACTAAGTAAGAGAGACATGGGATTTGGCAACAAAAGATCCAGTACTACAAGCATGATGAAAGTTTATTCCCATTATGATGATTAAAGGAAGCTTCAGAAGACTAGTTCATTCAGTAAGCTTAGAGAGTACTCAGTCCAGATTGAAGAAGACAGATAATTTCAAGAATGCTGCCTCCAGGAACAGGATTGGGGGAAGAGGTGGGGGAATAGAAGTGATGAATCTAAATAGACTTGGGTATTGAAAATTCACTTGAGAGGCTGTTGCAGAGTAGGAAGAATTTGAAATAGGTACAAAGAAAATAAAAGCAAATTAAAAAACAAAGCAACTGTAAACTTAAGGAAAAACAAAAATTGTACACAAGAGATGTAACTAAAGTATATTCTTTACCTCGGCAGTGAGCAGTGTTTACATAGTCATAATAATTGTAAAGACTAAATATTGATTTAACCAAAATCTGTGATATGAGTGCCAAGTCATCTGTAATAGGGTGTCTAAAGGTAATATCTGAAATTGATGAATCAAGAGAAAGTATTATAAGGTTATTATTTATCACATAAAGGCAAATACCAGAGGGAACAATGAAAAGAACTGAAAGGGTACCAAGAGCATATATATTGCTGCTTTCTCATTACAAGCCTTGAAATGCTTTTTGACCCTTTATAAAGCCTTTGATAAAAATTCAAGTGAAATTTAAAAAGTAGTTGTAACTGGTGTGATCAGGCAAAAATTCACAGAAGGCATGAAATTTAACCTGATTCTTAAAAAATAGGTACAGGATTTTTGAGAAGTAAATGTCAACATTTGGGTAAATGCACTTTTATGGGAAAATGGTGTAAACAAAAGTCAAAGGGAGGAAAAGTGAGATGTGTTGGAGATAGCTAAATCAGTTTGACTAAAAGGATAGTCATAAAGGAGAGCCCGATTTCTCCTGAACATTAAATACCGTCACTCAGACCTTCTTAGTGTATGGAGTTAATCCTGTGATGTCTCTTGAACATATCCCCTTGGTTTCTATTTGTGATAGAGCCATTCTGTTCTGGCTGGATTTTTCTGTTCTTCACACACTTAATCTCTTCTTTTGCCCTTTGTTATTTGCCCTGCTATCTGCCTGTCTCCCGTATCTTAGATCTACTTCTTATTTATGTATTTATTTATTTATTTATTTTGGAAACAGGGTCTCACTCTGTCACCCAGGCTGGAGTGCAGTGGCTCACTGCAACCTCCGCCTCCCAGGTTCAAGCAGTTCTCCTGCCTCAGCCTCCCAAGTAGCTGGGATCACAGGCACATGCCACCACACTCAGCTAATTTTTGTATTTTAGAGATGGGGTTTTACTGTGTTGGTCAGGCTGGTCTCAAACTCCTGACCTCAAGTAATCCACCTGCCTCAGCCTCCCAAAGTGCTGGGATTACAAGCATGAACCACCATACTCGGCCCCACTTCTTTTCCATCTTCTGGCATTTTAATGCTGTTATCCTTTCTTCTGGCTTTCTAAAGGTTCAGCCTTTTCCTGTCTTTACTTAACTGAAGTAAAAACTTTTACTTCACACAAAGTTGCCTTAAAACTTGCATTTGAGCATCCAAAATGATCCTTAACAGCCATGTTAACAGCATACCATTGCACACCTATTACAGCCATCATGGTTCAAACACAAACTGTGGAAAGAGAAGCCCTAGCAGAGTAGACAATAGGCAGTGAATTACTCACTCAACACAGGAAAATACAATAGAGTGCTCATTGGCAGGGAAAATTTGTACCATGGTATATTAATAACACTTATTGACTGATTGTTTATTGTCTGCCGTTCTAACTCTCATTGGTTGAGAGTGTATTTGAGTACTCAGAGCTTGGGGGAAAATACCCTAGTAGATTTAAGTATATACCACTTAGGAAAATATTTCTGAGATAAATAGCAGTATAATTAGTACTGCATGGTGGAATTAAATAGGGTGTATACACCAGGAAAATTTCCAAGCACAGGCAAAGGTTTCCCTTTGCTACATTTTTGGCTGTCTTTCAGGGCTATTTTTTCACTTCCTAGTGTCCTGTTCCTCCACCCCTAAGAGCTTAAAAAAAAAAAAAACAAAAAAAAAAACAAAAAAAAAAAACCTCCCCTTTTTATCATGGCTTACCTTCCCTCCTATGGTGCCTCTGACCCAAAATTGCTTCTCTTCTGTTCTAGTATATTCATCACAATACCCATTCCTTCAGTTTCAGTGATCTCATCCATATTTTGAAAGAAAGCAAAGTGACTTAATTATGTTCAAGTATGAATGGTTGGTTGGTTGAGTCAACCTGAAATACTGGCATATGGAAAGTTGTAACCCCTTTACCTAAATGAGTATTTTAATTTAACTATTTTAGACAAGCATGACTAAGTAAAAAGAACTTCAGGCTAAGCAAGAAAAAAAATGTGTGGACAGGAAGAGAAGTGATACCACCTAGGGTATATTGTAACTTACTGCAAAATTCAGACCTGGGGCTATGGTGCTGCTGCCTCTCACCCTCTCTTCATGCCGACGGGAGATTCTGTGAGTGAAACATAGCATGCTTTCCATTTAGACAGGACTTTGAAAGTGCTCTAGGAAATCCCGCTCAGTGCTCTAGGAAGACACTACCATTTGTTTCAAGTTGATCATCTTCATGAAACTTATTTCCCATTTCTGGTTTAAAACCTTAGGCTTTTACCACTTTATAACACTGTCTATTGATGGATGTGTGCTTAAAAAAATTAACTGTCCTGCACTTAGATGGAAATCCTTATAAATTAAATCTTTTAGTGTCTGAAAAAAGGAATGATCCACACACAAAAAAGTATCCAGTGGAATCAATTAAGAACATGTTAATTTTAAGTTTTTGTCGTATGGGTCGATTTTTTTTTCAACAGGGTTCAGTCATCATGGGGTCATGAGGATGGTTAATAATTGGGTTTTATCATGGTTGGGGTTTTGCCAGACAGGTGTTATGTATGGTGTAGAAAAGTTTTCAGGAACTCTGTCACAGTCCCCATACTCAGCCCTCTTCCTTTGGGGTCTGATGAAAAGGTTCAGCACCTCCTGTTTTTTTACCTAAGTCAGTCACCGACCATTCATGTGCACTCTCCTTCCCCAAACCAAATTACCTGGTTATGCGTCCACCAACATCATGACCACTTCCACATCCAAACTATAAGAACTTGGGCAGCAGATTATTTAACTTCTCTTTAAGCCTTAGTCTGTTTCATCCAGTGTGGATAATAGTTCCTACCTCATTGGTGAGAATCAGCTGAGATAATTTCATGTAAAGCACAGTGCCTAGAATATAGTAGTATCTTAAATGTTATTGTTATACTTGAAAGAAAACTTTATTAATAAATAAGAGAACTCAAAGCAACTAAGGACTCAGTGAAGGAAACTAGAAAAAAAGAACTACAAAGTAAACCTATAAAAAGCAAGAGGAAGGAATTAAATATAATTTCAAAAATCAGCGAATTAGAAAACAAGGGAAAACACACAAAAGCAAATCCACAACATTAGGAAAGCAAAACAGGATATAAGCACAGATAGGAAGGAGATTAAAACATCATAACAACCCAAATATTTACAGATAAAATGATATAACGTCTGAGATTTGCTTCAAAATAATCAACTACAGGAGTTGGGGAAGTGAGCATATGAAACAAGATTGGCTGTGAGTTGAAGATTATTAAACTTAGGTGATGAGCACATGAAGGTTATACTATTCTGTCTACTTTTGCATATGGTTGGAATTTTCCTTAGGTTTAATTTCAAAAACTTAATAGAATACTAAGTGTAACAGTATACCAATATGAAAGTTGGTGAAATGTATGCTTTTTTAGGAAAATCTAAATTTGGGAAGGGAGAGAGAAACAGTATACCAATAGCCTTGGGAGAAGTTGAAATCTTAAAAAATTAGCACTACCACACTTTCCGTCCACCCTTATAATGCCAAGTTCAGTGATTTCTTAAGAGAAAAATCTTCTAAACTTTCAAGAAATAGATCACTCTGTGGTCTTTAAGTTGTCCCAAAACATAGGAAAAAATCTGCCTTGCCTTCTTGTTTTATAGAATTAGCATAGTCCCGAAAATGAGTTAGCATAGAAAAGGAAACCATGTGCCAGTTTAATTTATGAATATAAATGCAAAAATCCTAAATAAAATATTTACAAATTACGTATAGAATTATACTAAAACAATGGATTTTTCCCGGAAATACAAGCATAGGTCAATATTAAGAAATTTATTTGTCTAAGTTATCAGTAGATCAAAGGAAGAAAAATTAAGTGACAATATTAATAGATAAAAAGACATTACACAAAACTTAGCACTCATTCCTCTTTTAGTAAAGAGGAAATAGACTTTAACACTATATATCTAAAACCAAATATTCACATTATGTCTGAATGAATTAGTGAGTGTATCTCCAAGTCAGGATCAAGATAGCATTTACTACTGCTTACTTTAAGCTCTGTAGACGATGGGAAGTTTGGAGTTTGTTCTGTGATGGGAAGCCATTGAAGAATTTGAGGTAGGGGCATAAATTAGTCTGCTTTCTGTTTTAAGATTATTCTGGCTGCTGTTATTAAACTAATGATACCGCATTGGACACTATATCTCATACCCTAAACCATAATGATATATGTCTAGTCAATAACCAATGTTATTTCTTTAAATAAATAAAAATTTCTGACAAAAAAAAGATTATTCTGGCTGCTGTGAAGATAAAGGATTTCACAGGGAAAATTTAGAAGCAGAGAAACCAGTCTTATGGCAATAGATGATAGTTTGTACTGGGAATGGCAGAGGAAATAGAAATAGACAGATTTTAGGTTTATTTTTGAGATAAAATTAGTAGAATTTATTGAGGGGTTAAATATGAAAGGAAGGAAATTAGATAAGAAAGGAAAGACCAGAAAGGACTCATAGGTTTTTGAGATAGGTAATAATGTCATTGCCTAAAATGAGCAAGATTAGCTTCCCATTACACTTGAAATAAAATCCAAACCCAAATTTCTTGGGTCTAAGGCCTCACTTAATATGGCCCTAAACCTCTTCATTTCCTTCCTCTTTCCTTGATGTTCATTGCATTTTAGCCACTGTGGCCTTTCCTTTGTGTCTTGAATTCATTAAGCTAATTCCTATCTCTGTGCTTTGGCATTTGCTGTTCATTCTGTTTGAGGACTCTACCCCATGAGTCAGCAAACTTTGTCTATAACGGGCCAGATAGTAAATAAATATCTTAGACTTTGTAGGCCATATGATCTCTCTTGCAAATACTCAACTCGGCGGTAGCCATTGTGGGCAAACACAGTTGAAGATAATATTTAAACAGAGATGGACATGGGCAGATTTGGCCCTTAGGCTGGCCAGGCCTGGCTGTAGTTTACCCCTGCCCAAGGTCTTGATGTGGTTCCTTCCTTATTATTCAGGTTCTTCCTGGAGGACAACGTGCCAAATAAGTTAGGATCCAAAACCTTAATGCTGCATACTCTTGAATGTACAGTTCTACTTCTAGAAATTATTTCTAAATGTGAATGTGTACAAAGGATGGGACAGACCATCGTGTAGAGCAAAGACCCAACAATAGGAGATTTGTATAATAGAATTTTCAACAGTTCTTAATAATGCATTGAAGATTAGAGAACAGGGGTCAGCAAACTACACTCATGGGCCTGTCACCTGTTTCTGTAAAAGATGTTTTATTGGAACGCAGCCTTACCCATTCGTTTTCTCACTGCACTGGCAGAGTTGACAGAAACCGTATGTCCTGCAAAGCTGAAAATATTTACTATCTGTCCCTTTACAGAAAAAGTGATACTATGTGTAGTATGGTCCATATATGTGCATAGAAAAGACTGGAAAGAAAATCACCAAAATAGTGATTTTTTTAAATTTTTTCCCTTTTTGTTTATTATCTAAGTTTTCTACAATGGGCATCCATTATTTTTATAATAGTAGTTACTTTTTAAATAATAAGGTAAATGATTAAATCAATAAAATGTTTAAAACAAAACTTTAGTGAGATAAAGTTTAAGAAATTTTAGAGATGGAAAAAAAGAACAGTATCTAGTTTCATGTGCACAACCACACAAGTAGCATCCATTTCAGATTTCAGCATATGATATTTATTAAGGCAGCCATTTATTTGAGGTCTTATGTGTGATATTTGGTATTAATCTCAAGATTAATCTGGCAATGGGATGTGCTTAAACAGTAATAAATACCATAAGAGATGTACCAAAGGACTTCAAGAGCTCACATTCTGGTTAGGAGATAGATAACACCTGAATAAAGCAATTGCTCATTGATGAGTTGTAATGTGATTATAAGGAATTCCAATCACATGAGCTAGTCTTTTAACTTTGGTGCCTTTTGATGTAAAGACCTTTTAAAATTTTATAATCAAATCTGTATTAATACTTTCCCTTATGGTGTCTGCATTCTCCAAACAGGTAGCCATATATCCTAACATCTCCCTCTGATGTACAGTGCCACATTCTTTTCAGTCACTCTATTTGTGTTTTACAGCAGTACCACACTGTTTTAATTAAGGTATCATTTCAACTTGGAGACTTATTTCAGATTTTGGTGTCTGAAATATTGCTTCATTTTAGTGCTGATTATTAAAAACCATAACACACGCAAAATGTGAATTATTAACCTGAGCACTGGTAGTAATTAAAGCCAATTTTCACTAATCCTTTAAGTTTAAAAAAGGGTATTTGGTTGCTCATGTTTAAAAATATTACTTGAATAAAGTCAATGACTGCTACTTAACAGAGATATCCTACTTCATGAGTTGTGCAGTAAAGATGATGCTTTTTCCTGACATAGTCTCAAGAGCCACCTCATGTTCAGACTGCCATTCTGTGTTAGGCGGTTGTCCTAGCCTTGCTGCCCTTTTGGAGCTCCATTGTAAGGAGTCTTAAGTAATTCCTTTTGGGAGATGGGAGAGTTCCTAAGTGTCTGCCTTGCTGAAAAACTGAAGCATGCGTTTTTAAACAAGAGGAGTGCACAGTTTTCCGGGCGGAATTCAAAGTTCTATCTTAGATATTTATTTGGGTCCCTGTTGCTGCTAATGTATTTGATTGTATAAGATAATTTTTTAAATTGAGCAAGGTTTTTTTTTTAGTTACTCTTCAACTTCCATTAGGTCATTTATAGAACATTTTCATAAAAATTTGATAGAGGAGGAAGAGCCCTGGCTTTTCATGTAGAATCTGTAGCACAAAATGGTCTCTCTAATGTTTGCTCAATAAATGGGTACTAAACTGAACTCCCATTATAGATAGCTCTATCACCAAATATGGGCCTACCTTGACCACAGTTTCTTCATCCAGAAAGTGAGCTGATTATTCTTGGTATTTTCTAGAGTGTCTTTAGATTTTGAAAATTCCGTGCTTTTATTAAATTCTTACAGGCTGTGCAGATTAACACTTGAGGTTTTTGTTGGTTCCACATAGATTAAATGTTCATTAAGCAGAGCATTATCCCACAACTCTTGAAGCTGTTGTCCTTCGGTTGTTTTAAATACCACTATTACAGTGATTATGTTCTGAATATTGGCATACCTGTCATTTTCCAAAGTAAAAATACCTTAGAAAAACTTCTATAACGTATTAGAGGATGAAATGAAATGGAGTAAGGGATTATATGGTAGCTTGACCCCTCCTTCTTTTCCAACATGGCTTCTTAAGTGTTTCATTTTGCTAATAACCCAAGGATTGGACTTCTTTTTTTTAACTTATATTTTATCAACTAGGAATGTGAGTTTTTAACTATGGGCCTTTAAGTCTTTAACCTGGTTGATAATTAATGCTTATGACTAACATAAATTCAAAAGTAATTTACTTTCATTTAAGACAGGTAGCATTTGTCCTTACATCACAATTTTAAAAGTTTCTTGCCTGTGGTCTTCATTTTCTACCTATAGTTATGAAACTCTTCCTCATTGACAGGGAACACCCATGACATGCCTGTGTATAACCTTAAAATTATCTTGAGACCACGGCTTGAGTGTGTGTATAAACACACTGCAAAGGGTCAAATTCCACTTGTGCATCAGTTTAGCAACTTTTAGTAGTGGCAACTAGTTTCAGTTGTTTTAAAGGGTCATATAGTTAAGAAATTCTGGCATTTCTCAGGATTCTAAAATAATAACGTTTGTTTCACTGGTTGTGAAAATTGTCCGGATTGCTGGGAACTAGGAGAAAAGAATATTTCAACAGGATTTGGCTATCAGCAAATCTGTTTTGGTTTCCTATTCTGGCCTCCCTACCTATCCAGCTACATTAGTGCCCCTGCCGGCAGGTTTCTTCTTTCTTTTACCACAGGAAAATTGTCCGGCCTCTTTTTCTAGCATTTTCAGGACCCGCCTGACAGGAAATTTTCTAATTGCCGGAACAGCTGGTAGGAGAAAACTTTGCAGGGGCTTGGCCTTCCCTTTCTAACTTAAGTTTTACCGTCAGAAATTCTTTTATCACCATCATGGTTTCGTAGCCATGTTTAAATTTTTGTCTTTTCGTGTTCGCTCTATACAGGTAAGCTCTGTTCAGCTTCTTTTATAGAATAAAATGTTTTAGTTGGAGCTAACTATAATTACAGTAATTAGTTATTTCGTTTTATATGTTCTTTAAAGCAGCTTTTCAAAATTCAAAACCTGTTTTGATAGAACTTTTAAAGGATAATAGCTCTGTTTACTAAAAGCCAGTTATGTGTATTATACATTTCAACTCTGTATATTTTGTCAACTGACTTTTACGTTGTTTTTTTGTTTTTGTTTTTTTTAGTGCTAGAGTAATTTTTATCTTGCTAGTGTTTGTAATTTTGTATAGTAAAACAAATGACTGTAACTCTCAAAATTAAACCAGGCATAAACAGAATTGCAAAATTGCTAATATTTAGGAGATTACTATAATGAAAACAACTTTAGTGGGTAGGAGAGTATGTTATTTTAAGCAGTCAATAACTTAAAATCACATTTTGGTGGAAATTGGTTCCTGTAAAAACTTGGAAGTTTTTAAGCAACTCCATATTTAAGTAACTTTAAGCAAGTAATTTTATCTGACTTAGAGTAGGAACAATTTTCAAAGAATTATTCTGTTAAAATGGGCTTAGTGGATGTTAATTTGCAATATATTTAATCTACAATCCTGCCAAAATCAACTTGATATTTTGCCATGAGAATTGTGCTATCCAGCAGCTCTTTAAAGAGAATTAAATTTGCTGATCGGGATTCCAGATTGGGAGAAAACTCTGCTCTTTGTGGCGGTGATTAGAAATGTTAATCTGGAGAACCAGCTTGCTGTTTTCTCAAACATAGATAAAAGGAGCTGACTTATAAGAGCTTAAAGCTCTCTTAAAGAATTTGGTTAAATGAAAAATGTTGAGCTTATTTATCATTCCATCAGCAAATGAAGTAAATTGAATTCAGTCAGATTGTAATCTAGAATATATTAATACATAGTTTCACACCATGGCTTGAATAACCAGCCTAATTTTGTGTCACAGCAAAATAATTTTTATGTATCTTGATCATCTACAAAGAGGTTAACATATCTTTTTAAAATAAAACTACATGTTATAGAACTATAGGTATCTATATAAAGGGTGATAGTTTAATTTAGAATGACATTTAAGGGGCAAATAAAGTATGCATTTTTCATTTGTAAGGTCTTTTTTATGGTACAACAAAAAATGGTTACACATCCATAGTTAGAAAGTACTTATTGACTTTTACCAAGGAACATTTAAATATTTTACTTCAAGCTTCAGTAATATTTTCTGGCATTCAAAACAATTTAGAAAATACAAATGCCTCAAGAACACACTTCCTGACTCAGGGGAGGGGAGGAAAAAGGAAATTATGTATACAAGGCAGGGCATAATGCCAAATGTTGAATCATTCTTTGAAATCAGTTAATATCTCTCAGTTTGTTTTCTTAGTTAGCATGTTACAATATTAGGTTTTCGATAATTCAAATAGACAATATTAATTTCAGTTTCTTTTCTTTAATCCTTTTTACATTTTAAGATCAAAATGATATTTTTCTCTCACAACTTGAAAAGGAAACATTAGATTATTTTTTCCCCACTAAAGAGTGGACCTTAAAGACCATTGAGGTATAAACCTAAGGACGTTTTGTTGGTCCTGGGAAATAAACTGGGTGGCTTTTTGTGTGACTGAGGGACACCAAAAGATCCACCTGCCCATAAATTTTCTCTTCATTTTTCCATGATGTCCAAAATGACACTCTTTACAGAATTGTAAAAGTATATGTTTCAACTGAACTGACTTTGTTTTATCCATCAGGGGTCATATCTCAACAGATATTTATCTAATAATAAATCTTTGAGATCCAGGTAAATTGTCTTAGTATCTCTAACACCTAGTACAATACCTGGCCCATAATTTGAATGGCCTTCCAACAAAAAGGAATGGTCCTAACAGAGTATGTCATAGATCAGAAACATTTTCACTGGGACCAGGCATTCAGGAAAAAGCAAAAGCAGGAGAGCCGCCTGAATTTTAGTTCTCTCTTGACCTCATTCTTCTCTACCTCTCTTTCATACTCTCTGATTTAAACTCTAGTGTCCAGGTGTGCTCCTGCTGTGGCCTTTGTACTGGCTTGTCCCTCTCCCAGGAATGCTTTTCCCCCAGGTGCTTGACTTTCTCACCTCCCTCAGGTCTTTCTCAAATAGCATCTTCTTAATAAAGCCTGCCCTGACTTCTTTATTGAAAATTACAACCCCCCCCTTTCCATATCTGCTATTCTCATCTCTTTACTCAACTCAATATCTTTTCTTCATAGTATTTATCATGTTCTAACCTTTATTTACCTATTATTATTATTTGGTCTGTTGTCAAAACGGCAAAGTTTTTGGTCCATTTGACTTATTGTATATCCCAGCGCCTAGAAGAGTACCTAGCATGTATCAGGTACTCAAAAATAAATGTTTAAATGGATGGATGAATGAATTAGTGAATTCCCGTACATAGCTTAAGGGTATTGAACACCTAGGCTGAGGGAGGTGGCAAATGTCTGAAAGGGGTGGAAATGTAGGAAGAATGAAAGAAGACGTGATGTAGATCTGCTGCCATCCTGAAAATTTTGCCCACAGTCAGACTTTTGCTTATCAAATCAACAGTCTTTGTAAAAATAATAGCATGGAATTTATTATTACTGTTTTTAAATGCACAAAGTAAGTTTTTTGTGGTAATGAATGGACAGATATCCATTTATCATTTAAAAAACAGTTGTGCCAGAGAATGTAAAAATATGTGAGCCTCACAGAATAATTAGAATGTATATAATTTATATCTGTGTTCCAGTTTATTAACATAATATTTTTCCATAAAACTATTAATATAGCTGCTTTACCATGTACTTATAGGCAAAAATACAGTTTTACAAAATGTCAAGTCAAACTATAATTTTATGTTTTCATGTGACAGATTTATTTCAGTAACAGGTGATTTAGTGACATAAGATATGTTTGTCACATGCACATGTCAGTCTGTTCTTGGCTTATCACTGCCCTTGGAAATCTGATATTCCTTTCTGCATCCATCTCATTAGATTCCAAGTATGAGCTAGAAAAGTACATTGTTGCTTTCCTACCTGTTGTCCAAGATTGCCCAAGCATTAGTATTATGTCCTGGTTGAACCTTAGATTCATTTCTAAAATAGTCATGGTCCCATGACCTGGTGACATTAAGTACAATCTGGGCATTGAGATCTCAACCCAGGATATTTTGCCTATTATACTACTGTAATTTTCCATATATATAAAGTAGATAGAAAATAGTTTGCTGGTGTGATTAGTAAAAATTTAAGTCTTATGAAATTTAAACTTAGAAGGAACAGAAAAGCGTGTTCAGGATAAAACAGTGGCAGGTTTTTGAAACTTGAGCCAATGCCAAACTTGCCACAGGAATTGATCTTTTCTCTCTACCCTCAAGAGTATTTTCCGTACTCTCTGAGTCCTGATTTAGAAAAATATTTTATAAATCCCTGTTTGTATCCCTAAAGAGGTTTGAAATGATTGCATCTGTTTTGGGGGGAAGAGAGTAGGGAGTGGAGGAAGATGCTTTTTAAAACACACATACACACACACACACACACACTAAGAAAAGGAACACTTGAAAATGTACTTTAAGATTTGCCAGGATAAAAAATTTAGTATGAAAGTGGGAAGATAAAGTCAAGAAAGTCTCTTAGAAAGTAGAGACAGTGCTGGACATGATGGCTCATTCCCGTAATCCCAGCACTTTGGGAGGCCAAGGCAGGCGGGCAACATGTTGAGACCCTGTCTCTACAAACAAATCAAAAAATTAGCCAGGTGTTGTGGCACATGCCCGTAGTTCCAGCTACTGGGGAGGCTGAGGTGGGAGGATCACTGGAGCCCAGGAGGTTGAGGCTGCAGTGAGCTGAGATCGCACCATTGCACTCCAGCGTGGGTGACAGAGTGAGACCCTGTCTCAAAAAAAAAAAAAAAGAAAAAAAGAAAAAAAAGTGGAAACAGAAAATAGGAGAAAAAAATGACATAAAGGATTCCATTTCAGACGTACAATATTCAACTAGTAGAAGAGTCACAAAAAGAGAAGCCCTGAAAAATGGGTGGAAGGAAATTATCAAAGATATGTTAGAATTCCCCACAAAGTTAAAGAATTCAGGTCTTTAGATTATAAAGGTTCACCAAGCATCTGGCATTCTGAAGGAAAGAAGACCCTATTTATCTCACTATTGGGGAATTTCAGAAACACAAGGACAGAGAAAATCTTTAAAGCTTCCAGAAGGAAAAACCAGACCTACCAAAAAGTGTGACTAGACTAGCATCACCCATCTCATCAGCAGAACTGGATGCTAGAAGGCAATGGATCTATGGTGTCAAAGTTCTGAGCCAAGATTATTTTTCTTCTGGAATTTGGTACTAAGCCAAACTATACAAATGGGAAGACAAAATAACAACATTTACAGATGTGTGAGGTTCAGAAAGTTTTCTTCCACATCACCTTTCTTTGGAAGTTACAAGGGGGTAATCTAAGAAAGAGACATAGAAAACTGAAAACAGTGAATTCAACCAGAAAATCACTGAAGACCTATCCCAAGATGATAGCTGTGCAGCGGGCCTACAGAACCACCAATCCCGATGGGAGGGTAAGAGAGGTCTCCAGGATAGAAAGGAGCTCTCAGAAGAAAGGAAAATATTGCTAAGGGCTAAGAAAACATTAAGAATAGTGGTCAAATTACTTTTCCCTTTCCCCAAGAATGGTGGAAGGCTGTTAAAAATAGGAAAAAATAGAAAAGTGCATGATAAATTCATGATCCAAATGGGAATCAAAGTAAAATTTATCATGAATTTAAACATTTAATGAAGTTTTGTTTTTTTTTTAAGTCCCCTCAGATTGGCCTGGGAGTCGTTGTTATGGGCCCATATAAAAGGAAATTTAGTATATTACCTAGCCTTCATTTGAACCATATATTGTCATGATAATGTGGATGCTGTTGTCTATAGGCTTTCAACTTTAGAATCAGGCTATAGAGAGAGCATGAAGGATTTGGTTGTGGCTGCAGGAGGAAATGTTAATTTTCTTTTTTTTTTCTTTATTTTATTTTATTTTATTCTATTATTATACTTTAAGTTTCAGGGTACGTGTGCACAATGTGCAGGTTTGTTACATATGTATACATGTGCCATGTTGGTGTGCTGCGCCCATTAACTCAGGAAATGTTAATTTTCTTAAAATTAATAGCTTTAATATTAATAAAATTACATACAGCTAGCAGCAAATGGGAAGAAGTTTAAGAGGAAGAATATATGGGCACTATTAGCCTCCTTTTGCAAAGGGAAGAGTTAGGATTCTGTCCAAAGCAGAGAAAAGATAAGAAGTGTATGTAAAGGTAATATAATTACCAAACAATAGAGAGGAAGATGATGAAGTGAAGGGGCATAATGTAAGTAAGTCCCTCACCTTTCTTAAGTCAGTAGACATTGTCTTAAGGTTAATAAATTAAGAAATTATCAAAGTAGATGCAGAACTAATTTTTTTTCAAGTCTAGGCGTGAGGGTGAGAAGAGACTTGCTTTTCACCATAAGCTATTCTGCCACTGTTTATTACCAATGTGCATGTATTACTTTGATTTTAAAAACAAAAAGTTTAGGGAATAAGAAATAACCTGGGTTGACAAAAGGCTATGTGTAAGAGAATGTTGGGAGATAATATCACAAAAGTAGGTTGAGGCCATATTGTAGAGGACCTCGAATGCCAAGGTGAAGCAGTGCATTTAATTTGAGAAAACTTGGAGTTTTTTAACAGCCTGGTCATATGACTGGAGCTGTATAATTTCAGAAAATGAATTTGTCAAAAAGATGAATTGGAGTGGACGCAGGCAGAAAGGGATATTATGAGTAACCAATCTAGTTTCAGTTTTCTAGCTGAAAGGTAATGAAGGCTTATACCTTGATGATACCACTGGAAATAGAAAAAGAAAGAATGAAAAGTGTTCTCAACACTGTGCTTGATACATAGTAAGTGTTTCGGTATGTGGTTGTTATACTGAAGGGACCAAAGGGAGACACTACTTTTTTTTTTCTTTTGAGACAGGGTCTTGCTCTGCTGCCCAGGCTGGAGTACAGTGGCATGATCATGGCTCACTGTAGCCTCGACCTCCTGGGCTCAAGCGATCCTCACATCTCAGCTTCCTGAGTAGCTGGGACTACAGGCTCGCACCAACCACCACACCTGGCTAATTTTGTAAATTTTTTTGGTAGAGACAAAGTCTCACTATATTGCCCAGGCTAGACTCTACTTTTTGTTGTTGTTGTTGTTGTTTTGAGATGGTGTCTCTCTCTCATCACCCAGGAGGCTGGAGTGCAGTGGCGTGATCTTGGCTCACTGCAACCTCTGCCTCCTGGGTTCAAGTGATTCTCCTGCCTCAACCTCCCAAGTAGCTGGGATTACAGGCACCCACCACCACGCCCAGCTAATTTTTGTATTTTTACTAGAGACAGCATTTCACCCTGTTGGCCAGGCTGGTCTCGAACTCCTGACCTCAAGTGATCCACCCACCTCAGCCTCCCAAAGTGCTGGGATTACAGGCATGAGCCACCGTGTCCAGCCAGACTCTGCATTTTTTTAGTAACTTATTTGACATGAGATGAAAGGAAGGGTAGTCATCAAAGATGAGAGTAGTAATTGTTGTTTATTTTGAAATTCATGGCCTGATTGTAGCTCACACTATTTAAGGGTAAGGGTTGATCCTGTATGCCTGCTACAAAATGGAATGTGTTTATAATTCAGTGATTATTCTTCCCTGCTTGTGTTGCATCTTTATTTGTGACCATCAGTTTTTGTAGGATTTGCTATGAAATATAAGGTGAAAAAATACTGTAACCTGATAAATCACATCCCACTTACCTAAAAAAGAAAAATGTAAAAAATATATAACATTACAAAATAGAGTTCTTCATGACCTCATGATTTAAAGGCATAAATGGCTGCTAGATTCCAATTAGGCTCTTGAACAGATAGTTTTTTTGTTTTGTTGTTGTTGTTGTTGTTTTGGTTTGGTTTTTTTTGTTTTTTAATACGAGGCTAACTGACACATGCTGGAATCCAGCCCATTAACTTGGTTAGTCTTCAGAGTGTGACGTGACAGCACTTTGGGGTATAGAAAAAGAAAAGAAGAGAACTTCTTTACGTGTATATAATTTTAAGGATACAAATATTGTGTGTGTAGGTTTTGTTTTGTTTTGTTTTGTTTGTTGTTTTGGTTTTTTTTTTTTGTTTTTTTTTCCTGCTAAGGATGTGCTACCAAAAAGTTCAAAGAACACTGCTCTAATCAACTGAGCTAACAGACCGGTTACAAAGACCAGGGTCATAAGCCTATAGGTTTCCTGTCATTGATCTCAGTGTGGTGTAATGGTAAGGGCCTTGTTTTCAAAGTCAGGAGACCTAGAATTGAGCCCTAAGTCTACCACTTACTGGCTTGTGATCTTAAGCCTTCAATTAATCTCTTTAAATTTCAGACTATAGAATATTCAGACCAGTTTGTTTTTAGAGTATGTGTCAAATTTCTAGTGGTAAATGGGAGAGTACATAGAAAACTCTGAAATGTTTATGCTTGTTCTAAGGTTTACTCGTTTATGTTGTATCAGCCCTCTCTAACATTAAATACGTGGTCAGATTTGTTGTGAAGCATGAATATAAAACATGAAAAAACACCTAACACAGGGTTGATATGTAGTAGGTGCTCAATAATAGTATTTCCTGGATTTCTATCTAAATCTTAATCCCACATATACTTTGTTCTTTGAAAGGTTTTTTTTTTTTTTTTAAATTTGGTAATTTGCTTCCTGCCTTTCCTGTTGTACTAATGGCTACTAACAGCTATCACTCTGAAGCCCTTGGTCTCATTTGGAGAAAAGGGTGTCTGAAACCCTTGTACCTTGGTCTTATTTAGAGGAAAGAGGTAGCGTTTTAAGAGTCAGCTAATGCTTGGTTCTACGCTAATACCTACTGCACAGGATCGTTGTGAGAATTAAAGGAGATAATGCATGGGAAATTGTGAAATAAAGAGCTAAACTGATGTTAGGAAATGATTTGATTATTGTTTCCGAAGTCCCAGGGGAGTCCAATATGATTGAACTGCCTAAGTAGTAGGATAACCTACAAATTACAGCCTCTGTCTTCAAAATAAAGTAGTGGGCCTGGATTCCTTTTTCTCCTCTTCTGGGAGCTTTTTTCCTTTTACTACTCATTTTCAAAAGCTACCATGTTAGGGTATTCTGGTATGTCCTTTTGAGAAATCTTTGTAATTCCTTATATTGCCAGCATTCTAAGGACATCTCAGAAAATGTTAATTGAATGCAAATGTTTGTATGGGATATGATAATAACAAAAACAATGGATTAGTTATGTTTACATAACACATTGAGATTCTACTAACAGTACTTACGCACCTAGAAAAAAATAACATTATAGTCAACAAAATAGAAATGCTAGTCTTTATTTGACAGGCTTATGTTTCTAATTTTGTCAGGTTTTGTTTTGTTGTAATTTTTGACTATAACATACCGTATGTGTCTTGATTAAATAAGATAACCTAATCTGCTGATCTCACATAAGTAATTGAAATCCTGTGTGTATTTCATACATTTTCTCTTTGTTCTGACACTTTTCCTCAAATATATTAAAATGTTCACTGTCTTTTAAAATCCTTCTCTTAACCCAGATACTTCTCACTGTTCCATCATGCTGAATAGTCATTTTTTTCCATGTCTGATTATCCATCCAAATGTTAAATCTTTTCTCCTTTTGTGTTTTAGAGTTACTCCTTTCTCCCCTCTCAGATCCCAGATTATTCTAGAAACAGAAAGTAACTTAGACATTTCAAAGGAATAAAACTTCAGTGTACTTAAACAGCCACATTGAGGTTAGAAATCTCCATGTTTACCCTGGAATATTTTTCAACCCCTCTCCTCAATAAACACTTTTTTTAAATAGCATTAGTTCTGCGTAGCATAACCATACACCAGAGCACAGCAGATTATTCCAATCTGTTATTTTCAGACTTCTTTACACCCTCTGCCCCCACCCAATAAAACTATTCTAATTATCTCCAGTAGAGAGAATGAAGACTTGGAAATACTTAGTACTAAATGTCATGTAGAGGTTAAATTGGCCTATGTAGTAGGCTGGTATAATAACTGTCTCTGACATTTAACCTGAAAGTATATGTGTGTGGCATATTCACTTGATGGGTTGGTAAAAGGTGGTTTTTGTATGTTAATTTGGGATTTCTAATATGTTTAGAAATTAGATTGATTTCTAATTAATTTCTAGTAAGATTAAATTAATATTGTTTGATTTTTAGCGGGAGAAAATAGCTCTGGCTAACCCTGTTTGCTCCTCTTACGTTTATCTCAACAGGAAGAAGTCAGTATCAAAGAAATTGCAATCACACATCATGTAAAGGAAGGACATGAAAAGGCAGATCCTTCCCAGTTTGAACTTTTAAAAGTATTAGGGCAGGGATCATTTGGAAAGGTAAGTCATGAGTGTGTGCTTTTTTAAGAGTTGTCTTTTCAATTCATATGTATTTCATATACATGAGGAAACAAATATTTTATGAAATGCTACCAGTCTTCCTACCAGCAATGTTTTCTGTTTTTTTACATTTCTCACTATCAGTAAGTGGGAAAGTGAATAAAGTTGTTCAAAAGTACGTTGGAGACTTCAGTAAATTGGTACTATTTGCTTCCTACTTTATCTTCAAGAGCACATGACCTCTCCAGTTGTGATTCTTAAATTGTTAAAAATCACAAGATATTCCCTTGATACACTGGCCTCTTTTTGAGTCCTTGGGTAGGGTTGGAAGGTGATCTTGCAATACAGCGCATCTCAGCCTCCCTTCCAGCGTACTCTAATACCAGCATAAAGTGAGTGACGCTCCCAAAGAAGTAGGGTTGGGGGCTACCGCTACAATTTTGAAGTTTTCTTGACTCCTGGCTTGTCTTTAAAATGAATGCAAAGTTTGCATTTTATCCAGTAACATCGTGTTTGTTTTTAATATCAAAAAATGTTTCCCAAAGCCACCAAGGAAAATTCCTCCAGAAGGCAGGGTCTGCCTCCTCTGTCACCCAGGCTGGAGTACAGTGGCATGATCTCGGCTCACTACAACCTCTGCCTCCCAGGTTCAAGCAATTCTCCAGCCTCAGCCTCCTGAGTAGCTGGGACCAAGGCACACACCACCACGCCCAGCTAATTTTTGTGTTTTTTTTGTAGAGATGGGGTTTCGCCATGTTTCTCAGGCTGGTCTCAAACTCTTGAGCTCAAAGCGATCCACTTGCCTCGGCCTCCCAAAATGCTGGGATTACAGGCGTGAGCAACCACGCCCGGCCGAAGATGCAACATCTTTATCAGTGTTTTTCATGTAGCGCTTGTCTCCCACCACATACATACACACTGCACACCTCAGGGGCACTTCTGTACTCCATTTTGAGAAGTACAGCATCATAATTACTACTGCTTGATCTGTTTAGACCAGGGGTCCCCAACCCCCGGGTGAGCATTGCCGTTTGAGCACCACCTCCTGTCAGATCAGTGGCAGCATTCAATTCTCATAGGAGCACGAACCCTGATGTGAACTGCACATGGGAGGGATCTAGGTTGTGCACTCCTTATGAGAATCCAATGCCTGATGATCTGAGGTGGAACAGTTTCATCCCAAAATCATCTCCCCCTCCCACCGCGCCAGTCTGTGAAAAAACTATCTTCATGAAACCAGTCCCTGGTGCTAAAAAAGGTTGGGGATCACTGGTCTAGATTGTTTCTTGGCAAGAGGAAAATTTGGAGATTGTATTCAACTTTGACGATGCAGTGATTCCTTACCACTTCTCTGTAAGGAAATATTTGAATATATCATGCTTTGCAAGTTTCAGAACAGCACCAGTTTAGCTCTCTTGTGTATTTTAGTGGGGGTATTTAGCAATTCTTGGCTAACATAGGTAATTTGTTACAGTTGTTAACCTCTTTTGAACCCAAAAGGATGCTTTTAATCCAAATAAAGAGTAAGTAGCCATCAGAGCGTAATGGTTGTAAGTTTGGGCTCTAGGTCAGCCGGACTTCAATTCAATTTTTTTTCTTCTATTTATTCACTGTGTGTGCTTGAGCAAGTTACTTAACCTCTTGGATCCCCATTTCCTTCCTCTAGCCAGTCATTAAATATTGAAGTTCTTCAAGGTTCGATTCTAGGCTGCCTTCTTCTCTGTTACTAATACTCTCCTAATTGATTTTCTCTGTGCCTGCTATCTTAATTGTAACTCACATACAGCTGACATAACACATTTATATCTCCAATCTAGATTGCTTCTCCAAGCTCTGAATTCTTATGCACAGCTGCTTACTCTTTTTCTATGTCTTAAAAGCACTTTAAAGTCAACATGTCTGAGACCAAACTCATGATCTTTCCCTAAGCCTCAAACTGTTCTATTTCATTTTTCTCTCATTAAGCAATTTAGAAACTTGGGAAGCGTTCTTGATGTATATTTCTAGTCCCTACCTCCCCTATCCCACTCTGACCTGGCCAGTCTTATCTGTCACCAAGTACTGTAGATTCAGTAAAGATTTCTCAAAGCCTGCCTGCCACCCCTTGAGAATATGCTACCACCTTTCTTCCTGGTCTATTGAAGGAGTCTCCTAACTGGGTCTTTCCAAATGTATTCTTGCCTTGATCCATTATTTACATGATAGCCAGCATGAACTAATCTTTTACTCTACCCCTCCATAACCTTTCAGCGTCCTCTCTTTGCTTTTACGATAAAGATGAATTCTTAAGATGGCTGAGGAGCCTCTCAGTCTGGTCTCTAGCTACCTCTCCAGCATCAGTTTACATACTTTTCACTCTCTGTGTTCTGGTCACATTGGCTGCCTTTGTTGGTCCTTAAGCAGGACCAAGTCCTTAAGCTCCATCCTGCTAGAAAGCCTTTCCATATTTTATTCCTTCTGCCTGAAACACTCTGCTCTACCCCTGCCTCTTCCTCAGCTTGTTAGCTCCTCTTGCACCTGTGATGTCAAGGAAGCTTTCCCTGCATCCTTCCTAGGTTATGTTCCCTGGTTATACCCTCTCAGAACATTACATACGTCATCTTCATGGCACTTGCCACAATTGCAGTTTTTCATTTGTTTAATTATTTGTTAAGTGGCTGTCTCCCCCACTAGACTAAATGTTCCATGAGTGAAGGAAGGGTCATGCCTTGTATCAAGTCTCAGCATTGAACCAGTAGCACAGTGCCTGGCATATAATTCTGGAAAGAATTAATGAGTGTGTAATAGTTCTGACTCCATAGGAGAGTAGTGAGAATTAAATGATAAAAGGCCAAGCATATAATATCTGGTATTAAATTAAATTATCACACCACTCAAACCCAAATAGATGGGTAATTTTTATACATTAGATTTTCAGGGAACACAATATTTAAGTTGTTGGAATTAGCATGCTTCTCCCTTTACGTCTTTAAAAGTAATTTAAATATCATACTATAAATACCAAACATTCAAAATAGGTTGTCTCCTTTCTTACTCATTCTGAAAGGCCACAGTAAGCCAAGGAAACAGGGATGACCTGTCAGAGACTAGAATAGCTTCATGGGGGAGTGAGAAAAGGTCAGAAATGCTCTGGTGGAGGAAGAGATGGCAGCTGGGACCGCTGCTGCTCCTGCTGGGCTTGCCTGGTTACTGGCCAAAGGGAACAGATAAACAGCACCCTGAGCAGAAGCAGAATACTGGGTGACTGACACGGACTCTGTCCCAGTACCTCCACTGTGACACTGGGCAAATTACTTAACCCCCTAAGCCCTAGTTTGGACAGCTATAAAATAGGCATTGCCTAGTAGGTCTGCCTCCCAAAATTGACACGATGATTTATTACAAATGGTTGTGAAAGTATTTTGCAAACTAAGAAGTGCTGGAGTGTTAAGAAGATGCATTCAAAGAACAGTTGAAAGTTTGGAATTCACCAGGAGAATTTTTCTTGCAGAATGGTTAGGGAATCTTAAGGAAGATTAAATATCAAATAAATCCTAATTATCTCTACCTAATCAGATTTTATTTCCGTCAAAAATATTAATAATCTCTGATTACCTTTAATACTTAAACATCATTCCAGAGCTTACATCCACCCTGATTAAGGATGCTTTTCTCTCCCTAGGTTGGCTCCCCACTAACTGGCTGAAAGGAGCTAAAGCGTGGGGCATGGTGAAAGGGGGTGGTGATTATTGGAGAGCAACACACCCTGTATCAGGGTTTCTCCGCGAGTTGTGGTGCTCTTCACTTGATTTGGGATCTTGCCCATTGACTTGGCACAATTTCTCAAAGTGAGAAACTCTGCCTTGTCCTAGAATCAGTTGAATGAATCATTTTTTAATTTTGTGCTAATAGCCTGATGTGCTAATTCAGATGAATGAAAGCTGATCCTAAACTTAATTCTTGATTGTGGTTGCTTCTCTTCTTCCCACCTGTGGAAGCATAAGAACACTGCTACAAAAGAATGGATAGGGAAGAGGAGTTGAAATTCAAATCTATTTGGCATATCTATTTAAAGGTTCAATGGAAATGATCATGAACCTAATGGTCAAAGTGAGTAGAAGAGATGTATTGGTAGTCTTGTATTAGCCATGTTATAGAATGACCATGAGTTATTTAGAACAGGCTTTATTCATTTTGCGCAAATATTTGCAAAGTCAGGATGCCCAATAACATACCTGAGAATTGTGTTCTTCATATTTAGGTGTATGTGATAATTTGACCATAAAAAGGTGGGGAGGTGGGTTCTAACTTAAGTCACATTAAATATTTGTGCACAGGATTCTTCAGTGTAAGTTTTGTTTGTTTGTTTGTTTGTTTTTGCTTTTCATTTTGTTGTTGTTGTTGTTTTGAAACGGAGTCTGGCTCTTGTTGCCCAGGCTGGAGTGCAATGGTACGATCTCGGCTCACTGCAACCTCCACCTCCCGGGTTCAAGTGATTCTCCTGCCTCAGCCTCCCAAGTAGCTGGGATTACAGGTGCCAGCTACCACATCTGGCTAATTTTATATTTTTAGTAGACATGGGATTTCACCATGTTGGTCAGGCTGGTCTCGAACTCCTGACCTCAGGTGATCCACCCGCCTTGGCCTCCCAAAGTGCTGGGATTATAGGGGTGTGCCACCACTCCCAGCCCAATGTAAGTGTTTTAAATTGTTCCGCTGAGCAGTGAGATTTATATGCAGCTTTTGTATACAGAAAAGACCCTCCATCAGTGAATACTTGTATCAACAGGAAATTGTGGTCAAGAAGGAACCGCCGTATAACAATTTTGACGGGCTCAGTAGAATTCTGTTTTGTTAAAAGCAGGACATCATACCACCTGTGTTATACTTTAAACATTTTGGGATTTTTTCCATCTAATTCATACATATGTAGTTTAAAGGGTTTTTTTCTGTCTTAATGTGTTACATGCTCTTTGGGAACTGGCAAACAACAAAATGAAAAAAATGTATTCCCTTATATTGACACCCCAAGTTATAACAAATGTTTATAACTAGTATTTATAATTGATACATTTTAGGGGAAATAATCTACAGTATATCTGAATCTATATTATAATAATAAACTGTATTATAGCAGGGTCTTATTTTAACAAGGATATAGTTTATACTACTTTGTAATATTTATTTTCTCTTACTTAAATGCAGGTTTTCTTAGTTAAAAAAATCTCAGGCTCTGATGCTAGGCAGCTTTATGCCATGAAGGTATTGAAGAAGGCCACACTGAAAGGTAAGTGTTGCTGCTATTTGTAATGTTCATGTAGTCTAAACAAACTGAAAGGTCTCAATAGAGCTCATGGGACTCCTTGGCATGTTATTTACATTCTGAATAGGTTCCTGTTACCAGCTTTAAATTTAGGCTGACTTTTAGTGAATTTTTCCTGCTAGGCTAGGAATCATATAACTAGTGAGAACCAGAGTTGCCACGTTATAAAAGACGTATTATAAATTCATATTGAGTTTTATACAAGTAAACATTTAGAAGATTAAAACTGGGTTTGATTCATCTTCAAATTTATATATTTATTTTAATGTTTTTAAAAACGTACTGATTTACTGGCTGCAAAATAGCTTTTATTCTAAAGGACTTTATGACTTCTGGTCTCCAAGTAAGTTTTTATTCTGAGCCTATGATTTGAAAACCCTAATGCAGGATTTGGCTCTCATAGGTAAAAAGTAGTTAAGAAGAGGCCGGGCGTGGTGGCTCACACCTGTAATCCCAGCACTTTGGGAGGCCGAGGCAGGCGGATCACCTGAGGTTAGAAGTTCGAGATCAGCCTGACCAACATGGAGAAACCCCATCTCTACTAAAAATACAAAAAATTAGCTGGGCGTGGTGGCACATACCTATAATTCCAGCTACTCAGAGGCTGAGGCAAGAGAATCGCTTGAACCCGGGAGGCGGAGGTTGCTGTGAGCCGAGATCGTGGCATTGCACTCCAGCCTGGGCAACAAGAGTGAAACTCCGTCTCAAAAAAAAAAAAAAAAGTAGTTAAGAAGAAATATAGATTTAAAAATACTTAACTCTTCCTTTAATTTAGTGGTATCACTTATTTTAACCTCATAACCTCTAGATGTTTTGTGTATTGATTACTAAAAGTCCATTTTTTCCTCTTCAATTTACATGTAATTTATAAAGCTTTGAAAATATTCTCTAATATTTGCAATGATCATTTATTATTTCTGTTATTCCCAATTAGTTACCCACCATGGACATCCCAAGAAATTTCACTTCTCTCTGTAAACACTGTCGTTTGCTTCCATTCTGTTAACTCCCTTCCTGAACATATTTTCTTTCCTATTCAGTCCTACCCCATGGCATTACCACTTACTTGATTCCTGCTAGGACCAGGGAATTAAATTATATCCTCAATCCCCTGCCTTTCTGTCACTGCATTTGTGACTTTATACTCATGAATCCCATGTTACAAAGCTGCATAGATGAGACTCAGAGTTCATTCACAAAAGCAACAAAAGTAGTTTGATTTTATGTATTTAACAGGATTTGTATTGTGCATAGTGTATGTAAAGGAAACTACAAAACTCTAAGAAACCTAAAAGTTACCAGGAAAGGAAATAAATGCCCAATCCCTATTAGAGAAGGCCAACTGTTAAGAATCTCACTACTCCTCTAGCCATTCAGTTACCTCAATATCATTAAGATTCCAGCTGCATTTTCCTTAAAACTTAACAAGATAATTCAGAATTTTATTTCCGAATCCAGAATATTTTGGAAAAGAAGAATAATAAGGGAACAAGCTCTCTCAGATCCTAATGCTTCAAGTAGCACTAACTTAGTGTGTTATTGGGGGGAGTAATACAGGCATAGAATCAGTGGAACAAAATAGTACAACATATATATATCAAATTTTAGTGTATTTGTTACAAAAATATTGAGTACCTGCCATGCTGTATGACAAAACAGGCATACAGAACAATGGGAAATTAAGTAATGATACCCCTGAGCTCAGCCGGGCACAGTGGCTCGCACCTGTAATCCCAGCACTTTGGGAGGCCGAGGCAGGCAGATCACCTGAGGTCAGGAGTTCGAGACCAGCATGCCCAACATGGCAAAACCCCGTCTCTACTAAAAATACAAAAAAAATTAGCCGGGCATGGTGTTGGGTGTCTGTAATCCCAGCTGCTCATGAGGCTGAGGCAGGAATATCGCTTAAACACGGGGGGCGGAGGTTGCAGTGAGCCGGGATCGCACCACTGTACTCCAGCCTAGGCGACAAGAGCAAAACTCCGTCTCAAAAAAAAAAAAAAAAAAAAGAAAAAAGAAATACCCCTGAGCAAGCTGGAAAATAACACCATAACAAACTCCACCCTAACTGAATTTTACAACTTAACACATCTAGGAAACTTGTGAGGAAATATTGAGCAAATTACAAACAAATTAGTAATACAAAAATTGTTAACATTTCATACAATGAAAAATAGTATAAATAGGAAGACAGGAAAATATATTAATATAAGGAGTTGGCTAAGGGGCTTCTACTGGCCAAATCTGGGGCAACTTAAACATTGCAATAATAAATGTTAGTGATAGATTACAAGCCAGTTGAATAAAATAAGAAGCCATAGGTTAATTCATAAGTTAATTAATGGGGGAAAAGGGAAAACTCTTTCTTGCAATATAATTCCAACTAATAAACTTAAAAAGAATGAAGGAGTTAGGAATTGATAAGAAATACCATTATATCCTCCATCTGGAGGATTTTGAATAAAGTTTACACAAGGAGATAAATAATCTTTGGGGAAATGTTCAGTTTTGGTGAAAGTCAAAGATGCATATTAAAATAATAAAGTTTGCTGGGCACAGTGGCTCGCACTTGTAATCCTAGCACTTTGGGAGGCTGAGGCGGGAGGATGGCTTAAGGACAGGAGTTCAAGACTAGCTAGGGCAATATAGCAAGACCCTGTCTCTACAAAAAATAAAAATAAAATCAGATGGTTGTAGTGGTGCAAGCCTGTGATTCTAGCTACTCTGGAGGCTGAGGCAAGAGTATCTCTTGAGCCCAGGAGTTTGAGGTTGCAGTGAGCTGTGATCACACCACTGTACTCCAGCCTGGGTGACAGAGTGAGATGAATGCATGTTATTTCATATGATGGCAGCATAAATTGGAAAGCCATTATTGCTGCTACATTAACCTGCGGAAATAGCTTCAAAAAAAGGATTCATAGGCTTGAAAATTCTTGTTGCAACATTATTTATAATAGCAAGAAGTTAGAAATCACATACACACTGGAAAACTAGAGGAATTGTGACCAGGCATAGTGGCTCATTCCTATAATTTCAGCACTTTGGGAGGCTGAGGTGGGAGGATTGCCTGAGCCCAGGAGTTCAAGACCAGCCTGGGCAGCATAGTGAGACCTCATCTCTACAAAAAATAGAATAATTAGCCAGGCCTGGTGGCGTGTGCCTGTCGTCCCAGCTGACTGGGGGGGCTAAAGCGGGAGGAACGCTTGAGTCTTCAAGGTTACAGTGAGCTTTGATTGCACCACTGTACTCCACCCTGGGTAGAGGGAGATCTGTCCCTAAAAAAAATTTTTTTTAATAAGGAAAAATAGAGAAACGTTATAAAATTATGGTTTACCACTTAATAGGATATTATTAAAATAAAGTATCTTAAATAAAATTACAAAAATGAATGTAGTGAAAATTAGAACAAATTGAGCTACAAGTATGTAAAATTGTATAGATATTAGCTATAAAAGAGATGATAGAAAAGTGAAAATATTTGACTTATTGGAATTTTAAACTGCTGAATAATTGTGAATGTGTTCTTAAATTTTTATGTTTATCAAAAGAATATCTGTAGAGTCTTATCATATAACATAGCTATGCTTTGCCCACTCTTCTGCCTATCCTAATTCTTGAACCCCAGAGACAATGACTTTCATCTCTTTAGCTGCTGCCATTTACATTTATATTCAACACTTTTATATTGCAATTGTTTGTTTTCATTTGGAGACATAATCTATTGCCTTTCTAACATGGAAGACTAAGATTCAGTTCTCTCATGCTGCCACCCACTCACAGTTTCCCTTTTCACATCTTCCCAATAATGTTTTCATTGTTACAGCTTTATAAGAATTGTTCCTAGCTGAACGAAATAGTATACTACAGTCACATTTCCTTCACTTCTTTTCTGTATTCAGTCTCTTTTCATAAATTCTGTGCCTACCTTTTTCTCAGTTTACTTTTTAGTTTTGATGGAACTCATCTTCTCATAGCTACCTCAGAATGAGTAAATGGATACTAAATTTTTTGTGACCCTCCATGTCTGGAAATGGCTTTATTCTACCGCCTGTCACTTAGTTTATAATTTGGCTGAGTATAAAATTCTAGGTCAGAAAGAATTTTCTACCAGATATTTGAAGGTATTGCTTCCATTGTCTTCTAGTTTCCTGTGTTACAGTGATGAAGTTAATTGCTGGTCTCACTCCCAGTCCTTTGTGTGTAAGCTGCTTTTCCTCTTTGGGAGTCTTTAGAATCTACTCTTTATTCCTGGTGTTCTGAAATTTATATAGTGGTATTCTTGAGTGTGGGTTTCTAAAACTATATCATATGATATATGAGGTGTGGTCTCTTTCAACCTAAAAACTCCTTTCTTCAGTCTTGGGAAAGTTTTTGTCATTTATTCTACATTTGTAAGTGCTGCTCTTTGGAATATGTTAGTTAAACCTCCTGAATTGTTCCTTAATTTTCTTTATTTTTCCATCTTTTATTTTCCATTTTTTCTATTTTCTGTGAAATTTCTTCAACCATCTTCCAACTCTTCTATTGACCTTTTTGTTTCTGCCATCGCTTTTCATTTCCTAGATTTTCTTGTTCTCTGATTATTTCATTAAAACATTTTTCAATTATGGAAAGTGTCAAACATTTAAGAAAGAGACAGAAGAATATAGTGAACCCCCTGTACCCTTCTCCCTGCTTCAACATTTATCAACTCATGGCCAACCTTTTTTCATCAGTGTTCTCCTTCTTCTTCTCTTGATATTTTGAATGAAATCCCAGACACTATAGAATTTCTTTCATAAATATTTTAGTATATATCTCTAAAAGATAGACTCCTGGCTGGGTACGGTGGCTCACGCCTGTAATCCCAGCACTTTGGGAGGCCGAGGCGGGTGGATCATGAGGTCAGGAGTTTGAGACCAGCCTGGCCAACATGGTGAAACCCCGTCTCTACTAAAAATACAAAAATTAGCTGGGTGTGGTGGCGGGCACCTGTAATCTCAGCTACTCAGGAGCCTGAGACAGGAGAATCGTTTGAACCCAGGAGGCGGAGGTTGCAGTGAGTCGAGATTACATCAGTGCACTCCAGCCTGGGCGACGGGGCAAGACTCCATCTCAAAAAAAAGATAGACTCCTAAAAGAGATAATTCAACTGTATTATCATACCTTAAAAATGAGCATAAAGATATCCAGTCTTTGTTCAAATTGCTAGTTGTCCCTACTATTAAAATTTATGTTTCTTTATGCAGTCTGTTTAAATTAGGATCCATACATATAAGGTCTCAACTTTGCAATTGGTTGATAATGTTTTTAAGTCTTTTCATCTATGAACTCTTTCTTCATTTCTTATCTTTTCCTTGTAGTTTATTTGTTGCGGATACTTGTTCCTTCCTCCACCCCACCACCCTTTTTAAACAAGAACAAGAAGCTTTAAAAAGGGTGAGGTGCCATATTATCTTTGCTCCCTCAGTGGACATAAATTACAAGATTGAGTTGTGTTGTGTGGTGTTTAAGTTATCTTCTGTTCCTCACATTGTCTCTGTTTCCCTTTATTCCATTTTTCTGTTTATTTTGATGTTTTTCATGTTTAGAGCCTTTCTCCAAATGCCTGGGGGTCTTTTGCTATCTTTTCTTTAAGAGTCGGGTGCTAGAAAGCTGATTGGAAAGATTTCAATGACAAGAATTTGCTTATTTTTCATTGGCTTCTTTTCCTTAGGCTTAGATTTTTAGCTTTCTCTGGTCTGCTTTGTTAGTTACCACTTGCACATCTTCTACTATTGCTTCCTGTCCTTGTGAGTTTATGCAGTTTTTCCATTATTGTCATTTCCATGGGGTTTTGGAAGAATGTAGAGAGTAAAATATCCATGTTTAACCAGAAGTCTCTTCCCATTTTAAAGTTCCTGTTAATACGATAAATGGGGTCAAATACAAGTCAATAACATTAGATAAAGTTAATGGGGACTTCTGTCCTATTAAAGTGGTCTGTTTGTCTAAAAGGTTCTGTAAACTGCTTAAAAAGGTTTCTTAATGCATAGTCCTAGGAACATAAACAACATTTCTTCATTCTCAGGTTCAGTCAAGTAGGGCTTAAATCTAATAACTACTCTAGAAGAAAAAATATTTCAGAGGAATCTAGTTGCTTTGCCAGCATGAGTCAGTATTAACCAATTCTATGTTGGGATTAGAAGTTGGCCTATATAAAACATGCCTTCTTCTGAATTAGTATATACTAATTAAAATTCCTCATGGTAGGATGATTTAGAATTGTCACTAGGTCTTTACATAAGCAAAAGAAACGAGATTAGAATTATGACACAGGCCTACCTCAGACAAAATGAAGGAATTCTTTAGAGAAGGACTCTCACTGCTCATTTTCAGTTAAACAAGGTCTCATCAATGTTACATATAAGGAAATGTTGAAGAGAAAACTGTCTCACAAAAAAATCATCTTGGTTCTAATCCTTCATTTTATAGAGGAGGAAACAGGAAATCCCTGAGCAATGAAATGATTTGACCAAGGTAGTTATGAGTTCATCTAGTTATTAGTATAGCCACTAAACTGTAGTTCTTGACTCCCAAATAATTGTTCTTTTCATTGTGGTAAAATAAGACAAGAGGGATATACAGTGCATTTATTAGTGGATATTTTTGATGCTTACTGAGCAGACGAGGTATTTTTAAGTGATAAGCCTTGTATACTTATTGAAAGAGGTAGGACTTTGGAATCCACCTTTAAGGTGATAGGAACTAATCCAAAATTGTATGGTAATAATGAGAAAAGGACAGATTTAGGCTAGACTAGAATAGAAATATCAGCAGGTATTGGTGATGAACTTCACTCACATAAAAAGTACAAAGGGCATATCAGGCTGGGCGTGGTGGCCCGTGCCTGTAATCCCAGCACTTGGGGAGGCCAAGGCAGGCGGATCACCTGAGGTCAGGAGTTAGAGACCAGCCTGGCCAACATGGTGAAACCCCGTCTCTACCACAAATACAAAAATTAGCCAGGTATGGTAGCACAAGCCTGTAATCCCAGCTGCTCGGGAAGCTGAGGCAGAAGAATAACTTGAACCCTGGAGAGGGAGGTTGCAGCGAGCCGAGGTCACACCACTGCACTCCAGCCAGGGCGACAGCGATATCCTATCTCAAAAAAAAGGGGGCATATCAGATATAACAAGGAAAATACCAGAGTTGTAGCGATCGGGCAAGGTAATGAAATCAGAGATTGCTATTGAATTTGATATACTAACTGGACAGGTCAGTTAAAAGAGCTGCGTAGACATCAAGAGCAATTGATTCCTATTTCTGATTTGCCCATTTTCAGTCAGTGGTATGAAAATCTCCCAGTTGGGGATAGAAAACTGGTAGAATGGAAAAAATAGGGCATTTTTTAGCTGCTTTGTTTATTTTCCCCAGAGGTCTTATTTCTATATTTTAAATATCTGCAGTCACCCTAAACTGAAAATAAAACCAACTCAACTTTCTCCCTCCTCCAAAGATTGTCCTATTCTTTCCATTTTCATGTTTCATATAACCATTCAGAGTACTTAGAATGTATTATAATCATTTATTTACCTGTCTGTCCTTCCCACTAGATCATGAGCTTCTTGAAGATTATCTTATTTGTATGTATATCCCTAGTGCATTGCACATACACTTTGCTCAGGAAATATTTGGTTGCTGAAAAAGAGCTTTGCTCACAGGGTCAAATATAAATTCATCTTGGCATTCCAACTTCTCAAGAATCTGGATCCTCCCCATTTCGCCTTGGCGCAGTAGTAAATCTCATTTGGTTCCTTCCTGTTTGTCATTCATGCCTTCACATCTTTGCTTACACTGGGTACTCCATGCTTGGACTCTTGTTTTCTAGGGCCTATCCTTCCTACCCATCTAAATGCCACTCCAAAAGTCTTAAAGCTTGCTCCCTGACCCTACATCTTTCTTCTAGCCTTCCTATGCAAGTAAGACTGATCTTGCCCTTCTCTGAATCCTGCAGTACTCATTGCTGGTAGTAAATTGTTTTATCCCTTAATCATATTCATGGTGCTACTTTGCATATAATAACAATAGCTACTATTTAATTGAATATCTCATACATACCAGGCTCTAGGTACATACCTTATCTCAAATGGTCATATGCTCCTCAAAGCTACAGTAGTGTTATCCCCATTGTGTAGCCGAAAGGTAACTGAGTCTCAAAGAATTTAAATAAGTATCTTGCTCGTGATTGTACAGATCTTGTGATGCTTAAGTTTTTTTCAAAAAAAAGATTACACAGATCTGAATTCATATCTTTCTGTCTAAACTCCAGAAAACATTTGCTCTTTCAGCTATACCACAGTATGTTCTCTCTCTCCCTCTTGCTTCCTTTCTTCTTCCCTCAAAATAGACCTCTTTGGATATAACTGTCCTTTACCCCATGTCTGCCTCATTTTAGGTATGCTTAATGAATGTTTGTTGAGTTTAATTGATAGGACTGATGGAATGTTGAAACCTATTCATTTTTTATGTTTTACTGTTTCATTAGGATGCCTTGTTTTTTAAAAGTTGCATGCTTTTTTGCCATTTTCCACAGCTGTGATTAAAATACTTGTGCATTTGATGTTAAAGCCAATACCTAATATTTTCTCTATATTTTTTCCAACTTAAAAGCATGGATTTTATAAATATATGCAACTTCCTTTGGTTATGTAATGTAGTAAAAGACATCATTATTGATTTTGTAAATTCAAGAATGATAAAACATTCACATTTTAATACACATAAGCAAAATTTTATTTAACATGGGCACCAAAAAGAATTTGTTTTGAAGATTATCTTTGAAAGATATTACAATGTAGCATACATACAATCTTTTATAGTTCGAGACCGAGTTCGGACAAAAATGGAACGTGATATCTTGGTAGAGGTTAATCATCCTTTTATTGTCAAGTTGCATTATGGTAAGTATGAGCCGTCTCCCACATCATCCCTTGACCTCATCCCTCAAAATCCCTGAGGACATTCAGATAAACTAATATAAATAAATATATATTTGTATGTGGTTAGCAGATCTATATAGTAATAAGTCATGAAAATTAAGCCATTATTTCTTAGACAAACTTTAGAAGCTTTTATTGTTTAGTTTATGTTTTTTTTAAATATTATAAAGTTAGTTTCTGAGTGGTAGCCATAGGAACAGGTAATGATAATTATTGCTTTTTTATTATAATAATAATGAGTAATAATATGCTAGCCTTTTGTAGCCTATATGTGTTAGCCAACCCTAAAGGCCAAAGAGATCCCTAATGTCAACATCCTAAAACCATTGTCACTGCTGTTCTTTTCCCCGAAGCCATATGCTTTTTCTCAGTGGGTAAAGGTGTGGTGATTCTTACTATGTGTAATTAAACCTAACCAACCCATATTTTTTTCTGTAGCTAGTGGCATGGTTTTTGTATGTTATTTCGTAGTTAAGTAAGTCTTTTTTTTTAGGAGGTTTTCTTATGTATCATGGGTTTAGAACTATTGTATTCCTGAGTGACTTGCCTGTTGAAAATCTAGTGATTCCATAATAAGAAACACTGTATTTAACATTTCCACATGGAAACTAAGATAAATCAGTGGTTTTCTTCTAAGTAAAAGTAAGTTTGGACATTTGATATAATTAATTTGTTAAAATATTCATTTATGAATGACCTAATGTAAACCTAAAAAAATTATGGTGGACTAAATGAAAATTTTCATTTCTTCATTCAGCTTTTCAAACTGAAGGGAAGTTGTATCTTATTTTGGATTTTCTCAGGGGAGGAGATTTGTTTACACGCTTATCCAAAGAGGTATATAATTAATCTCTATTTTTAGTCTATTTACATGCATCCTGTTTGAACTAAAGCTTTGTTATGTTTCAGTATTATGCTTACTGTATTTTCTCTAGTGGCACAAGATTCTGGAAGAATCAGACCCAAAAAGAGTTCTTTTCCTACCTTTTGAATTTATTCTGAAAGCAGGACTTTAAATTGACAAATAAACAGTCTTTGTCTTAACCCTGCTTCTTTTATAGTTTTTTCCAGAAGCAATAATGTATCAACAAGATATCCTTAAACAATTAGTACTAGAAATTAAGCATGCATTTTAAAGATCACTTTTCATTTCTAAAATGTTACTGTCATGGGACAACAGTGGCACACCCTGAATATACTTAACAATAAAATGTAAAATTATTTCTCCCATAGTGCATAGTTAGTATTTAGTAAGTGATTGGTTGACTGATTAGATAATTTTGCTATTCCTTTCACGAATAAATTGTAAACAAAGCTATGTATAATTATCATATTTATAAAATTTTTAGGATATTTAAACTCTAGAGTGGAACTTTAAAAATTACAGACACAAAAAGAAAATAAATTTAGAAAAATTATTGTTTTATTTTAGGTGATGTTCACAGAAGAAGATGTCAAATTCTACTTGGCTGAACTTGCACTTGCTTTAGACCATCTACATAGCCTGGGAATAATTTATAGAGACTTAAAACCAGAAAAGTAAGGAATCATGCTACTAAGTTGAATACAATGTAATATGATTGTTTAGGAGATTATAAAAAATCAAGTGGCTTCATGAAACTCCCACAGTATTGCACTAGCGTGCCTGTGCTTCACATCTCTGCTAACACTGTAGTTTCATACTTTAAAAATCTCAGTTAATCAAAAAATACTGTTTTTGTGTGCATTCTTTGATTTTTTTTTTTTAAAGATGGAGTTTTGCTCTTGTTGCCCAGGCTGGAGTGCAGTGGCGCAATCTCAGCTCACTGCAATCTCCACCTCCCAGATTCAAGCAATTCTCCTGCCTTAGCCTCCCGAGTAGCTGGGATTACGGGCGCCTGCCAACACACCCAGCTAATTTTTGTATTTTTAGTAGAAACAGGGTTTCACCATGTTGGCCAGGCTGGTCTCGAACTCCTGACCTCAGGTGATCCACCTGCCTCAGCCTCCCAAAGTATTGGGATTACAGGCGTGAGCCACCACAGCCATCCCATTCTTTGATTTTTTAATGAGGTTGAAATCTGCATTCATTGGCAATTTGTATTTTTGTGTGAATTTTCTGCTCATGGCCTTTGTTCATTTTTCTTTCAGAATGTTATTTTTGGTCTGGCATGGTGGCTCACACATGTAACCCGAGCACTTTGGGAGGCTGAATTGCATGAGCCCAGGAGTTGTAGACCAGTGTGGGCAACATGGCAAAACCCCATCTCTACAAAAAATTAGCTGGGCATGGTGGCACATGCCTGTAGTCCCGACTACTCAGGAGGCTGAGGCAGGAGGATTGCTTGAGCTTGGGGCATCGAGGCTGCAGTGAGCCAAGATCGCTCTGTTGCATCTCCAGCCTGGGCAACAGAGTGAGACCCTGTCTCAAAAAAAAAAAAAAAAAAAAAAAAAGAAAATTTACATTTTTTTCCAGTCTTTCAATTTTAACTTTATGTTGTTTAATTTATGCACGTTTTTTTCTTCAGGCAGATCTACCAATCTTCTTTTGTGATTTATTCTGACTCTCATTCTTAGGCTTTCCCCAGTTCTATGATCAGATATTTTCCTTCTAATTTTATAGTTTCTTTTTTTTTTTCTTTTAGCTCCATTGTTTAGAAATTTTTTGGCAGGAGGGATGGTATAAAGCTAATCCTTTCTTTCCCCCAAATACCATTTATTGAAAATTTTCTTCTCCATGTAATTTCAAATTTTAAGTGTGAACTGAGCAAATTTCCCACAGGTTTGATAGTAACAGTCATCAAGAATCGGATATTATTTAAATTGTACACACTTCCGTTTTAATTTGTTGATGTTTATCTACCACTGAGTAAGAAAGTTTTTTTTTTCCTTTTATAAGCATATAAGCACGAGCCTTGCTCTACCAGGAATATTTTTAAACAGCTTTATTGAGTTGTAATTCATATATTATACAAGTCATTGCCTGGGTGCAGTGGATCACACCTGTAATCCCAGCACTTCGGGAGACCAAGGCAGGCAGATCACTTGAGGTCAGGAGTTTGAGACCAGCCCGGCCAACATGGTGAAACCCCGTCTCTATTAAAAATACAAAACTTGGCCAGGTGTGGAGGGGCACACCTGTAATCCCAGCTACTGGGAGACTGAGGCAGGAGAATCGCTTGAATCCGGGAGGTGGAGGTTGCAGTGAGCTGAGATCGCGCCATTGCACTCCAGCCTGGGTGACAAGAGCGAAACTCAGTCTCAAAAAAAAAGAAGTGTATAATTCATTGATTTTTAGTATATTCACAGAGTTGTACAACCATCATATTAAGAATTTTGAATATTTCTCTCGGATATGAACAGACACTTCTCAAAAGAAGACATTTATGTGGCAAACAAACATATGAAAGAAAAGCTCATCATCCCTGGTCATTAGAGAAATGCAAATCAAAACCACAATGAGATACCATCTCACGCCAGTTAGAATGGCGATCATTAAAAAGTCAGGAAACAACAGATGCTGGAGAGGATGTGGAGAAATAGTACCGCTTTTACACTGTTGGTGGGAGTGTTAATTAGTTCAACCATTGTGGAAGACAGTGTGGCGATTCCTCAAGGATCTAGAACCAGAAATACCGTTTGACCCAGCAATCCCATTACCATGTATATACCCAAACGATTATAAATCATTCTACTATAAAGACACATGCACACGTATGTTTATTGCAGCACTATTCACAATAGCAAAGACTTGGAACCAACCCAAATGCCCATCAATGATAGACTGGATAAAGAAAATGTGGCACATATACACCATGGAATACTGTGCAGCTATAAAAAATGCTGAGTTCATGTCCTTTGCAGGGACATGGATGAAGCTGGAAACCATCATTCTCAGCGAACTAACACAGGAACAGAAAATCAAACACTGCATGTTCTCACTCATAAGTGGGAGTTGAACAATGAGAACACATGGACACAGGGAGGGGAACACCACACACCGGGGCCTGTCAGGAGTTAGGGGGCTAGGGGAGGGATAGCATTAGGAGAAATGCCTAATGTAAATGACGGGTTAATGGGCGCAGCAAACCACCATGGCATGTGTATACCTATGTAACAAACCTGCACGTTCTGCACATGTATCCTAGAACCTAAAGCATAATAAAAAAAAAAAAAAGTTAGTACAAAATTTAAATTCTGTATTAACACAGGAAGAGAGGAAATGCTCATCTGGAACTCTTCTAAGTGATCATTTAGAAATTGTTATGCTTTTATATTTTATGTTTTTTTTATTGTTTTTGGATAAGTTTCATATGGTTTTGTTTTTATTCCCCAAATAACTGCTGAGTTTTCCTGATTATTTTCCCAACTTATAACTATTGTGACACAAAATATAATTATTGGTGAGAATGAATATTCAAGCATATAGTCCTTAGAAAAATTACTATAAACATAAGATTAAACATTCATAAAAATGTGTGTTTTATACTATTTAATTGAATATATTTACCATAGACCATTGTATTGGCATTGGTCATAAAGTTACATTAAAGTATGAGCCCTGTCTCAAGGCTTTAATAAGATCAGATGTAAATAAGATTGCTTATATTAAGATCTTAAACATACATGTCTAGATGATGCTATTAATTAGAAATAACACTTACTTGGTGAATTATACAAGTAAATACCATCATACAGAACTTGGGAGAAATTTAAATTTTTAGGCCAAATATTTTATGAACTGTTAAGGGTTTTTCAGATTCTTTTAAACTAGAACTCTGTTGTAATAAATATGACTAAAAATTAGTAACCATTGAAAAGGAATGTTGTTTATTGAGAGTGATACAGTTGACTTTTTCTTTCAAAGATACAGTATAAGCATGGTTATCTTAGAAGAATGCATTTGCTACAGAAGGCGTAACTAATGCCCTTTCAGCCATATTATCCTTTTTTCTTTCAGAATTACCGAGAATGACTTGAAGTTTTGTTTTTAGAACTGTTTTTCATGTATTCACTAGAAGGGAGGATGATTTCTACAGTACCTAATAATGCCCTTTATACTCTCTAAATGTGTTGATCTCTTCATAATCAAGCAGAATCAATATTAATATTTTTCATAACAGGTGCTTATGATAAAAGAAACTTGAAAAACATGTCCCTACTGAATTACCTTCAGTGGTAAACTTTGTTGTAATTATGTTTGCATTTATGAAATAGAAAGATTGGTAATATTTTTGTTATAGTAAAATTTTATAACAAAGTTTGACTTGCACATTTTTAGTTAAAATAAAAGTAAGGAAATGCCTATATTGTGGGATAGCTTTAAATATAAGTGAAACAGTTTATTGCTTGATCCCATACCTATCCAGAAATATTAGGTTGGTGCAAAAGCAATTGCAGTTTTTGCCATTACTTTTAATTACTTCTGCACCAACTTAACACAATTATTGGCTTACAGCTTAGTACTCTCTCCTTTCTGTAGCTCCTTGATTAATAGCATTACTCTCCACTCAAGTATCTGCTCAAGCCAGAAACCTGAGTGTCATTCTCCAGTTGTTCTTTATCATGACCCAGTGAGCTCACTAAATGCCCTTTATTTTCTCTGTAAATTTCTCTACCCTCCATGAATGTACACCATTTATGGTCTCCCTTGTCCTTGACAAGAAGCCCAAACTATTTGGAATGCCCTGTAGGCCCTTTGCAAACAGGCCTTATTCATTCAACATTTCTTGTTTGTACTGTACACTGCCAGACACTGAGCTATAAAGATGAATAAGGTCAAACCTTCTAGGAGCTCACAGTTTATTGGGGAAGAGAGAAAACCCTGGAGAATATGTATAGTGAAGGGAGGGGTCAATGAAAAACAAGGAGTATGGGGAAGGAGAAGAGGATTGTGTAGGTTGTGTCAGGAAAAAAAAAATAAGGAAACAATGATTGAGTCAGATACCTTTAAAATGACCAAGAGAGCTGGGCACGCAGTGGCTCACACCTTAGGGAGTAATCCCAGCACTCAGGGAGGCAGAAGCAAGAAGATAGCTTGAGCCCAGCAGTTCAAGACCTGCCTGGGCAACATAGTGATACCCTATTCTCCACAAAAAGGAAAAAAAGGCAAAATAAAATAACCAAGAGAATGACATGTCTGATGTTTTTGAATTAAATGTGTGGACCCTCTGTCTATTAATGCAGGCACTAGGGGGTTTAGTCAAACTACGTCTGCAGAAAGGCATTAGAAAGAGCAGCTGGGAAGAGTACAGGTGATTTGATTCTTTTCCTAATAATTTTCAAGTGCCCCTGGCATATTAATACAAGTTTATGGCATTGCCTTTGGGCTTTGTTATAAATGTGTGTCCAAAAAATAATTTGTTCCTCCTTTGCCTTTGCCATCTTATTCACAGTCTAAAGCAATGTTTTAGAGTAAATGTGGTGATCTGATGCTTAAGGATGTAATTTCAGTCTTAGCTTCTATAAATCTCTATTTAGTGTTCTTAAAAGATTTTCTTTGTTTTTTTCAGTATACTTCTTGATGAAGAAGGTCACATCAAGTTAACAGGTAAAAAAAAAATCCTCGTTTTATTAAAATATTTTCTCCTACAATATATACTTTCCTTTAAGGTTGATTGTGGTACAAATATTGAGTAATACACTGTATTAAAATTAAAAACTTGTATTAGGGCCAGGCGTAGTGGCTCACCCCTGTAATCCCAGCATTCTGGGAGGCTGAGGCAGGTGGATCACTTGAGGTCGGGAATTCAAGACTAGCCTGGCTAACATGGTGAAACCCTGTTTCTACTTAAAATACAAAAAAATGAGCTGGGCATGGTGGTGCACGCCTGTAATCCCAGTTACTTGGGAGGCTGAGGCAGGAGAATCACTTGAACCCGGGAGGCAGAGGATACAGTGAGCCAAGATGGCGTCACTGTACTCCAGCCTGGGTGACAGAGCGAGACTCTGTCTCAAAAAACAAACAAACAAAAAAAACTTGTATTAGAAATTTTAAATGATTAATGTCAGAACTCAAAGTTTAAAATTTACATGTGCAAATTTATGTAGGATATTTATGATATTTGTTTTGGCAGATTTCGGCCTAAGTAAAGAGTCTATTGACCATGAAAAGAAGGCATATTCTTTTTGTGGAACTGTGGAGTATATGGCTCCAGAAGTAGTTAATCGTCGAGGTCATACTCAGAGTGCTGACTGGTGGTCTTTTGGTGTGTTAATGGTAAGGTTTGAATTTGGGATTTTTTAGAGGGGAAGGAGATTGTTAAGTGAGGATCAGCAGTGAATGTTAAAGAAACTGGTGTTTTTATTTTCTTTATTTTATGCCATATGTAATAAATAACCAAGAAACATTATTGCATGCAGTATAGAAGGACTATGAAATCTGTTAGCTGCGTCTATCTCATCCTAATTTGAAAGGGCAAAAAAAAATATTACCATAGATTTCCTGCTAATAGTAACAATCTAAAGCATTAATGGTGTTTGGTCTTTTGGAGAAACTGGTCCAGAAATCTGTTAGTAAGTGACCCTTAAAATAAGTTCGTTTGGCCGAGTGCAGTGGCTCACACCTGTAATCCTAGCACTTTGGGAGGCTGAGGCGGGTAGATCACCTGACGTCAGGAGTTCAAGACCGGCATGGCCAACATGGCAAAACCCCATCTCCACTAAAAATACAAAAAGTAGCTGAGCAGGATGGCACACACCTCAGGAGGCTGAGGCTGGAGAATCGCTAGAACCTGGGAGGCAGAGGTTGCAGTGAGCCAAGATCATGCCATTGCACTCCAGCCTGGGCAACAGAGCGAGACTCTGTCTCAAAAAATATATAGTAAGTTCTGCCGGGCGCGGTGGCTCACGCCTGTAATCCCAGCACTTTGGGAGGCCGAGGCAGGTGGATCACTTAAAGTCAGGAGTTCGAAACCAGCCTGGCCAACATGGTGAAACCCCGTTTCTACTAAAAATACAAAAATCAGGCTGGGCGTGGTGGCTCATGCCTGTAAGACCAGCCTGGACAACATGGTGAAACCCTGTCTCTACTACAACTACAAAAAATTAGCCAGGCATGGTGGCACACACCTGTAATCCCAGCTACTTGGGAGGCTAAGGCAGGAGAATCACTTGAACCCAGGAGACGGAGATTGCAGTGAGTGAAGATCGTGCCACTGCACTCCAGCCTGGGTGACAGAGTAAGACTCCGTCTCAAAAAAAATAAATAAGTTCATATGAAATTGGCATATCTATCAAATTGTTCACATATCTACACTTTAAAATTGCCATTTGAAATGTGATTGATGAAGCTGAGCATGGTGGCCCATGCCTCTAATCCCAGCACTTTGAGAGGCTGAGGTGGGAGAATTGCTTGAGCCCAGGAGATGGAAGCTTCAGTGAGCTGAGATTGCACCACTGGGCTCCAGCCTGGGCAACAGAGCCAGGCCCTGTCTCAAAAAAAAAATAAAATAAAAATGTGATTGATTTCTACAAAAAAAAAAAAACTGTATAGCTCAGTTGTTTTAGGAATTATCAAGAACTTCAGTAACGAATATGGTAGAAATAGAAAACACTTGTTATGTAGCAATTTTAGAATATTTGGTTATAATTAAAATGATGCTTTTTTTTTTTTTTACCTTCTGGCCTTCAGATTTTATATTTATTGACTAACACTTCTGATTATTTTGCCTTTCTGTAGTTTGAAATGCTTACTGGTACACTCCCTTTCCAAGGAAAAGATCGAAAAGAAACAATGACTATGATTCTTAAGTAAGTACTCCCTTAATATAGATGTTTTGATGAGATTTTAAAATAAATGCTTCAGGCTGGGCGCTGTGGCTCATGCCTGTAATCCCAGCACTTTGGGAGGGCAAGGAAGACGGATCACTTGAGATCAGGAGTTTGAGACCAGCCTGGCCAACATGGTGAAACCCCATCTCTACTAAAAATACAAAACTTAGCCGGGCATGGTGGTACACACCTGTAGTCTCAGCAGTACTCAGGAGGCTGAGGTGGGAGAATCCCTTGAACCCGGGAGGTGGAGGTTGCAGTGAGCTGATATCACACCACTGCACTCCATCCTGGGCAACAGAGCGAGACTCTATCTCAAAAAAGTAAAATAAAATAAATGTTTCACACTAAAAAATGAGATTTTAGAGTGTTGGCTGTAGTATAAGAAATAACTAAGAAATTCATCAATATTACGTGGTTTGAATATGAACAGACTGCGTAGATTTAGAGTACTCATATTATCTTCATGTTAATAGTGAAATACTGAAAGCTTTACTTTTGGGATTTGTAATATGGCAAGGATGCCCATTATTTCACTTCTGTCCACATTGTCCTGGAAGTCCTAGCCAATATGGTAAGTCAAGCAAAAAAGTAAAGTATAAGGTTTAAAAAGAAGAAATAAAATTATCATTATTTAGATAACATGACTGTATCCATAGAAGATCCAGTCATCAGCCTGCACAACATAGCAAAACCCCATCTCTACAAAAAAATGCAAAAATTAGCCAGGCATGTTGGTAAGCACCTGTAGTCCCAGCTACTTTGTGGGGTGGCAGATGGGGGCTAAGACAGGAGAATCATTTGAGCCCAGGAGCTTGAGGCTACAGTGAGCTGAGATGGTTCTACTGCACCCCAGCCTGGGTGACAGAGCAAAACCCTGTCTCAAAAAAGAAAAGAAAAGAAAAGAAAATCCAGTGATCATATAAATTCTTAGAATTAATAAGAGTTTAGCAAAGTTACTGGATACAAGGTCAATAAACAAAAATCTATTCCATGTCTCTATACTAGGAATAGAAAATGGAATTTTTATCCGGGCACAGTGGCTCACACCTGTAATCCCAGCACTTTGGCAGGCCGAGGCAGGCAGATCACCTGAGGTCCAGAGTTCGAGACCAGCCTGGCCAACATGGCGAAACCCTGTCTCTACTAAAAATAGAAAAAATTATTCGGGCATGGTAGCAGGTGCCTGTAATCCCAACTACTCGGTAGGCTGAGGCAGGAGAATCACTTGAACCCGGGAGGCAGAGGTTGCAGTGCGCCAAGATCATGCCACTGCACTCCAGCCTGGGCAATAAGAGTGAAATTTCATCTCAAAAAAAAAATGGAATTTTCAAAGAGGACAGTGTTTACAACAATGTAAAAATTCTCAGATACCTAGTGATAAATCTAGCAGAAGTTGTGTAAGACCTCTGTGCAAAAAAACCAGAAAATTTTATTTAAAGAAATTTTAAAAGACCAAAATAACTTGAAAGAATATACCATGTTCATGTTATGACAGACCCAGTGTTGTAAAGATAACATTTTTATAGATCAGTGTTATCCACTAGAAATATAATGTGAACCAGCCAGGCATGGTGGCTCATGCCTATAATCCCACCACTTTGGGAGGCCGAAGTGGGCAGATTGCTTGAGCCCAGGAGTTTGAGACCAGCTTGGGCAACATGGCAAAACCCCATCTCTACAAAAATAAAAGATAAAAAAATTAGCCAGATGTGGTGGCACGTGCCAGTAGTCCCAGCCACTTGGGAGGCTGAGGTGAGAGGATCACTTGAGCCTGGGAGGTCAAGACTGCAGTGAGCCCTGATCACACCACTACACTCCAACCTGAGCAACAGAGTGAAGAGCGAGACCCTGTCTCAAAAAAAAAAAAAAAAAAAGAAAAGTAATGCGAACCACATACGTAATTTTAAGTTTTCTAGTACCTACATTTAAAAAAGTAAAAAGAGGCAGGTAATCCCAGCACTTTGGGAGGCCAAAGCGGGTGGATCACCTGAGGTCAGGAGTTCGAGACCAGCCTGGCCAACATGGCAAAACCCTGTCTCTACTAAAAATACAAAAATTAGCTGGGCGTGGTGGCACACACCTGTAATCCCAGCTACTTGGGAAGCTGAGGCAGGAGAATCACTTGAACCCGGGAGGCGGAGGTTGCAGTGAGCTAAGATCATGCCGCTGCACTCCAGCCTGGGTGATGAATGAAATTCATCTCAAAAAATAAAAAAAATAAAAAAGTAAAAGGAAAGTTAATTGTAATATTTTATTTAACCCAGTGTACCCAAGATGTTATTTCAGCATGTAACCAATGTTAAAAATTGATTGAGGTATTTGTTGTAAACTAATTTTTTTCATACTCATTTGAAATTCAATGTGTATTTTACACTTACAATGTGGATTGGCACATTTCAGGTGCTCAGTAGCCATATGTAGCTAGTGGCTACTATAATGGATGACAAAACTATAGTTTCAATGCAAATAAAATTAAAATCCTAACAACTTTTTAATGTGAATCTTGATAAACTGATTCTAATATGATAATACAAAGGACAAAGAGTAGCTAAAATACTCTCGAAGACCAAGATAGGAAGACTTGCTTTACCAGGTATTAAGTCTTATTATAACAGTAACTAAGATAATACAGCATTGAAACAAGTGTGGAAAGTAGATCTATGCAAAAGAATAAAGAACCCAGAAACAGATCTATATATGTGGACACTTAATTTGCGACCATTGGGAATTTCAGAGCAGTAGGGAAAGAATAGCCTTTTCTTAATAAATCATGCTGGAAAAGTTAAATATTCGTATAAAAAATAGGCAGGGAGTGGTGGCTCACACCTGTAATCCAAACACTTTGGGAGGCTGAGGTGGGAGGATCACTTGAGGCCATGAGTTAAAGAATATAAAAATTATCCAGGTGTGGTAGTGCACACCTGTAGTCCTAGCTACTTGGGAGGCTGAGGTGGGAGAATCGCTTGAGCCCAGGAGGTCAAGGATGCAGTGAGCCATGATCATGCCACTGCACTCCAGCCTGGGTAATAGAGCAAGATCGTGTCTCAAAAAAAATTTGCTTTAAAAGAATTAAAAATTTTTTTTAAAATTCCTACCTTCCACCATACATAAAAATCATTACCAATCTATCTAGAACCCCAATCAATAAGAAAAAGCCAACCCAATAAAAACATGGGCAAGAGACTTAGGGATCTGACAGAAGAGGATATTCAATGGCCAAAAAACTTATGAAAAGATACTCAACCTCGTTAATCAGAAAATGCAAATTAAAATCACAAGGAAATATCACTGCATACTCACCAGAATGGCTAAAATTAAAAAGATTGACAGGAGCATTCTGAACCATTTTTGGCCCAGACTGCTGCCCTATACAAAAATTTTAATAAATAAAAATAAAAAGACTGACAGTACAAAATGGTGGGATGTGAAGCAGTGGCAACTTTTATACATAGCTGGAAGGAATATCAATACTCATATAACCACTTTGGAAAGCAGTTTTTGTCCTTATCTTCTAAAGACAAATATATGTATACCCTCATCCAGTAATTCCCACTCCTAGACATGCACCCATGTTAAAAGAATCTAGTTACTCACACATCAAAAAACAAGTACAAAGCCGTTCATAGCAACATTATTTGTAATAGCCAAAAAGTGGAAACCTGATTATTAACAGAAGAATCAATTAATAAATGATGGTATATTCGTACAGTCGAATACAATAGAAGTTGTTGTATTTACGCTCTGTGGGCCACACACAGTCTCTGTCACATATTCTTTGTATTTTTTTTCCAACCCTGTAAAAATATAAAACAATTCTTGAGAGCCATTCAAAAACAGGCTGAAGCCTTGGCGCATGGGTGTAGTATGCCATACAACAAAGAAAATGAACAAACCACAGTTACATGCAACAACTTAGATAAATCTCACAAGAATGTGGAGCTAAGGAAGTACAGACACAAAAGAAAAAGTACTATATGATTCTATTTGTAAAGTTTACAAAGCAGGCAAAACTAAAGCATAGTTTTTAGGGTTCATATTTAGATGGTTAAAAGCCTGAGGCAAAATAAGGGAAGTGGTTACACTGGATGAGGGGTTCTGGCAATGTTATGTGTCTTGGCCAGATAACTATTCAGTTTGTGGTAAATAATTGAGCTGTGTACTTTGGGTGTTTTTGTTCGGGGTTTTTTGGGGCATTTTATATTATTCTACACAATATAAAAGGTCTAAAAAGATGTGCTACATAAATGAATGTTCACTGAACTTTCATCACTGAACCTTTATCACTTCATCTACTTTGATCCCTCCCTTTCAGCGAACAAACACTCTCGTGTTGAAGAAACTAAATCCTTCTTTGACTTGGCCTTCCTTTCAAGTTACTGTACCATCTTCCTGCATCCTTTCAACACAAAGCCTCTTTAAAAAGTAGTCTATGCTTTCTGTTACTACTTTTTTGGCTTCTTTTATTCCACAGCCTATTTGTCATTCATCCCCACCACTCTACTGAAACTGCTCTCTCTGTGGCTATCAGTGATCTTCTGGTTGCTAAAACCAGTGGCAGGTTGTCAAAAGGATGACTCTACCATTCATTCACACAATTCATTTAACAGATGTTTCAGTTCTTGCTACTCATACTTGAGATGTAGTATTAACAAGACTGAAAAGGTCTTTGGTGGTCTTCAGAGCTTATATTTTAGTGGGGGAGACAAGGAATTAATATCTAAACAATTTCAGATAGTAATAGGAGATATAAGGATAATAAATCGGAATTCTGTACTCATAATAGTGACTCCTTACTGTGTGAGGGAAGGAGCAGAAAGCAGGAGCCATATTAGATGGGACACTCAAGAAAGGCATCTCTGAGTATTTGACACTGGTGGCCACTCCCTCCCTCCATAGTTTTTCCTACTTTGATCTACTTCTTCCACCTCTCTAACCGTTCCCCTTTTGGTCTCTTTTACATGATTTCTTCTCTTCCTGTTTTTCCTTTTTTAATTATAAAAATTTTCAAATATGAACTATCAAAAATAGAATAATTCAGTGAACACATATACCTGTTACCCAGATTCGACATTTATCAAGATTTGGCCATTTTGCTTTATCTATTCTTTTTTTCTTTTCTTTACTGAAGTATTATAAGCATTCCAGACATATCTACTTAATTCAGTTTGCCTTGCTAAAAATATGGGTGTTTTCTTACACATCCACATAAAACTAGCAATAATGCTTAGGTATCATCAGTCCTTAACTAAGTTTTTCAGATTTTCTTCAAAACTGTGTCTTTACAGTTGGATCCAAATCAAGTCTGCACATTCCATTTGGTTGTACTTCTTAAACTTCTGTTATCTATCCCTGTTTTTCCCCTGCTGTTTATTCATAGAAACCTAGTCAGTTGTTTTATAGAACTCTGCTTTCTGGATTTATCTTGTCAAAGAATGAGACCCCCTCTCAATATCTGAAACAAAAAGCATAAAGTTTATTTTATTCTTTGCTATGGTAAGGCTAGAGTCTCCCCAAATATAGTAGACCACTAATCTTATATAGGGTTTTGAGGAAGGGTGGAGCTCAAGAAGTGGCAGAGTTTCATGTCTATAAGTGGGTTGACATTATCTGTAAGAATGTGATTATTTGGGTGGGACTGTTGTTGATCAGTGGGCATTCAGGTGTGTTTATTGGAGTGAGTCCATTCCTGTTTGGCTAATTTTCAGAGACAAAGAGCAGTTACTCATCTTTGCAGGTGTTCACCAGGCAAGTTGTCATTGATCAATTCAATGGATTTTAAACCAACTGAAAGGATTTAAAACCAGTTCTGGTGGTTCTCTTGTTACCATGGTTACATAACAATTAGTCTTTTCCTAGGAGTATGGAAATTTTTTTTTATTCCCTTAGTGTTATTAGCTTGATCCTCTATTCTGTTTTTGGTTAAACTGTTTTAGCAAGATTATTTCACAGCTAATACCGTGTGGTCCCTATTACATCAGGAGGCTTACAATACCTGGTTGCCCCCACTTTAAGTGATGGGCTCCAGTGGTTGCAGCTGATTCCTCCGTTGTAAAGTTCCCTGGCATGCTTTTAACTAATGGTTCTATCCATTAATAATCATTACTTGAAACAGTTATTTTATAAGGAATTCAAAAGTGATGAATTGCTTTTCTTTTAAAAAAAAAAAAAAAAGTTTAAATTTTGGAGATGAGGTCTTGCTCTGTTGCCCAGACTCGAATGCAGTGGCATGATTACAGCTCACTGCAACATCAAACTCCTGGGCTCAAACGATCCTCCTGCCTCAGCATCTGGAGTAGCTAGGACTACAGGTGCACCACCATGCCCAGCCAAGTTCTTTAATCTTTTGTACAGATGGTATCTTGCTATGTTGCCAGGCAGGTCTCAAACTCCTGGGCTCAAGTGATCCTCCCACCTCCGCCTCCCAAAGTGTTGGGATTACAGGCATGAGCCACTATGCACCAGCCATGATTTTCTATTATTATTATTATTCCTTCCTCATTTATTAGCTGGTATTTTCTCAACAAACTTTCCCTCATCAACTATGATGATTTAATTACTTGAAATAACGCTCATCCAAGAAAAAGAGAATAAATACTTAATTCTTTTCTTAAATTGTTTCTAATGTCAGAGCCCTAGTTACTTCCTAGTGGGGGTAGTATCCAGTGAGTCGAGTTTTTGTATTTTGACTTTGCTTTTTCTTACTTTACATAATAAACTCATGGGATTTAATAATCAGTGTGATTCAGCCAATTGCAGTCATTATTTTTAATGCCCTAATTGTTCTTTTTCTGACTACCTTTTAAATGGTCTTATCCCCCAGGATCCGTCTATGATATGCTTTTCTTCCCCCTCTGCACTCTTTCCTGACTGACTTCAGTCTTTCCTATAACTACCCTCCACATTTTAATTACTCTCAAATCACTCTTTCTTACATGAATTTACCAGGCATTAGACCTGTGTTTCTATTTACTCACCTGCCTGGCCCTCCCAAAACATATTACATGCATGACTTCACATCTTTGAACTAAATGTATCTTTATTTGCTGTTCTTTTCTTATACTCCCAGTTATCAGCATTTTCATGCACCCTCTTCCAAGCCAGAAACCAGGAAATCATTTTTTATTCCTTCTCTCTTTTGCATAATTAGGTATTCTCCAAATTCGATCTCAGAATTATTTCACTGTTCCAGCCTTTCCTCTGAATTAAACTGCTTAAAGTATTCAGAAAACAGTGACCTCTTACCCATACTATCTGACCACATTCCTAAGTTGATTGCCTACCACTTATGACCTCTTCCCACTCCAAATTGTTCTCTATTACCCTTGGAGTTACCTTCTTGAAAATAAGTCTAGTCATGTTAGTCCAGTTTCAGGACCTCTGCTGCATCCTTGTTACCTAATACAATAGTGTTTCCCCAGATTTGTCCAAGAGAATATTAATTCTACAAGATATTAATAGGTATTCTTTGAAAAAGAGGTGCTGGAAATAAATACTTAGAAAATACTGATTTCACCCATAATCCCAGCACTTTGAGAGGCTGAAGTGGGAGGATCACTTGAGGCTAGGAGTTCAAAACCAGCCTAGTCAACATGGCAAAACTCCATCTCTACAAAAAAAAAAAAAAAAAAAAAAAAAGCCAGGTGTGGTAGCACACACCTGTAATCCCAACTACTTGGGAGGCTGAGACACGAGAATCCCTTGAACCCAGAAGGCAGAGATTGCAGTGAGCCGAGATTGTGCCACTGCAGTCCAGCCTGGATACTCTGTCTTAAAAAAAAAAAAAAAAAAAACTGATTTGTTTGCTCTAGATTTCTCAGCCTTTTTATATGCAGTGTATTTTAATTCTGTGTGTCTAATAGGGGGATATAATAAATAGCATTCTACAAGCTCATTGGGTCATGAATTTTTTTATTGTTGCTAACTATCTAGAGGGATTAATGTTATTCAGTAAAATTTGGGGAAACACTAGCCAAATGAATAAATTGTTAGCCTTTAGATTGCATTGAAGACCTTTCATAATCTCCCATGTTAAATTAAATATCCCCTACTGTTCCCTTGTCACTCTTTGCATATGTTCTTCTGCATTTGTCTCTTAATGTACTAGCATTATCTGTATCCATCTTCACCATGGACCATGAGTTTCATGGGCTCTCTTTATCTCTGTATCCTCAGCACTAAACAGTGTCTGGCATGTAATAGCTCAATAACAACCCACTGAATAATAAATGGATCTGTTTCTGAAATAGGAATTTTCCCCAGCTCTATTATTATTGTCATACTTACAGGATCATTGGTTTCTTTAATTTGTAGGTTTGGAAAAAGAATTAAAATTAGAGCTGAAACAGACCTTCAAGTTCATCTAGGCCAGCAGTTTTTAGACTGTGTATCTTCAATATTTCACAATCCTCTTTCCCACAGTTCCCCTTCCCTTCAGGGGCTGTTAAAGGGAATAGAAAGGAAAAAGTGGCATATGAAACACATGTTCTCTTAGCAGCTTTAAATGTTAGGTTTCTTAAATTCCCTTTGAGGAGGAGTTCCGAGGCTATACTTTGGGAGCTATTGGTCTAGAGACCAATCCCTTTGCTTATGAAGAAATGATAACAGGCCCAGAATAATTGGCTTTCCCACTGTCACAAAGTTCTTAGTAACAGAGCCAGAACTAGGATTCAAATGATCTTACTTTCACAGTGCTCTTTGCAAAATTTTGAAAAATGAAAAAGCTTATTAGATTATGAACTAAAATTCAGTTATGTGTTCACATGAAAACCTGTACATAAATGTTCACTGTAGCTTTATTCATATTAGCCCCAAACTGGGCACAACCCAAATGTCCTTCAACAGATAATGGATAAATAAACTGTGACATATTCATACAGAAGCCATACATGTAATAAAATGGCATAGAACTAAACACACACACAAATAAGTGCAAATAAAACCAGTGCCATGTGAATGAGATCATTGGATTGTCTCCATGTCAATATCCTGGATGTGATATTGTACTGTAGTTTTGTAAGATGTTACCATTGGGGGAAACTGGGTAAAGGGCACAGGGGATCTCTCTGTATTATTTCTTACAACTGAGTGTGAATCTACAAGTATCTCAAAAAGTTTAATTTAAGAATTTTTAAAAATAAAAATACAGATGCCTCCAAAAAATAAAATATTATGTGGATTTATTATTTAGAGCCAAACTTGGAATGCCACAGTTTTTGAGTCCTGAAGCGCAGAGTCTTTTACGAATGCTTTTCAAGCGAAATCCTGCAAACAGATTAGGTAAAAATTTTAACTAATTTGTTTATGTTGTATGTTTGTTGGTGTTTGTTTTTAGCGGGGAGTAGATATTTGTTTTGTGGTGGAATTATTAACTATTTAGACAAGGCTAGGCCTGGTGGCTCACGCCTGTAATCCCAGCACTTTGGGAGACCAAGGCGGGAGAATTACTTGAGTCCAGGAGTTCAAGACCAGCCTGGGAAAAATGGCAAAACCTCATCTTTACAAAAAATACAAAAATTAGCCAGGCATGGTGGTGCGTGCCTGTAGTCCCAGCTACTCAGGAAGTTGAGGTAGGAGGATCACTTGAGCCTGAGAGGTTGAGGCTGCAGTGAACTGAGATCACACCACTGCGCTCCAGCCTGGGTGACAGAGCAAGCCCTTGTCTCAAAATTAATTAATTAATTAATTAATTAATTAGACAAGTATTGAAAACAAAGGCTGAGCAATATGTATATTTCTCCTTGAAATAAAATTATCAGTGAATCCATTTTTGATAGGTGCAGGACCAGATGGAGTTGAAGAAATTAAAAGACATTCATTTTTCTCAACGATAGACTGGAATGTAAGTATAGAATGAAAACTTGCTTGAAATATTTCTTTATAATTAAAATATGTCTAAGTCTCTTTTTTTTTTCCCCTCCAGAAACTGTATAGAAGAGAAATTCATCCGCCATTTAAACCTGCAACGGGCAGGCCTGAAGATACATTCTATTTTGATCCTGAGTTTACTGCAAAAACTCCCAAAGGTAAGGAGAAAATGTGAAAATCCAAATATAAGACAACAAATATGTTTTTTTCTTGTTTCATCAGAAAATCTTTTCCAGACTCTGGGCGCGGTGGCTCACACTTGTAATCCCAGCACTTTGGGAGGCTGAGGCGAGCAGATCGCTTGAGGCCAGGAGTTGGAGACCAGCTTGGCCAACATAGTGAAACGCTGTCTCTACTAAAAATACCAAAATTAGCCAGGTTTGGTGGCATGTGCCTGTAATCCCAGCTACTTGGGTGGCTGAGGCACGAGAATCGCTTGAACCTGGGAGGTGGAGGTTGCAGTGCATCAAAATTGCACCACTGCACTCCAGCCTGGGTGACAGAGCGACACTCTGTCTCAAAAAGAAAAAAAGAAAATCTTTTCCTGGATAACTCTCTAAGCTATCTTCACATCTCCTAAATTTGCTGTAGATCAACCTTGTATCTCCCCTGTTCCACCCCAACTAGGTTATTATTGAGGGCTGCAGTTTCTAATATGGTAGCCAGTAGCCACATGTGGCTAATTAAATTTAAATTAATTAAAATTTAAAGTGTAGTTTCTCAGTCACGCTAGGCACGTTTCAAATGTCGAAAAGCTGCATGTAGCTAGTGGCTATCAGACTGTAAAGTTAAAGAAAATTTCCATCATTTCAGGAAATTCCATGGGACAGCATTAATTTTGAATACCATTAACCCTATAATTCATCGATGTATTATAGTCTTCAAATGAATTAGCTATTTTCTAGGCTCCGAGGGACTAGGATGTTGGTGTTGTAATGGCAATACACAATCAGAACAGATCTGATACAGTGCCTCACAGGTATCCTGGAAAGCAAGAGGTATATACTGTGTACCTGAGAAATAGAATTCCAGAATAAGTGAAAAAGGTCATAGTGTCAACAGTTTTTCCCTTAATTTCCTTTCAAATGAATCTTCTTTGTCACTTCTTACTCTTTTCAGATTCACCTGGCATTCCACCTAGTGCTAATGCACATCAGCTTTTTCGGGGGTTTAGTTTTGTTGCTATTACCTCAGATGATGAAAGCCAAGCTATGCAGACAGTTGGTGTACATTCAATTGTTCAGGTGAGTGGATGTCTAAATAATTTTAGATTTGGAATGTTGTAAGATATAGTTCATTCTGTGAATAGATCTTTTTCTACTGACTTCAAGTGAGCAATTTAAAATACATTTTAGACTGGGCATAGTGGCTCACACCCGTAATCCCAGCACTTTGGGAGGCCAAGGCAGTTGGATCACTTGAGGTCAGAAGTTCAAGACCAGCCTGGCCAACATGGTGAAACCCCTATCTCTACTAAAAATACAAAAATGAGTTGGGCATAGTGGCACGTGCCTGTAATTCCAGGTACTCAGGAGGCTGAGGCACAAGAATCACTTGATTCTGAGGCAGAGGTTGCAGTGAGCGGAGATCGCACCACTGCACTCCAGCCTGGGTGACAGAGTTGAAACTCTGTCTCAAAAAATAAAATAAAATACATTTTATATCATTAACTTTACTCTTAGGAATTTTTTTCATATGTCATCGAAAAGGTTGCAAGAACCAAAATCCTAGATACCTATGTGACTTGAAAGTAGAGTTTTAGGCCAGGTGCGGTGGCTCATGCTTGTAATCCCAGCACTTTGGGAGGCCGAGGCGGGCAGATCACAAGGTCAGGAGTTCGAGACCAGCCTGTCCAACACAGTGAAACCCCGTCTCTACTAAAAATACAAAAATTAGCTGGGCGTGGTGGCGCATGCCTGTAATCCCAGCTACTTAGGAGGCCGAGGCAAGAGAATCACTTGAACCCGGGAGGCAGAGTTTGCAGTGAGCCGAGATCCGCCACTGTACTCCAGCCTGGGCGACAGAGCTAGACTCTGTCTCAGAAAAAAAAAAAAAAAAAAGAAAGTAGAATTTTAAAAGAGTTGAGATAAACATGACGATGTTGTCTATATCCTCTCCTGTGCCTCAAAATGTTTTTCATGCCGAGTTTGTTTCACCCTCTGCCTCCTTCAGGTCAGCTATGATGAATTGAGGTCTTCTGGTTCTTTGATGCCTTAGAACAGGAGTCGGCAGACTTTCTCTGTGAAGGGTCAGATAATACTTGAGGCTTTGTGGGCTATATGGGCTGTGTCACAACTACTCAACTCTGCTATGTAGCACAAAACAACCACAGACAATACATAAACAAGTGGGCATGGCTGTGCACCAATAAAACTTTATTTACACACACAGGCAATGAATCAGATTTGGCTCACTGGCCATAGTTTGTCAACCTTTGCCTTAGAAAAGATACAAGAAATAAAAATGAACTCAAATCTTAAGTCATCTTTCTAATCAAAGGGAACTCGATATATCTTTTGAAGCATTGGATTCTTTTTAGGATATCATTTGTACTTGGATTTGCTTGATGATTAAGTTGCTTTTGCTCTAAAGTTTTTTCATGAGTCAGTTATCCTGTTTTCCATTTTGTAGAAAAACAATTAAAACACTGGTTTTTAAGCAGAGCTCATGTTGAAATAGTCTGTGCCATTTACTATGCAAGCACATGAATGTATGGCAAGTTTTTAAATTACAAATTCTGTACCTAACATAGAAACCACAAACTTGTATATCCTACAAAATTCAAGTTTTAACATATACAAAGCTCATAGGCATGGATGTCTCATATCAGTATAGCCAAGGGCAGCACAACTTTCCTCAGCCTGTTTATGGAATCAGTAAGTTGCTGTTCATCATCTACTGTGTGTTATTAGTCCCTAACCCATGACGAGCTTCTTTAGCATAAGTTGTGTAAGGCTATGACTTCAGGGTGAAGAAAGGAGGGAGTGGCTACTGAAAGTCCAAAATGGCGATAACAGGTATTGCTTGCAAATACATTATTTTTATTTAATCTTCACCATTACCCTCTGAGAAAATACAGGCTCAAAGTTACATAGCCTGTAAGTGGTGTACCTGAGACAAGAATTCAGATATTCTAATTCTGAATCCTCCTAAATCCTTTCCTTCTATACCATAGGTTTCAAACTTCTCATTTGCAAAGGTACTTGAAAACCTATAGCCGACTGGGGACTGGAATAAGGCTGAATCACAGACAAAGATGTAGGCCCCATATCAAGTAGCTCTGCTTTTTCTGTTGTGCAAATTCAATTTTTGTTTGTAACATAAGCTTTTTTAAGTCATATTTCTTGCTGTACACTTCATTGTAAACACTTTCAAAATCACTTGTTTGTAGAATAATAAGTACTATAAAGATGTATTTTTATTCTTATTCATTTATATGTAGGGCATCAACAATGCATGCTGAGTAACATACTTCCCTATTATAAAATGCACTAAAGGCATTATGGGACTCTTCACCAATTTATAATTTTTTGTAGCAGTTACACAGGAACAGTATTCAGTTTACTGATGGATATGAAGTAAAAGAAGATATTGGAGTTGGCTCCTACTCTGTTTGCAAGAGATGTATACATAAAGCTACAAACATGGAGTTTGCAGTGAAGGTAAATTTTTTTTATTTAAAATGCAATTCATACAGTTCTTGTTCATGCATGTCAGTACCAGTTAAAAATTACACTCCCCTTGTTGTTAAAAGTGCCTTTTGTTATAAAAAAGTTAAATATCTGGCTAGTGATCTTCAGAGATCTTAATCTAGAACCCTGTGAGCTAAAGGTAAGGTGGTTATATATCTAGTTTTCCCAGAGCAGTAGCAGTTTACACCTCAAGTGATTTTTTTTCTTTTTTTACCTCAAGTGATTTTTAAAGTATCTTTTTACTCTGAGAAGTCCCCATTTTATGCTCAGGGTGTCAGCAAATTCCTCAAAATTGTGTGCAAAATTTTGTATGTTTACATCTTCTCTGGCAAAAAGTTCATACCTTTCTTTGCATCTAAAAGGATCTGGGAACTAATGAATAAAAACCACTATCATAAAATTCGTTATCATTGGCTGTTTTAATTTCATCAAGTATCCTAAGACAGAATTTTCTAAGCCAAAAACCAAGGAACCTAGCTCTACGATAAAGTTTGAATTTCAAACCTTTAGTCGTAAGTGAACAAGCACTATGTTCAAGTCTCTTTTCACTTCTTGGAATAGTAACCTCTGCTCTCCAATCTCAAGCAATTCAAACAATGTCTAAAGCTTTCAACTTGTTTGAACCTTAGGACTGGTTTATAAATATACATAGCTCATGTTTAGAGAGATAGTGACATTAGTTGTTATCACTCTTCTAAACTTAGATGTAACTGCTTTAAAGTCGTCAGTGTCTATAGGGCTTTCTGTCAGATAGAAGGATGAACCATAAAAATACATTTAATTTGCTTCATTGGAAGGACAATAAAGCTAATTTTAAAGAAGGAAATTCTTAAAAGAAATACATTTAATTTTCTATTTTCCTATTCATTGCTCTTACTGAAATCTAAGATACATAGAAGTTTTCAAATTGCTTACATGAAAGGAGAAAAGACTAATAATGTATTTGGTAGGCAGTTTAAGGATGTGTCTTGCCTCCATAAATACATCATAAAAAGCAGAAATGTCCTGAGGCCCCTTTGAATTACAGAAACCTTGAGGACTATGCCTAAAACCTCAAAAATATCTCCAAGCTATTTGTGGATTTTTGTAACTTAAATGATTCATAAAACCAATCCCAACACAACTGGATTCTACTGAAATTACCACATATTTGAGGTCCACAAGCACAAGTATAGATCTAATGCAAACTGGGCTCAGATTAGCAGATCCATGCCAAAAACGACCCCTCCCAGTGTGTTCTGGTTTTCAAAAGACTAGTCCCAGGTCATCTCTTAAATTAGCATGTCTATTCCATATACCTCTCCTCTTAATCACCCATTTGCCTAATTCCACACTATCATTTGCAGTTGATTACAGTGGGCACCTGTATGTTTACCTTCCCTGTTCTCCAAATACAGAACTGTTATACAAGTACAGTCTACCCTTGAATAACACAGGACTTGGGAGTGCTGATCCCCAAGCAGTTGAAAATCCACGTATAACTTGACTCTCCAAAACTTAACTGCTCATAGCCTACTGTTGACCAGAAGCCTCACTGATAGCATATATAGTCGATTATTTTGTATGTTATATGTATTATATACTGTATTCTTACAATAAAGTAAGCTAGAGAAAAGAAAGTGTTATTAAGAAAATCATGCCAGACATAGTGTCTCACGTTTGTAATCCTAGCACTTTGGGAGGCCGAGGTGGGAGGATTGCTTGAGGCCAGGAGTTTGAGACAAGCCTGGGCAACAGAGCAAGACCCTATCTCTACAGAAAAATTGTTTAAAAATTAGCCAGGCGTGGCTACATGTGCCTGTAGTCCCAGCTACTCAGGAGGCTGAGACGGAAGGATTGCTTGAGCTCAGGAGGTTCAGGCTGCAGTGAGCTATGTGCCACTGTACTCTAGCCTTGGCAACATAGCCAGACCTCATCTCTACAAATAATTTTTAAAATTTTCTGAGTGTAGTGGTATGTGCCTGTGGTCCCAGCTACTCAGGAGGTAGAGGTGGGAGGATCACTTGGGCCCAGGGGTTTGAGGTTGCAGTGAGCCGTGATTGCGCCACTACACTCCACCCTGGGCAACAGAGCAAGACCCTGTCTCAAAAAAAGAAAAAATATATATAAGGAAGAGAAAATACATTTACTGTTCATTAAATGGAAGTGGATCATAATAAAGGTCTTTTTCCTCATCATTTTCACCTTAAGTAGGCTGAGGAGGGAGGAAGAAGAGAAGGAGTTGGTCTTGGTGTCTCAGGGGTGGCAGAAGCAGAAGAAAATCCACGTGTAATTGGTCCCTCATAGTTCAAACCTGTGTTGTTCAAGGGTCAACTATAAATCCATTTCAGATAGAAGACTGGACCCATGCTTGAGAGTTGTAACCTCTTTCCTAGGTTGCTGGAGTGTCTGGGTATTTAGTGCATACTTAATTACTAAGCTGTTTAAAATTGAACATACAAAGGCCACCTAATTTGTTTCAGACTACCCTTTGAATGAATAGAAAGCAAAATTTGTCTTTTTTATATAATATTAGTTGAGCAGATTAAAACATTAAGAAAAATATTTTTAAGGAGCAGCCAATATAAAAGGGTTAGAAAGCTACATTACTATTTTAAAGGGCTTTATTATAATAATTAAACCAAATTCTAACCAAATAAAATGCTAGGTATGATTTTCTATGTAGCTTTCTGCCTAACTTCAAAAACAAGATTGTTCTACTTAGCAGATAATTAGCTTTTATAAGTAGCTTACAGCTAACAGGATATTCAATTGAAGCATTTTATTAAAGGAAGTAAACTTAATTCAATAAGCAGATGCTAGTGGTGGTGTTATATCTAGCTCTTAATTATCTGTATTGATGGGGGGTTAGAAGTTGACTGAGTTCCCAAATGTTTAAGGCCTCAAGGATAGAAGAAAAGATATGTTAACTGTGTTCTTGGTACCTTTTCTCGAGGCTTTTTGAGTTTTTGGTTAAGTCCTAAACTTACTACAAACTTACAAACTTAGATTGGAGAGGCATGGTGGGAATGCGACTCATGAGTTAGAATTTACAGCCTTGCCATCTATATCAAGACTGGCTTTCTGATTAAACAATCTGGCCAGGTAGTTGAATAAAACTGACTGATAAATGGCTTATTTATACACTATTTACATGAGGTAATACCCAAGGTCTGTAGCTATAAACAATTAATGTTTATAACTGTATAGTTGATGAGGTTTTGTGATAAACATTTGCCTTTTAGATTATTGATAAAAGCAAGAGAGACCCAACAGAAGAAATTGAAATTCTTCTTCGTTATGGACAGCATCCAAACATTATCACTCTAAAGGATGTAAGTAGATTCTTTAATATGGATCATTTGAATCAGTTGTCTAACTCACATTGAAAGTAGTGTATTTTCAAAAATCATGTGGTAGACAAAGAACTCATCATAGGCTGGGCACAGTGGCCCACGCCTGTAATCCCAGCAGTTTGGGAGGCCAAGGCAGGAGGATCACTTGAGGCCAGGAGTTCAAGACCAGCCAGGTCAACACAGTGAGATCTCCATCTCTACAAAAAAAAATTTTTTTTTAATTAGCCAGGCCGAGCACAGTGGCTCACACCTGTAATCCCAGTACTTTGGGAGGCTGAGGCAGGAGGATTGCTTGAGCCCAGGAGTTCAAGACCAGCCTGGGCAACATAGGGAGACCCTGTCTCTAAAGAATATTTAAAAATTAGCCTGACATGGTGGCTCATGCCTATAGTCGCAGCTACTCTGGAGGCTGAGGTGGGAGGATTGCTTCAGCCCGGCAGGTCAAGACCTCAGTGAGCAGTTATCGCACCACTGCACTCCAGCCAGCGCAGCAGAGCAAGACCCTGTCTCAAAAACAAAAACAAAACAAAACAAAATTCAACATGGTAAGTTTAAAAAGTAGATTTGAAAACAATTTATATGTGTATATGGCATAATTTCATTTATCAATAAAGATATGTTTGTACAGTTATTTTTTTCTACTTTTGCTTTAAGAAGAAAAGTACTTACGATATTATTGCTTTTAATATCTGCACTTACTTGAACACTTACCTAAATGTTCAGTGTTAATATTACTATTAGTTCATATTCAATATTGACTAGTCTCACTCTCCAGACTACCCCAAAGTATCTTCCACATTACTAGAAAAGAGATCTAACACTCATAACTACCCATTTAACTTCCCTGCCTACAGTCTAAAGTCCCCAGCCGCTTAAGACCCTGCCTTCCTCTGTAGTTTTCAGACTTCTCACACACCCTTTCTCATACACCTGATGCTCTGTGTTCTAGTATGTAAATTTCTTGCGCATGCCTCATTTTCCATGCTGTTATGTCTGAATTTATAGTTCCCTCAGTTGCCAACACCATCTATTTTCTTTACCTGGCTAACTACCACACATATAAGATTTTGCTAAGGCACTGCTTCTTCCAGGAAGCCTGCCCTGCCCATTGCCACCCCCAGGACAAGTAAAGTATCTTTCCCTGGACTGTCATGATAACCCTGTTGCCTATGTCTCTCTTGACTTTTATTATAACAAAGTGTTGGCAAACAGTGTGAACTCCCCAGGTAGTGTTAAGTCTTCTCTTGCTAATGATGCTCAATAGGCCCAAAGGCCTTATCTGGGGGTTGTCAAAACTCAAATTTCCTCAGATTATCCCTGCTCATGGAGACACAGCAAAAGCTCGTCTCTACAAAAAATGCAAAAATTAGCCAGGTGTGGTGGCATGCGCCTATAGTCCCAGCTACTTGAGAGGCTGAAGTGGGAGGATCGCTGGAGCCCAGGAAGTGGATATTGCAGTGAGCCAAGATTGTGCCAGTGCACTCCTGGGCGACAGAGTCTGTCTCAAAATAAATAAATAAATAAAATTTGTCTTGAATATGAAGTGAGTTTAATTTTTCCTTTATATTTTAAACTTCGTTTTGGGCACATATAGTTTCAAATAATATTTACATTTTGATGTTGAAATTTATAGGTATATGATGATGGAAAGTATGTGTATGTAGTAACAGAACTTATGAAAGGAGGTGAATTGCTGGATAAAATTCTTAGACAAAAATTTTTCTCTGAACGAGAGGCCAGTGCTGTCCTGTTCACTATAACTAAAACCGTTGAATATCTTCACGCACAAGGGGTAAGTCTTTTTACCACTCTATATGTACATACACACACTTTTTTCCTTTATGTTTGAGCTAGAATTAGATAGAAATTACTTTATGCCTGAAATGGAAAATAACTGCTATTAGCTGAATTATCCTACTGACCTTCCTCTATATAAACTTTTATTATTGAGATTGAAGTGTACCTTTGATATCCTAGCTTGTTTATGTTAAACTCTTGTGCTTCCAAGAAAAAGTAAGTGATCTCTTCCGACCTGGAAAACATAGCATTGTTTCTGCTAGGTCACTCTGTACTCATGAAAACCAGGCCCACTTCAGGTTAGAAGCAGAACCAAGGAATCCTGGTTTGTATTCATGTATAAAAGGAAATCCTTAAAACAATGAGGCCAAGGAGTCACATGCTTCGGCTGGTGGATATGCTCTTCGTTCTTCTTGTATGCAGATTTTTAGTAAACAGCAAAAGAAAATTGTATTTCTAGGCTGGGCACGGTAGCTTATGCCTGTAATCCCAGCATTTTGGGAGGCCGAGGCAGGCAGATCACTTGAGGTCAGGAGTTCGAGAAAATCGTATTTTTAAAACAAGGCGGCCGGGTGCAGTGACTCACGCCTGTAATCCCAGCACTTTGGGAGGCCAAGGTGGGTGGATCACCTGAGGTCAGGAGTTTGAGACCAGCCTGGCCAACATGGCGAAACCCTGTCTCTGTTAAAAGTACAAAAATTAGCCGGGCGTCATGGCTCATGCCTGTAATCCCAGCTACTCAGAAGGCTGAGGCAGGAGAATTGCTTGAACCCGAGAGGCGGAGGTTGCAGTGAGTTGAAATTGCACCACTGCACTCCAGCCTGGGCAACAGAGTGAGACTCCATCTCAAAAAAAAAAAAAAAAAAAAAAGAAGGGAAGTCTGGGAGGAAAGGAGAAAATGAGGGGAGGGAGGGAGGAAAGGAGAACAGCAGAGGAGTGAAGCAGAGGAGCAGAAAGCAAGGGGAAAATAAACAATTTTTTAAAAATTTTTTAGTTGACAAATTATGTATATTCATGGTATACAACATGATGTTTTGATACATGCATATATAAAAGATTACTTCTTAAGGAGTTCAGTTTCAATACATTCTTTTTGTTTTGTCTTTGCCCCTGAAAGCCAAGTAGAATGTGTTAATTCTGGAGCTTCCTGACTTCTAACTTATCAAGATTTGCCTAGTATTGTAACTTGAAATTAGTAGAACTCAGTAGTCACTGAGGAACTTATGACCTTGCAGTCATCAAAGTCTTCTGTGTTCTTTTCCCAATGCCTCATCAGTAATTCGTTATTAAAATAGTCTGGAGAAGTGATGTCCTGGATGTGAGGAACTAAATCTAATTTGATTGATTGGAACACAGACTCAGAATTTGGTGACAGAAGGCACACTTAAGTCTAAAAAGGAATGTCAGAGAAGCTTATGATAAAAAAGTACAGTAGTCCCCCACTAATCTGCAAGTTTGCTTTCTGTGGTTTCAGTTACCACAGTCAACCATTGTCAAAAATATTACAGTATTTTGAGAGACCACATTCATATAACTTTTATTACAGTATATTGTTACAAGTGTTCTAATTTATTATTAGTCATTGTTAATCTCTTACTGTGCCTAATTTATAAATTAAACTATATCATAGGTATATATATCTAGGAAAAAATATAGAGAGACTTCGGTATTATCCTCAATTTCAGGAATCCACTGGGGGTCTTGAAACATATACGCCACGGATAAGGGGGGACTACTGTACTCAGGTAGATCATTAAAAGAGGAAAATAATACAGAACTCTAAAGAAGAGGTTTCTTGCATGTGTAACACCTTGTATATCAAATAGGCAGTACCAAAAATAAAGTCCAGATTTGTTTTGGTTTTTTCCTTTTTACTCCTCAATGCCCTGTCTATTCCATTTAGTCTATCAGAATATATTTGTTGTGTATGTATCTTGTACGTGCTGTTCCTTCTAGTTAGAATGACTCTCCCTTACTGTTCTTATGGCTCATTCATTCTGTTCTTCAGCTATTGGATCAGATGTTACCTAATCTAGAGACCCTTCCTGACTGCCCTATTTAAAGTGACCTCCCTAGTTATGTCCCATCTCTCAACCTATTCTCTGCTTCCCCCAGAACTGTGTAAGCTCCTAGCATGGAAAGGCCAGGATCTCATGGGTCTTGTTCACCACGGTATCTACAGCAGCTTATATAATACCCTGGTACATGATAGACACTCAATATTAAATGAGTGATCAACCTGGAGGTAGATATATTATTGCTGTTTGCAATTTTCCTTAACCCAATTACTCAGTTGGACAAAGAGGAGGGAGGTAAGTACTATTCTTTCTTCCTCCTCCTCCTTGCCCCCGGTCTATGTTAGAGAGTTATGCTTTACATTATCAGTATTTTATAATGTTAGGCTAATTTAAAGGTCAGCACTCATCATCTTGTTAAGTGCATTGCTTGACAGTTTGTGAATAAAGAACTTTCAGTAATGGAAATATATTGTTAACATAACTCTTTAATTTGTATTTCAATTAGGTGGTTCATAGAGACTTGAAACCTAGCAACATTCTTTATGTGGATGAATCTGGTAATCCGGAATCTATTCGAATTTGTGATTTTGGCTTTGCAAAACAGCTGAGAGCGGAAAATGGTCTTCTCATGACTCCTTGTTACACTGCAAATTTTGTTGCACCAGAGGTAATTGTGAGAGAGTTTGCTTGCAGTATTAGTATGTTTTAAAACTCATTCACTATGTTTAATACCGAATTATTAATAATAATTTAATTGAAGACTTACTGAAGAAATAATTAGGATAAAATGCCAGCCTTTCATTTCCCTGTTTAATGTTTCAGTGACATCTGATTGCCTACAGAAGAATCTAAATTTCTTAACATATTATAAAAGCCCTTGAGGCAGGGCATGGTGGCTCATGCCTGTAATCCGAGCACTTTGGGAGGCCAAGGCAGGAGGACTGTTTGACGCCAGGAGTTTCAGACCAGCCTGGGCAACATAGTGAGACCCCATCTCTACAAAAAATTTTAAAATTAGCTGGGCATGGTGGCGTGCCTGTAGTCTCAGCTACTCAGGAGGCTGAGGTAGGAGGATCACTTGACCCCAAGAGTTTGAGGTTGCAGTGACCCAAGATCACACCACTGCACTCCAGCCTGGGTCACAAAGCAAGAACCCCTCTCAAAAAAAAAAAAAAAAAACAACCCTTCAGTCTCTCTGGTATTCCCTACCTGCTCCGGTATTCCCTACCTGAAGTTCTAGACACACTGGACTTCTGGCCTATCACTAAGCCTGCTCTGCTCTCTTACTTATAGGTCCAATATAAGCAGGCCACCCTCTAGCCTTCCTTCTCTCCCCATGTCAGGAATAAATTGCTTCCTCATCTTCATACCTATAACATTTAAGACATAATTTGGGGTTTTTGTTTGTTTGTTTAGGGACAGGGTCTCCCTCTGTTGCCTAGGCCAGAATACAGTGGTGCAATCATAGCTCACTGCAGCCTTGAACTCCTCAGCTCAAGCAATCCTCCTGCCTCAGCCTTCCAGGTAGCTGGGACTACAGGAGAACACCACCGTGCCTGGCTTATTTTTTATTTTTATTTTTTAAAGATGAGATCTTGGCCAGATGCCATGGTTCACGCCTGTAATCCTAGCACTTTGGGAGGCCAAGGCAGGCAGATTGCTTGAACTCAGGGGTTTGAGATTAGCCTGGGCAACATGGCGAAACCCTGTCTCTACTAAAAATATAAAAATAAGCCAAGCGTGATGGCACATGCCTGTAATCCCAGCTGCTCGGGAGCCTGAGGCAGGAGAATTGCTTGAACCCGGGAGGCGGAGGCTGCAGTGAGCCAAGATCGCGCCACTGCACTCCAGCCTGGGCGACAGAGTGAGACCCTGTCTCAATAATAATAATAATAATAAAGAGGTCTTGCTGTGTTGCCCAGGTTGGTCTCAAACTCCTGGCTTCAAGTGATCCTCCCACCTTGGCCTCCCAAAGTGCTGGACTGCAGGCGTGAGCCACCATACCCTACCCAGACTTGATTTTATTATAATATTTATCAGGTTGAGTCGTTAACTATTTATATGTTTATTTCCCATCAGATTTTTTTTTGGGGGGGAAATCAGGGGTTTTTTGTATTTCTCATAGTTCGTACCTGATAAAAGTTGGTGATTTTTGTGCTAGGTTCTGTGTGTTCTTTGTGTGCGTGTGTGTATGTGTTCTTAAAAGCATTGTTTTTTGTAAATATTTCTGTAGCCCCAAACAAAATATAAATTCATTAAAATAAGAAAGTTATCTTCAGTTTGTTTTATATTCCTGTGTACCTACAGCACTCAATAAATATTAATTTGAATACCAAAATTAAATTTATGAATTATTAGTAGTAGAATGTTCTAGAATCGGATTAACGTATTGCCTTATTTGGTAACCATGTTCTGTTGAAATTTTCCTTATAGGTGTTGATTTGGAATATATAATTCAACTCATAGCCTTACAAATATATATACAAAATGGTGGTATAGTAATACTAATTTTGCACTTTTTCTAGGTTTTAAAAAGACAAGGCTATGATGCTGCTTGTGATATATGGAGTCTTGGTGTCCTACTCTATACAATGCTTACCGGGTGAGTGTATACCATATGTTCTAAGCACCTAAGCATTTGTTCATCAATGTTTTGCTTAAGTTATCTAGGTTTTTGTTTTGTTTGGGGTTTTTTGTTTGTTTGTTTGCTTTTTCTTTAGAGACAGGGTCTCACTCTGTTGCCCAGGCTGGAGTACAGTGACACAGCCATAGTTCACTATAGCCCCAAACTCCTGGGCTCAAGCAATCCTCTCACCTCAGCCTCCTGAATAGGAGTAGCTAGGACTACAGGAGTGCACCACCACACCTGCCTGATTTCTTAATTTGTAGAAACAGGGTCTTGCTGTGCTGCCCAGGCTGGTTTCAAACTCCTGGGCTCAAGTGATCCTCCTGTCTTGGCCTCCCAAAGTGCTGAGATTACAGGCATGAGCCACTGTACCTGGCCTATGTAGGTTTTTTTTTTTTTTAATTCAGATGTTGTCATATCTTTCCATGTTTTCTCGTGTTATCTAATATATACAATTCTGTAACAATTCCACATTTATGGCTATATCATTACTGATTTTTTATAATGTGCTATTTATTAATGTCTCGAGGTCCTAAATTGATTTTTTCCATACTTTTTTGTACTCTTGTCATGTTAGAAACATAGACCTTTTTTTTTTTTTTTTGAGACGGAGTCTTGCTCTATCACCCAGACTGGAGTGCAGTAGCACGATCTCGGCTCACTGCAACCTCCACCTCCCAGGTTCAAGCAATTCTCCTGCCTCAGCCTCCCGAATAGCTGGGACTACAGGCACGCACTATCACTCCCGGCTAATTTTTGTATTTTTAGTTGAGACAATGTTTCATCATGTTGGCCAGGCTGGTCTCAAACTCCTGACCTCGTGATCCGCCCACCTCGGCCTCCCAAAGTGCTGGGATTACAGGCATGAGCCACCGTGCCTGGCCTACACTATTTCTTAATGTTTTATTCTATAATGTGTCAGGTCTTAAAATATTTATTAATATAAATATTTTGTATATTTGTAATTATTGTAAATATACAATAATTTGTATATTAAATATAATTAATATTTTATAACCTATACTTTACCTGGTGCCTTATGGAGCTTCATTTTGTTGATTTTTTTCACTTTGGTAGATTTTAATAAAATATTACATTAACTGAATTAGAGTACTTTTGAGATTACCAACCAAGTAATAAATTTTATTCATTAATATTTTAATTTTATTATAAATTAGTTACACTCCATTTGCAAATGGTCCTGATGATACACCAGAGGAAATATTGGCACGAATAGGTAGCGGAAAATTCTCACTCAGTGGTGGTTACTGGAATTCTGTTTCAGACACAGCAAAGGTAAGTATCACTTCCTATTATAAGATTTTGAGAAAATAACTTTTTATGATCCATAGTGAGAAGAAATACTACCAGTTAGAAACCTTTGTTTATAAATTAGTATGTTAAACTGATGTTAACAAATAATTTGAACTCGAAAATGGACCCATTATTTTGTTTCTTCCCCAGCTGACATTGGTTTGGCCTTATTATTTATACTTTTAAAACTGTTTCTCACTGAAGAACGTGATAAATAATAACCGTGGTAGTCTTCATGATTTGTCTGTCTATTGTGTGCCTCACATGCCACTTTACCTAAATTATGTCATGTAATCCTCATAACACCCTGTGAAATAGGTGGCAGTATCCCCATTTCACAGAAGGAAACCAGAGCCCGGAATGTTAGTTTGAACTTGTCTATGTTACATACCAGGTAAACATGGGTGCTTCAAACTAAATATGATTCCACAGCCCTCATTCCCTAGAATAATTATACCATGTTCTATTTTTAATTCAGATTATGAAGAAAGGGGTTTCGGTTTTTTCACGATAAACAGATGTATAGTTTCATAGCATCTGCATGAAATCGTTTGAAGAGCCCTTCTCACTGGAAGATCTGCCATCCCCTGAATAGCACTGACTTGCTCTCCAACTCTGTTCTATTTTCACTTTTTTCATAGAGAATTCTTTAAAAAAAAAATGAAGTTTTTTACTTCAAAATAAAAACAGAGTAGATAAAGAGGATACATATTGGTGAAAGTGCATATTCTTTTTTCTTAGGGGTGAAAGCTTGAGTTGAGGTGATCGTATAAGTAAATAGAACACATCAAAAGTGTATATAGATTCTGTTGGCCTAGGGCCTGAAGCCTCAGTTGACCAATTTAATGTCTGTATAGATAATATTTGGTTTTATAACTGCATTTAAAATGAAATGTTGGCCGGGCGTGGTGGCTCACACCTGTAATCCTAACACTTTGGGAGGCCGAGGTGGGCGGATCACTTGAGGTCAGAAGTTCAGAACCAGCCTGGCTGACATGGTGAAACCCCAACTCTACTGAAAATACAAAAAAATTAGCCAGGTGTGGTAGCAGGTGCCTGTAATCCCAGCTACTCGGGAGGCTGAGGCAGGAAAATTGCTTGAGCTAGGGAGGCGGAGGTTGCAGTGACCCAAGAGTGCACCCCTGCACTCCAGCCTGGGTGACAGAGCAAGACTGTCTCAAAAAAATAAATAAAAATAAATAAATAAAATGAAATGTTAGCCTTTACCTTTTTCTAACAATGTCTTAAACCAGATAATTCATTTCTCTGGGTACTTGTTTCCTTTGTAGTTCCCTTATTGAGTGCCTACAATGTGCTTAATAAATGAAGGCCTTAGAGATAAAAGATGTGACAAAGATAGAATTCCCAATCCCAGGTTGCTCACAGTCTAGTTGGGAGACAGCCAAAAATATACGGTGCAGTGTCACATGTGCTGTAACAGTGGTACAGTTTCTGTGCTAAAGAAGTACACAGACGATGCTTAGTCAGAAGGATTTTAAGGAAAGCTTTCCAGAAGCGGTGAAGGAGTTTGCCAGGCAGATTTGGGGAGCTGAAAGATGTAGTCCTAAACTGAGGGATCAGCACATGCAGATAGGTGGTGATGATAGCATGAGAATAGCAGAATGCCTCCAGGCTGGTCATTCCATGTGACTAGTGCAGGGTTGCATGGGAGAGGATAGCTGATGAACCCAGATTGTGAAAGGCTTTGTGGCTCGTGCTGAGGATTGTGGGCTTAACTCTGGGTATTGTGGAGCTGTTAAAACACATATTAAGGAGTGCAGTGATCAGATTTTCCTTTTTAAAGTGCATTCTGTGGAGCAGTAATTCTTAGCTATGGAGTCCACCACAAACTTTGTCATGATAGGTTGTGAGGTATATTAAGTATATGTTACCAATAATAAAATATCAGGGCTTACACATTAATTGATTTTTTAATAAGTTAAAGCAAGTTGAGGTTATCACTGTGATTTTCTTCATTCACTTACATCCTGGTATGCTTTTTTGGTGAGAGAGGAAGGGCAGGTAAGAATGGAGACACAGAGCATAAAAAATTACATCCAACTCACAGCCTATCTTATAGATTCCATGTTATCACTAGTAACTGTTGCTAATATGTACAGTTAAGACTTGTGATTACAAGCATGATATAATTCCATGATTAGCCACAAGATAGAAGGGAGGGCTCTATCAATCTGGGTGTATCCCCTCAAGAGCAAGTTGCATATGTGAATGTTGTCAGTCATGTGGGCCATATGTGGCTTTCAGAGCAAGAAGACTAGAGCTGGCATTTACTGAGCATTTATGTACCAAGGACTGTGCTAACACTTTTACCTATGTTGTTTCATTTAGTCCTCACTGACCTAATATTAGGGACAGTACTTGTAAGGTTTTGCAATATTTCAGGTCATGAATGATGAGGACCTATATTAGAGCAGTTGTGATGGAATTTGAGCCAAATGGAAGAGAAATTGAGGAGGCATAATAGACTTGATGGTTTATTATACATAAGAAATGAGAGAAAAGCAGTTATAATGTATGTAGTCCCCATTTCTACCTTGGGCAGATGGATGAGGGGTGGTATCCTTCACTGATTTGTAGAATACAAAAGAAGTAGTTTTGAGAGGAGTGGTGGTTGCAGATTTGGACATTATAAATTAAGAGATGTATGTCCATCAGGCAACTGTCTATATGGTTATAGGTCTTAAAAGAGAAGTCTGGGGTGACACTTAAGAGTTGTCATCATCCATAGTAGCTAAAGCCATGAATTTGAATGAGATTATCTGAGCAGAGTGTAAGAGAGCCAAGGAAAGAATTCTGGAGAGCACCACTTAAAGAGAAAGCTTAGGGGAGGAGTAGCCATTAAAGGGGCTGTAGTAAGAGAAGTAGTTTGAAGTGAGTTCACCAAAAGCTCATTAACGTATAGATTTGATTAAAATTATAATTGAGTTTTGTTGTACCCCTGGACAGTTTTGCAACCTTTTATGCAATTTTAAGCACTTTTGCCTACTTTCAGAATTGCAAAAGGGAGGTTCCTAATTTTTTTTATTTTTATTTCCAGCTCTGTTCAATTGCGTATCCCTGTTCTTAGCTGTTAATAACTAAAAGTAAGAAACCATAAATGTCTCATAGCAGAGGAGTACCTGGAACAACATCACGCTAATTCCCAAGATCTAGTTAACCACCAGATTCTGTCAGTTCTTTATCCTAAATACCTCCATTTCTCTCTCTCTCTCTCTCTTTTTTTTTTTTTTTTTTTTTTTGAGATAGAGTCTTAGTGTGTTGCCCAGGCTAGAGTTGCAGTGGTACAATCACAGCTCACTGCAACCTCCAACTTCTGGACTCTAGCTATCCTCCCACCTCAGCCTCCTGAACAGCCGGGACTACAGGCATGCACCACCACTCCCAGCTAATTTTTAAATTTTTTGTAGAGATGGAGTCCCACTACGTTGCCCAGGCTGGTCTCGAACTCCTGGGGTCAAGTGAGCCTCCCACTTTGGCCTCCCAAATTTCTCCCACGCCCAGCCCAATTTTCTCCATTACATACACCTCCCTGAAGCTGTCATCTTTCACCAGTCCATTTTCCTCCACACTCAGTGAATGTGATCTTTTTACTTAACCGCATCACTCCCTAACTTTAAACACTTTATTACCATCAAATAAGTCCACGTTTGCAAATATGGCTTACAGGGACTTTCCTGATCTGGTCCCTTCTCATCTCTCCCACTTTATCCACTGCCACATTCTCCTTCACGGTAAATTTATGCTGTAGCCGCATTGTACTGCTGCCAGTTCCTTAACTGTGTCGTCTTCTCTCCCACCTAAGAGCGTTCCTCCAAACTCACTCTCCATTCTCTCTACTCTACCTGAGGCAGTGTTTCCCCCTTCCTTTCTCTAATCTAGCTCCTGCTTATCCTACAGGTCTTATCTTCCTCTTAAAAAGTCCCTTTTAAGCCACCTCACACAGTACAGTCAGGTATCTCTGTGTCCCTCCAGCTGCACCTGGTGTTTGTTCATCCTGTCAAAGAACTTACTTGCTTTGTGATTATTGATTCTTTATCTCTCCTTCACTGAACTGAAAACTTCATGAAGTCAGAGTTCATTTTGTCTTTTTTTTTTTTTTTTTTGAGACAGGGTCTCGCTCTGTTGCCCAGACTAGAGTACAGTGGTTCAATCACGGCTCACTGCAGCCTTGACTTCCTGGGCTCAAATGATCTCTGCCTCAGCCTCCCAAATAGCTGGGACCTCAGGCATATGCCACCACACTCAGCTTTAAAAAAAAAAAAAATTGTAGATACAGGACCTCACAATGTTGCCTAGACTTCATTTCTGTGTTGTTCATTGCTAACTACCCAGTGCCTAGCAGAATGCCTGGCCTTTACTGGATACTTAACAAATGTATTTTGAATGAAAAATTTAAAAAATGGTGGCTTTTATAAATGACAGTGGTGTTATTTTGAAGAGTGTAAAACCATGTAGTGATTATATGCATCTACATTGCATGCATAGGAATGGCATTTAGATAGATATGCAGTGCTAACAGTGACTGTCTCTGGAAGAGTGGGATTATGGAACTGTTCCTCATGTGCTTTCACATTCCAGTATTTTCTGATTATTCTCTAATGCCCATGGGTTGCTTTTGAAGTAGGAAAAAAAATACTATAGTCTTTTCAGGGGGCATTTAGAGCCCTCCAATTAAATTCCTGTTATTGGACATTCATGTTTTTTTTTTTCAGTATTACCAGCAGCACAAAAAAAGTCTTAAGTAACTGAATATTACTTAAAAATAAACTGGCCAAGCACAGTGGTTCACATCTGTAATCCTAGCACCTTGAGAGGCTGAAGCGGGAGTAACACTTGCATCCAGGAGGTGGAGACCAGCCTGGGCAACATGATGAAACCCCATCTCTACTAAAAACATAAAAGTTAGCCAGGCATGGTGGCGCACACCTGTAGTCCCAGCTCTTTGGGAGGCTGAGGTGGGAGGATCACTTGAGGCCAGGAGACAGAGGTTGCAGTGAGCCAAGATCATGCCACTGCACTCCAGCCTGGGCGACAGAATGAGACCCTGTTTCAATAAATAAATAAACCTACAAAAATGTAGGAAACTCAGAAAATCTGAAGGAAAAAAGAGCCAGAGTACTTAAAGATATATAAAATGTGCTAAATTGACCCCTTGTGATGCACCAAATTACAGTTATTTAGCAGGGAAAAAGCGGAGACTGATTTTTTTTCCCCCAAATTACCATGTTGACCAAAGGGCTGCTACCAGAAAAAGCAGTATCACAGAAGCTAAGGAAGAATGTTCATTAGTATCAAGAGCCATAGAAAAAGAAGCAAAACAAAAGGTTTAAGCTTGTTTTATTATTCCCATTACAGGACCTGGTGTCAAAGATGCTTCATGTAGACCCTCATCAGAGACTGACTGCTGCTCTTGTGCTCAGACATCCTTGGATCGTCCACTGGGACCAACTGCCACAATACCAACTAAACAGACAGGATGCACCACATCTAGTAAAGGTGAGCAGCCCCATACAGTCACTGTTTTCCACAGGTCCTCCAGGAGAGACTTCAAGAAGCCCTGTCCATGCCCCCAGCACCTTTCTCTTTCATCCTGCATCCAGTTCTGTTGTGGGATTCTCTTACAGTGGGTGACTTCGAAAAGCTCAAGGCATATCAATATATTAGTAATAAAACTAGTTTAAGAGCGACTTTTGAATTCCTCTCAGTCTACATGAGTAGGTATTCACTATCAATAAGGACAGATTAAGCTTATGGATTTCCCAACTTAAAGAGCATGCCTTCCTGTCTCTTTAGTGCCTTTATGCATTAAAGGAATGCAAAGGGAAAAAATGTTGAATAGTCCTGAGAAAAGTGAGGACTGCCTGTTATGAGCCTATCTTTGTTCTCTCTCATACATAATTTTAACCTCCATGTTGGCCTCTACAGTTTTGGTTAAGTCAGTGGATTTGACCAGTGTGGTTATTTTCATTATGAACCAAATAAAATCTATGTACATTTGCATATGAAAAAACTCTTCATTTTGTATTTGTGTACGTGTGACTATCCATTGTCACTTTTGTTACTACCTTTATTTCCTTTGTTCAGGGTGCCATGGCAGCTACATATTCTGCTTTGAACCGTAATCAGTCACCAGTTTTGGAACCAGTAGGCCGCTCTACTCTTGCTCAGCGGAGAGGTATTAAAAAAATCACCTCAACAGCCCTGTGAAGTGACCTCAGTGAGATATTTGGTACCATGGTGTAAGCTGATAGCACAAGTTCTGGCGACAGGTAGCACGTATCTGAGAGACACCTGCAAGCACACACTGTCCCAGCTGGTACCCATAATGCTGCTGTTCCTGCTGCTGCTCCTGCTTTCCTCTCTTCTCGCTTTAAATGATTGTTAGCAAGTTAGATTTTCCTGGAGCTTCGGAAGAAATGAAAATGGAAACATGATGAAGATATAGTCACTGAATCAATGAGAAAAATAATGAACATATGAATACCACCTAAAAATACACTGAATAAAGTACACCATATAGCATTATTTTTATAGGAAATATTTCATGTCCCTTAAATATTCTTTGTTAGTTATAGGGATGGACAGTTTATGTTAAGCACTTAGCTTAAACAATCCGTTTATATTAGCACTGTATCCCTTGTGCCATCCAACATTTTGTATGTTTTTGTAAACAGTTCATATACAGTACATTTCTGTACTGCTTTCTTTAATGTATACATGCCTTGTTTAACTTGGAATCTATTATTATTAATCAATTGACTATTAAATCTGGTTAAATAGTTCACCTGGATTAACAGTATTGTTGGACAGTCCTAAAAATGGCCAGATTGTGGAACAGCTGTTGAATGTAATACTTCCAAAATGTACATATCTTTCCCCACGTCTGTTTCACTGGTTCGTTCATTTGTTTGTTTCTTAAAGTCAGGTGCTCTGTCAGACTAACCTAGAGAGCTGTTATGGTAGAGAAAGTTATCATATGTGTGTGGCATGAAATCAAGAATACACCTATGAAGTTAGTCCATATACTTTGCAACTCCTTAGAGTACTTTTTTCCTTAATTAAGGAAGTAGTCCTTGCACTTCTAATCTTACATAGCATCCATACTTAGAATTTGGCATATCATCTGGGATTTTGCCAATATACGTCAAAGCCCTTTAAGAGTCATGGTAAGGAGATGGGTGAAGGAAAATTTAGCAACAGGTAATTGAAGTCCTATTGGATATTTCATGTTTAAATAGATATTCTATATTAAACACTAATTTAAATGTAATAAAGGCCAAAGGCCTCTGTATGAAATTGGATTTAAACTTTCTTATTTTAGGGAATAAAACATTATTGATCAAACAGTATCTGTTCTAACCTAAAATTATAGGTAGGGCAGGCTAAGTGAACAGCATTGAGTATTTTCTGAATCCCTCATGATAATTTATAGCCACATACTGCTTCCTTTGACTTCAGGAATGATCAGTTTTCATAATGGCCACTGGGCCTGCTTAGATTGCAGTATTCATTATCTGCATCTAATTTGGTAGTTTCCACAATCGTATTTGATGAAAGAAACTTCAGTCCCCATTATTACCTGTGTCTTTGCCAAGCTGCCTAGCATACATCAGTATGTAATGTAAAAGACATATGAGCAAGAAAAAAGTGATTTAACTTACCTCATCAAGAATGTGCCCCTACAGGCCGGGCGCAGTGGCTCACGCCTGTAATCCCAGCATTTTGGGAGGCCGAGGCAGGTGGATCACCTGAGGTCAGGAGTTTGAGACCAGCCTGGCCAACATGGTGAAACCCCGTCTCTACTAAAAAATACAAAAATTAGCTGGGCATGGTGGCGTGCACCTGTAATCCTAGCTACTCAGGAGGCTGAGGCAGGAGAATCGCTTGAACCTGGGAGGTGGTGGTTGCAGTGAGCCAAGATCACACCATTGCACTCCAGCCTGGGTGACAGAGTGAGACTCTGTCTCAAGAAGGAAAAAAAAAAAAAAGAATGTACTCATACAGATTTTTGTTAGTCATCATGTAATAAGCCATTTATATCAGAAACCTTTTTTCCTGCCACAGAAGCTTTAAATTTTCCCCTAAGAGTACAAAGCCAAGAGAGTGTGGTTTATCTAAATGTCCTGAAATCCACTTGTCATTCCTTAATTTCTCCTCTATGCAATTAAAGAGAAAGGGGAAATCTATAACATTTCTTTTGCCCAAGTGACACAAAAATGATTACTGCATAGAAATCAAATGTAAGTTTAGCTTCTAAATGAAATAATATATAGGAGGGATATCAGAATGTCTAGATAGAGAAAGTATTTTCAAATTCTTGAATATATGGATGCTATTAAAAGCTGCTTTCCATTGCCTGGAAAGAGAGCTTTTTTCCCTCCTCTATTCAGTGTTTCAAACTTTGGTCATCTCAAATTATTGTCACTTTTAAAATGTTAATGTCATTCTGAGCAGAAATAGATATATTTTCAGATTTTTTTACACTGATGCTACTCCGTAATTGCTTAGGAGTATTGTCCATCATAGTATTTTAGAACTAGAAGTAAACACATAAATCCTTATAAATTACCCAATCCAACTTTCTCATATTGCATGTAGAGAACCTGAGACACATATCAAAGTCTAGAATCCTTAACTTCTCCCCATTTTGTTTTTTTCCGCCTCATCACACCATGCTGCCTTTCCCTCATATGATCACCAACCAGTAGCTGAGTTCAAAAACTACATATTTCTTGGGCAGTCCTCTACTGGTATGTGATGCCAACTTTTATTTCTTTCGAAGATAATTGCCTTCTTTGCCTAGCCAAGCAGCCAATTTTATTGGAGAAAAGCAAGTTATATGTTCACAAAATGGAAGGCTTTCTACCTAAATTTATTTCATCTGTGGTCCTCTTATTCTCTTCCATTGCTTTTGACATACAGTGGAAAAACTTGGCCAACGATGTGCTCTAAATATAGTGCTTGTGTTGGGTTAACTTTTCCATTAATTTCTCAACATCAATTATTCAGGCCCCTACAGTTGTGGTATTGAGGCCCCTAAAGGCTTCTGCCTTTCACCAATTAGTGCTGCCAGTTACTGAGGCTTCTCCCAAAAGGTATCAGTCCAGTCTTAAAGATATTTCATTGTGAAAGAAGAAACTAAACTATCAGGCCTCTTTTACAAAATGAGAGATTGAATTTAAGCTTGTCAAGCACGTACTGGAAGGTATGAATTACACTACCATGTGTTTTGTATCTTCCCTTTCAAGTGATGATGTTAAATGAAGGTAAGTTTTTCATCCTTTTTTAATTTTTGTTTTTTATAAATCATTTCAGCTTTTTCTGGTTTATAGAGGTGTCTTATTTCTAATGCAACAGACCCCCAACTTTAACAGATTTGATATGGATGCATTTATTCACAAGCAACCCCAAAAGTCCAAAAATGTAATAATTTTGACAAGGCCCAAAGTTGAGATGCTATGAAGCTTGTGTGTGTGAAAAGTCAGTTATGATTGTCTGGAGAGAAGCTGTGGTGTGTATGCTGTAGAGTTTCCACATTTCACATGCAGTGTACTCCAAAAAGCGGGTTTGGGTCAACCATTTCCCATCTCTTTTTAAGAAGTGACTGCTGTTGGGGCCAGGGGACATCATGGGAGGTGGGGCTGTCCAGTTAGCTGTGCCCTGCACCTTCAGCCCAGGAAAGATTTGAACAGAGCAAAGGCTTCAAGAGAGGGCAGAATGTATTCGGCAGAAAAGGGACTCAGGTAAGCCCAGCCTGGGATGAGAGCAGAAAAGCATTCAAGATTTGCAGGCCTTGCTATGGATGCGCTTAATCACCATGGAGGCCAGCAATACCCATCTCAGCATGGCTTTGATATTCTCTACTTCCTGGCCTTTAAAAATGACCTATAATTTTTCAGTTTGCTTTACTATATTTTATAAAGAAAATTCTATCTTATGGTTGATTGAGCATTGAGACTTATGAAGGCATTAGGATAGATAGCTCAGGAATGTAAAGGTTCAGAAAAGGTCTGTTTTCTCAGATTAACAAATATGATGGATTCCATGGCTGACCTTGGTGCTTAAACCAGGAGGTTTCAATCTAGTCCTAGAGTTGTGTCCCTCTGAAAGGCCCAATGCCATGTAACTAACTTTAAACTGGATATATACTTTGAGCCTTACTTAATTCACAGATAAGTTGACTTAACTCAGTATTTTTATTTCAATTAATGAAAACAGTCCTCTTTTCAACCCCAGGTTGCTTACATTTTGCTGGTCTCCCCAAGTGACCATTGGTGGAGACCAATTAATGAAGGAATGAAATTCACTTTATTGGGACTGTGGTATTCAACAGAGCCACACTTAACCACTTTTTCCAATGAAGAATCTCCAGAATGATAATGCCCAAATATGGATGGCCAAGAAGAATTTGTATCTACGGTGTGCTTTATGTGTTTTTGACACTGCTGTATTCTGTGTGATCAAGTGATTTGCAGCTGGTTCCAATGTGACTGAGTGTTCTCAAAGATTTCTAGTAACTAAGTCAACTTAATTTTCTTAAGCCTGGTATTACTATCAGCCTCACATTTACCACTTTGATTCTAGTTTTTTAACTGTTCATAACAGGGCATACCGAGGGTTGGGATGAGAGCCTACTTCCTACCTCTTAAGGCACTTTCCTCATTATTTTGCCATATAATCTTGAACTGCATGATAAGCTGTTTAAATGTCCATGACTTCTCCCAGAGCAACTAGCAAAGTATATGACATTTTGAATAGAGATTAGTGGAAAGGAAAATGTAGAGATTTAAGTTCAGAGGTACAAACCTCAATAAAACCTCCTTAGAGCACATACCATGAGTAGAGTATATGTAAACGTATATGAGAAGAGAGTCGCTATAATAGTCCTCTCTAAGTAGATTAGTTCATTGTCTAATGGAAGTGAACATCTTTACTCCTGTTATCACCATAGTACTGAATGAACTGTATAATGAGTTTTTCAAACAAGTATTTAAAATAGAACTTTCACGTACAAAGCAAGGGCATAAAGATTTTGGTTTGTGTTTCTGTAAGTGTAGTTTACCATCTAAAGCTTTGGTTTTTAATTTTAAAAAAAGCTTCAAGGTATTGCCATTCCTTAGCATCCTTATTGATTATGGGTGATGAGTTTTTAACTCTTAAAATCATATACGTGTATTAGTTTATCTTAACTGTTGCCCTAAGCAAAAGGGAAGGTATACACCTAAGGGATGTACTTATTTTGCATTTTTGGTCATGGGTGGGAATGGGGTGGGTGCCTACTTAAATAGTTTTTAAAAAAGAAAAAAATCACAAATATTTTTCTACTGTTATATATGATCTTCCTTTATACTAGTTTCTCTCTAGTAAGGCATGCCAGAAGCCCAAGATACCATATCATGAATTCTTACATATTGTACCTTTTGTTGGTGGTTAAATCGCATCAGATGCTTGGCATTGCTGCCATAATTATAAAATGCTTGTAAAGGATCAAATATCACTAAATACTTTAAATTGTTTTACTTAAGAGTCTAATCTGGGAAGTTTTCAAATCATACTATTAATGTGTAATCTAAGCTCTTCAGATGTATCCATGAATAATCCTGGAACAATATTGCTTGTATTCCTGTCATAGAACAGGTTTTGTAATCTTTAAAAGAAATGAAAATTTATATAATAAAGTTTCAAATCAATGCATGTTTGTCCCTTTTATCAGATTATTTTCATCATGTAATCCTTTATAATGTAAAATTCTATCCAAAGTATATTTTTGAAACTAGATTGATAGAACATAAAACAGGAATATTTAAGAAGTGCAAAATAATTTTTCCATGCATAATCTTGTTTCATTCAAAGGGTTTGTCAAGTCAAACACATAAATCATAGATCTTACCCAATACCAAACTTTTAATGAATCAAAGGATATGGGATGATCACCAGACACAGAAGAAATATTCTTTTTTTAGAGAAGTCCAAAATGTTAGAGAGTCCAGCTCCAAAAATGGCCCTTTTCTCTCTCGGTGCACTTTGGATTCAAAAAGGACAAGTTTCTTTCTGAGCGTTGTATGTGGAGACCTTGTTCAAACAAAGGGAGTCATTTGATTTTGCAACATCTCCTTTTTATACTTCATTATGCAGTTTAAATGAGCCCTCATTCTCCAGCCAGTCATGCCTCATGAATCCACAAATCCCAAGTTTTACAATAAACCATCTATAAAGACCAAGTATATCTTGCTAAAAGCATTTTAGAGATAAGGACTTTACATTTTCTCTCTGGTAATATCAGCACATTTTAGAGGAAATTTGATTGAGTTCATTGATTCCTAGTAGAGAGGGAATGGGTTATATAGGCCTGAAGTTAGCCTTTTCTTGCCCAGCTGACATTTCTTAGTAGTTCCATATTATGAAATACCACACATTGAGTGACTTAATCAGAATTTATTTTCTCACAGTTCTGGAGGCTGGAAGTCCAAGACCAGGGTGCTTGTAGGGTTGGGTTCTTCAGAGACCTCTCTCTTTGGCTTATAGTTGGCCGCCCTCTTGCTGCCTCTTCACATGGTTGGTCCTCTGTGCGTGTGCAGCCTTGGTGTTCCTTTTTTTATAAGGACACCAGTCATGTTGCATTAGAGCCCCACTCTAACAGCCTCATTTTAATTCAATCACCTCTTTAAAGACTTTATCTTCAAATACTGTTACATTCTCAGGTACTGGGGGTTGGGACTTCAACATAAGGATTTGGGGAAGGTAACAATTCAGCCCATAACAGCTGGTTCAGGGGCTATCCACTTGGATTTAGGTACTCGAGATAAGATGGCGACCTTCAAGGTCTACTTGGCATTATGCTGAGGCAAGGTAGGAATGTTAACTGTATTTGCTTTCTACCATTTTTGTAACAAATTACTACAATTTAGTGGCTTAAAACAACACAAATTTGTTATCTTACACTTCTGGAGATCAGAAGTCCAATACAGGTCTCACTGAGCTAAAATCAAGGTGTCAGCAAGGCTGCTACGTTCCTTTCCAGAGGCCCTAGGGAAGAATTGTTTCCTTGCCTCTTCCAGTTTCTAAAGGCTGCCTCCATTCCTTGACTTATGGCCCATTCCTTCATCTTCAAAACCAGCAACAGTGGGTCAAGTCCTCTCCATATGCATCTTTTTGCCCCTCCTCTTCTGCCTCTTCCACTTTTAAGGACTCGTGTGATTAGATTTCACCTACGCACGTAATCTAGGATAATCTCTCCATCTCAAGGTCAACAGATTAGCAACATTAATTGCATCTGCAACTTTTATTCCCTGTTGCCATGTGAGATAACATAATTCACGGATTCCAGGGATTTGGACATGGACATCTTTGAAGTTCATTAGTCTGCCTACCATGATTATAGAAACACCTGGCTTCTCAGACAGACTGACACAGAGTAGCAGTATTGGCCATGGTCAGGCTTCTGCAGCTTTATATTAATGTACCCTGAATTCATAAAATTGACACACTAAAAAAAAGCTAGGTAAAGGAAGTGCAGGATGCTGTAGGAATATGTAGCAGGGTTGCCTAGGGATTAGAGCAGACCTTCTAAGGAAACAATTATTAATCTGAGACCTAAAAGGGCAAGGGAGAAGGGTAGAATAGAATGTATAGAAATTCGGAATTAGAGGCACTCAAAAGTTCTGTATGACTAGAACTTAAAAAGTAAGAGAAGAAGAAATAATGTGAGGCTCAAGAGATAAGCAGGAGCCAGATCATCAAAGGCATAATAAATCATATTAAGGAATTTGAATTTTATACCTCTGGGGTTTTCCCCCACAGTCCCCAGTCTTTATTTCCTTTTTTATCCAGACTGAACCTCATGGCCCCATAGTTGATAATCTGAACTTCTCTCTTAGAAGCACCCGCAACTTCCTTATATTTTTCCCTTATTCTGCACCCACTGAGCAAAAAAAAAAAAAAAAAAAAAAAACTCCAATCCTGGATCATTTTGGTTAATGATTGTATGCAGTCAGCTATTGTATGGAAGAAATGTAACCACCCAGTGGATTCACCTTGCTCTGTGGAGACAGAGCCAATTTATCAAGACAGGAGAATTGCAGTAGAGAAAGAGTAATTCATGCAGAGCCAGCTGTATAGGAGACTGGAGTTTTATTATTACTCAAATCAGTCTCCCTAAGCATTCAGGAATCAGAGTTTTAAAGGATAATTTGGTGGGGGGTCGGGGGGCGGTGAGTCAAGAATGCTGATTGGCCAGGTCAGAGATGAAATCATAGGGGATTGAAGCTGTCCTCTTGCAATGAGTCAGTTCCTGGGTGGGGGCCACAAGCTCATATTAGCCAGTTTATTGATCTGGGTGGTGCCAACTGATCCATCAAGTGCAGGGTCTGCAAAATATATCAAGCACTGATCTTAGGCTTTATGATAGCGATGTTATCCCCAGGAGCAATTTGGAGAGAGTCAGAATCTTGTAGCCTCCAGCTGCATGACTCCTAAACCATAATTTCTAATCTTTTGGCTAATTTGTTAGTCCCACAAAGGCAGTCTAGTCCCCAGGCAAGAAGGGGATTCATTTTGGGAAAGGGCTGTTATCATTTTTGTTTTAAACTGTAAACTAAATTTCTCCTAAAGTTAGTCCAGCCTACACCCAGGAATGAACAAGGACAGCTTGGAGGTTAGAAACAAGATGGAGTTGGCCAGGCACGGTGGCTCACGCCTGTAATCCCAGCACTTTGGGAGGCCGAGGTGGGCGGATCACGAGGTCAGGAAATCATAGACCATCCTGGCTAACATGGTGAAACCTCGTCTCCACTAAAAATACAAAAAATTAGCCGGGCATGGTGGCGGGCACCTGTAGTCCCAGCTACTCAGGAGGCTGAGGCAGGAGAATGGCGTGAACCCGGGAGGCGGAGCTTGCAGTGAGCCGAGATCTCACCACTGCGCTCCAGCCTGGGCGACAGAGTGAGACTCCGTCTCAAAAAAAAAAAAAAAGAAACAAGATGGAGTTGGAGTTGGTTAGGTCAGATCTCATTGTCTCAGTTACAATTTTGCAATGGTGGTTTCGAAAACCATATAATTATGCAAACTGATACCACTGCAAATTTATATTTTCTAACCTCAGCTAAACCCTCAGTACCATTTGTCATTTGATCCGTCTCCTATTTCTTTAATAGTTTTATTGAGATATAGTTTACACGCCATACAGTTCACCATTTAAAGTGTACAATCTAGGCCGGGCATGGTGGCTCATGCCTGTAATCCCAGCACTTTGGGAGGCCGAGGCAGGTGGATCACCTGAGGTCAGGAGTTCAAGACCAGCCCGGCCAACATGGCGAAACCCCGTCTCTACTAAAAATACAAAAATTAGCCGGGCATGGTGGCAGGAGCCTATAATCCCACCTACTCATGAGGCTGACGCAGGAGAATCACTTGAATCTGGGAGGCAGAGGTTGCAGTGAGCTGAGATTACGCCATTGCACTCTAGCCTAGGAGACAAGAATGAAACTCTGTCTCAAAAAAAAAAGTGTACAATTTACTGTTTTGTTTTGTTTTTATTTTTTTTGAGACAGTGTCTCACTCTTGCCCAGCCTGGAATGCAGTGGCACGATCTCAGCTCATGGGTTCCAGTGATTCTCCCTCCTCAGCCTCCCAAGTAGCTGGGACTACAGGTGCACACCACCACGTACGGCTAATTTTTGTATTTTTTAGTAGAGACGGGGTTTCACCATATTGGCCAGGCTGGTCTCGAACTCCTGACCTTGTGATCCACCCGCCTCGGCCTCCCAGAGTGCTGGGATTACAGGTGTGAGCCACCGCACCCAGCAATTTAATGTCTTTTAGTATAGTACTTACAGAGTTGTGCAACCATTATTATAATGTAATTTTAGAACATTCTCACCATCCTAAAAAGAAACTTTATACCCTAGTCCAAGCCACAACTGTCTTTCGTTCGGACTGTTACAGTAGCCTCCCGTGTGGTTTCCATTTCCACCCTTGCCCCCTACAGTCTGTTCTTAACACAGAAACCAAAATGATCTATTTAAAAACCTACTGAAAGGCCGGGCGCAGTGGCTCATGCCTGTAATCCCAGCCCTTTGGGAGGCCAAAGCGGGTGGATCACTTGAGGTCAGCAGTTCGAGAACAGCCTGGCCAACATGGCGAAACCCCGTCTCTACTAAAAATACAAAAATTAGCCAGGCACGGTAGCGCACACCTGTAGTCCCAGCTACTAAGGGAGGCTGAGGCAGGTGAATCACTTGAACCTAGGGGGCGGAGGTTGCAGTGAGCCAAGATCGCGCCACTGCACTCCAGCCTGGGCAACAGAGCGAGACTCTGTCTCAAAAAAAAAAAAAAAAAAAAAAAAAAAAACCTACTGAAGATTCAAGTGATCTGGCCTCCTTACTTCTCCAATCTCATCTCTTCAAATTCTTCCCTTGGCTCAATGCATTCTAGCCACACTGACCTTTCTTTTCTTCCTTCCTTCCTTCTTTCCTTTCCTTCATTTATGTCCTTCCCTCCTTCCTCCTTTCCTTCTTTCTTTCATGGGGTCTCACTCTGTTGCCCAGGCTGAAATGCAGTGGCACGATCATAGCTCATTGCATCCTCAAACTCCTGGGCTCTAAGGATCCTCCTGCCTCAGCCTCCCAAGTAGCTGGGACTACAGATGTGAACTACCATGCCTGGCTTTTTTTACTGTCGTGTGTTTATTATTTTAGAGATGGGGGGGTGGGTCTCGCTATGTTGCCTGGGCTGGTCTCGAACTACTGGCCTCAAGCTCGATCTTCCCATCTCAGCCTCCTGAGTCACTGGGATTACAGGTGGAAGCCACTGCACCTGGCTTCTTGCTGTTTCCTGAATATACCAAGCATGCTTCCACTCAGGGCCTTTGCCCTTGCTGTTCTCTCTGCCTAGAACACATTTCCCCCAGATGTCCACCTGACTCACTTCCTTCCAAGTGATTAAGATGATCAGTCAGATGGGGGAACCATCCTACAGTAGAGAAATGAAGCCTGATATTTTTTTTTCCTCTTTGAGGTTTTATACTGGGTAATTGACAGAAACTTTTTATTTTTAAACATTTAGAGTTCCGGACTCTTAGAGTCTAACTACTTACCATGTACTAGGCACAATTGCTAATTGAATGCATTATATCAATTTAATTCCTGCAACAACCTAATGTAAGTACTATTCTTTTTTTTTTCTTTTTTTTTGTTCGTTTGTTTGTTGGAGATGGAGTTTCACTCTTGTTGCCCAGGCTGGAGTGCAGTGGCGCGATCTTGGCTCACTGCAACCTCCGCCTCCTGGGTTCAAGTGATTCTCCTGCCTCAGTCTCCCAAGTGGCTGGGACTATAGGCGCCTGCCACCATACCCGGCTAATTTTTGAATTTTTGAGTAGAGATGGGGTTTCACCATTTTGGCCAGGCTGGTCTCGAACTCCTGACCTCAGGTGATTCGCCCACTTCGGCCTCCCAAAGTGCTGGGATTATAGGTGTGAGCCACTGCGCCTGGCCGGTTAGTACTATTCCTACATCCAATTTACAGATGAGAAAACGGAAGCTTGTAAAGAGATTAAAACTTGCCCAAGAAAATAGAGTAATAAGTTACTGCAGAGCTTGAATTTGAACCCAGGCCTCTCTAACTCCAAAGCTCAAGTTCATAATTATTTGACCTTGGAGCAAAATTTAAATAAATTTCATAAAAAATCCTTTCATCCTCAATTATGTAAATTGAAAAATATTGCAGATAGAAAGAGAAACCCAGAACTTTGAGTCCCCCATTATCTTTCAATTTCACTCTAAGAAGTGCATCTGTCATTGGGTTTCTCAATATCAGCTCTGCTGATGTTTTGGGCTGGATAATTGTTTGCTTGTATGGGGGAGGGGAGATTGTACTGTGCACTGTAGGATGTTTAGCCGCATCCCTGGCCTCTGCCCACTAGATGCCAGCATCACTGCCCCCCTCCTCAAGTTATGACAACCAGAAACATTTCTGGTTGACGCTGCCAAATGTTCACAGAAAAGAACCACTATATTAGATGATGATACTTTATTTCTGTCTTCTAAGTATGTGCAAACCCTGGTGTTTGTGGAAAGGTGATTTATTTAAAATAAGTTTACTTGGTTTAGTCAAAATAAGTTTACTTAGAAATAAATCTTGTAGAGTACAGCCCAGCATTAGCCAGCTGTATTAGTTTGCTAGGACTGTCATAACAAAGTACCACGTACTGAGTGGCTTAAACAACAGAAATTTATTTTCTCATTGTTCTGGAGACTGAAAGTCTAAAATCAAGCGTCAACAGGGTTGGCCTCTCTCCTGGGCTTATAGATGGCTACCTTCTTGTTCACGTGGTGTTCTCCCTCTATGCCTGTGGCCTAATAATATCTTCTTGTAAGGACACCAGTCAGATAAGGGTCCACACTAATGACCTCATTTCAATTTAATCACGTCTTTGAAGAACTTATGTCCAAATACAGTCACATTGAGTTACTGGGGATTAGAACGTGAACATACGAATTTTGGGGGGGACACAATTCAGCCCATTAACATTGAGCTTAAGTCTTTTCTCCCCTCCCTCCCTTCCTTTCTGTGTGTATTGAACACCTATTATGTGCCAGACATTCAGCTAAGTGGGGGTAATGGTAAGCAACAAACATGGTCTCTGCCCGGTAAGGTTTACAGTGAGGTAGGACAGACAGACTTAAAGAGTAATAACAAGTGCCATGCAAATATTATGCTTTGGTAATGGATGCCAGGAAAGCCTTGCCCTTCCCATCAGGCTCCCAACCCGGCTGGGCGAGTGAAAGGACTGCGTTATGAGCTAACCGGCTGGGCACGGTGGCTGACGCCTGTAATCCCAGCACTTTGGGAGGCCGAGGTGGGCGCGAGTTGAGGTCACGAGTTCGAGACCAGCCTGGCCAACATGGTGAAACCCCGTCTCAACTAAAAGTACTAAAATTACCTGGGCATGGTGGCACATGCCTGTAATCCCAGCTACTCGGGAGGCTGAGGCAGGAGAATCGCTTGAGCCCGGGAGGCGGAGGTTGTAGTGAGCCGTGATCGCGCCACTGCACTCCAGCCTGGGCGATAGAGCAAGACTCCATCTTAATAAAAAAATTAAAATATTGGCCGGGCGCGGTGGCTCACGCCTGTAATCCCAGCACTTTGGGAGGCCGAGACGGATGGATCACGTGGTCAGGAGTTCAAGACCAGCCTAGCCAAGATGCTGAAACCCCGTCTCTACTAAAAACACAAAAATTAGACGGGCGTGGCGGCACGTGCCTGTAATCCCGGCTACTCCGGAGGCCGAGGCAGGAGAATCGCTTGAACCCGGGCGGCAGAGGTTGCAGTGAGCCGAGATCGCGCCACTGCACTCCAGCCTGGGCGACTCTAGAGCAAGACTCCGTCTCAAAAAATAAAATAAAAATAAAAATATACATATTTTTTAAAAACTGAGCTAACCACGAGGTTAACGAGTCAGCCACTTGTGAAACCGGGAGACGCGCGTTTGCTACAAAGCAGCAGAGGTCTGGTCTTAACCAGCAGCAAGCGCCACCTCAACCCGCCCTTTTCTATGACGCAGAGTCTCTCCCCCTCCCTCCCTGACTCCGCCTTTTCCCTGCTTGAGGCCCTGCCCCTCGCGTCCTCTCTGGCTTGCTGCGCACCCTCCCACAACGCGTCTCCCTCGGCTCTAACAATAGGAGTCAGTCGGCCACGCCTGCGTCATAAAGCCTGGGGGCGGGCCCAGCCGGCGACGGGAGGCGGGGAAAAGCGACGCAAAGAGTCGCGGCGCCATTTGCTGCCGCCGAGCGTGGACGCAGGCGGATCTCTGAAGAGCTGGGTCGCCAGCCTCTCCCGCGCACGTTGCCTGGCCTCCAGCACCTACTTGGTCCCGCGCGCTCCCTCGTGTCGCCCCTCGGAGCAGCAGCCGCCGCGGTCGCCGCTACCCGGAAAGAAGTCAGAGACGCCGCGAGGTCGCCGCCACCGCCATGCCCAAGAATAAAGGTAATGCCGCCCGGACCCCCGGACCACGGCTCTGCTCGGCCGGGTCTCCCAGGTCCTGCCCGTAGATTGCAGGTCACCCAGGCCGCAGTGACCCTTTTTCCTTCCCGCCCTGCCTGCCCGCGGCTGGGCGCCCCACACGCGACTCTGAGCTCGGGAGAGGAGCTGGGAAGTTAACTCCTGTTGCCCAGTTTGGTCACATTGGGGTGGAGCCGGCGCCATTTTTGTAGGGCCTCCTGCGGGAGAATGTGGGCTTTTGCTCCTGATTCGCGCCAGACTGACCGCTGCTCGGTGGGGACGGTGGCGGGAACCTTCCCCGGGGCGGCCTAGGTTTAGTAGATAGGCCCCTTTGGCCTTCCCGGGCATGAGGGGTTATAATCCCTGGAAGCCGTTCTGAACTTTCAGAGTGCTGTCTGCATTCGTGAGCACCAGGTACTCCTGCATGGGTTTCTTTATGGACAGTTCAGTATTGTTGAGGCTACTCGCTGTCCCTTGTGAACAGTGGGTGAAACCTTGATACATTTCTAAGGCTCACCTCTAGAGATTTACTCTCTCCATCCCTTTACAGGATATAGCTTATGTTTGTTTGCTGAAGACTTATTCCATATTGAGCCAAGTTTTCTACTTTTGCTTCAGATGATGCATATGTTGTGAGAATAAAGACCTAATTTAAGTGTCCTCCATTCTGAGGCTAAGCGTTCACAAATGATCAGACTTGAGGATAACTTTATTTGGGATTTCCAAAACGGAAGGCCTAATCTTAAAAAAAAAAAAACAAAAACAAAAAACAGAACACTCCTAAAGAAATTACTTTTATAGATTTACAGTGTTCCTGTCATTTTTAATAGCCGTATAACTTGAAGAAAATTGTGCAAGTAAATATAGGGAAAATACTGTATTTTCCTACAGGAGAGGAGCATACTTCATAGTCCGTAAGTAGTCTCCTTTGATTATTCATTCTAGAGGAAACCCTCCCCTGACACAGGCCTACTTCTGCTCTCTTTTCTACTTGACAGCTGGCTCCAGGGATTCTACCACATTTCCTCTTTGTAGCTGTCACTTATTACTTTATCCCTTAGGGTACTTGGTCGAGGTGTTCTGTGCACAAGTTGGTGCAGTCACTGCTCATTATTTTGGAAAAGATGGAGTTATAAACAAAAAATTTTAAAGTCTTACAGTTTTCTTCTGTATAATCCTTTATTCTCTCTGAGGTGGTAAGGGGATCACTTCCATCTTATTCTCACCTTTATTTCTAGTAATAAGATTTCCAATTCTTCCACCAGGCTGTAAGCTCTACAAGGCAGGAATAGTATCTGTCTTAATCTCATTGGATTGCCAGCACTTGACAATTAGTAGATGCTTAATAAATATTTGTTGGTTTAAGTCACCTACCTCCTGTCGACTCCACCCTTAGTGAATAATAGGTTCTGCTTTGGTTCCAAGGGGATAGGACTTCTACACTAAATCACATCTAGTTCCCTAGCCTCATGTCTTAAGAAAGAGCCTCTCTGGGAATTTCTCCAAAACAACTCTGGTTTAAAGAATGTTGATGTCACTTTAATTGTTGTACACTCAGACCTAGTCTCATTCATTCAACAGAGAATTTAAAGAACATCCCATTACATGGCAATAAAATACAAAGGGGAGTGATCCGGGTATGGTTAATTCTGGTAAATTGACAAGTAATTAGTCTTTTCTTAAATAACATTTGAGGCATACAAAAAATACAGCTAACATGATATACCTGGGAACCCATTACTCTGAATTTAAGAATTACAGCGCAGATTGAGGTAAAGCCCTAATCACCTTTTACTCTCTTTTTGGAGGTAATCACCAGGCTGAGTTTGGTGTTTATCATTCCTGTACTGTCTGAAACCAATCAGTTCTTAGTTATCTTACTTAGAGGAATGGTACTTTTCATGACCTAATTTAAGTGTCCTCCATTTTTTTTTGCTGCTTCCAAGCTCTTCCCATGAGTCTCTTAGGGTCATTACCACTTACAGCCTTTTTCCTGCCTTTTGGAAATGGCTGCCAATGTGGTTTCCTTTCTGGAATGGGAGCAAAATGCTGTGGAGAGGTAAGCTTATGTGGGGGCTAGGGGCAAAAAAAACATTGTGACTTTGGTCACCCCAGCTTACTGACTGTAATCAGTGAACTGATTTACTCACTGAAGCTAAGCGACTTACTTAACTTCTCTGAGCTTCAGGGAACTCATGGGTAAACTGGGAATAAATGAATGTTATGACCTCATGGGGTGATTGTGACAAGTAAATGGGCAGAATTATTGCATAGTGGTTAAGAGCATGGTCACTGGGGTCATATAATAGAAACAGGGATGTTGAGTAGGGACCAGCATTATAAAAGAAAGTAAATTGGGTACCGAACAGATCTTCTTTATTTTTTAAGAGACAGTGTCTCGCTATGTTGCCCAGGCTAGCCTGGAACCTCCTGGGCTTGCTCAAGTGATCCTCCCACCTGAGCCTCCTGAGTAGCTGAGACCCTAGGCGCACACCACTGCACCCAGTGAGATTTCAATATTTATGGTACTCTGCTACCAAAAGTTTGAAAACCACAGTTCTCTGTCCAGACACTGTCTTCACTTAATTTTGAAAGTATCGGGTTCCTTGCATAGGGCCTGGCTTTAGAAGACACCCAAGATTTCCGCTTAGAAGAATATGTATAGAATTGCATTTTTATTTCAAAAGGATGGGTGCTAAAGTGAAATGTTTTTCTATATTTTTTAACATAATATCTGCTATTTATGTGTATTTTATGTCAGAAAAATCCCCAAAGGAAATTCCAAGAAGGGTAGGGAGGTGATAATGTGTTAATGTTGGGATTGGAGATTGTAAATTTAATATGATTGTGTAGCTAAAATAGATGAATTTTTTAATTTAAGTGATCTTTTAAAAAATGGTTTTATAAGCCTTAATTTCATTTTATTTCATACTGTTTTACAGATAATTAATGTCATTTACCTCCTTTTCTTTTTTTTAAACCATCAGGTAAAGGAGGTAAAAACAGACGCAGGGGTAAGAATGAGAATGAATCTGAAAAAAGAGAACTGGTATTCAAAGAGGATGGTCAGGGTAAGTGTTTTCATAAATTACGCTTTTTAAAATAACATCCTTTCTTTTTTAGCTGGGGACTTTATTTTTTTGAGACAGCGTCTTGCCCATCGCCCAGGGTGAAGTGTGGTGGCACGATTACAGCCCACTGCAGCCATGACCTCCTGGGCTGAAGCAGTCCTTCCACTTCAGCCTCCCGAGTATTTGGGACTACAGGCACACACCACCACGTCTGGCTAATTTTAAAAATTTTTTTAGGCTGGGCGCAGTGGCTCACGTCTGTAATCCCAGCACTTTGGGAGGCCAAGGCGGGCGGATCACGAGGTCAGGAGTTCGAGACCAGCCTGACCAACATGATGAAACCCCGTCTCTACTAAAATTACAAAAATTAGCTGGGTGTGGTGGCACGTGCCTGTAATCCCAGCTACTCAGGAGGCTGAGGCAGGAGAATTGTTTGAACCTGGGAGGCGGAGGTTGCAGTGAGCCGAGATCACACCACTGCACTCCAGCCTGGGTGACAGAGGGAGACTCTGTCTCAAAAAAAAAAAAAAAAAAAAAAAAAAAACTGTATAGAGATGAGGTCTTCATATGTTGCCCTGGCTATTCTCGAACTCCTGGGCTCAAGTGATTCTCCCACCATGACCTCCCAAAGTACTGGGAACTAAGAATGTGTCGTATAGTTCAGAGGGAATTGAGCTATGGTTGACAGTTCTGTGATTTAGTTGGCAGTTCTATGATTAGCATTTCTGGTAGTGAATGGTACATATAATATGTTGAGTAGACCATGGACATTTGAAGGATGAGCCTGAGGCCCTTATAGACCTCTCCATTCTCCAGTGCCATTAGCATATAACTTCGTAAACTACAATAAAATGAAACTGAACAGTTAACTGATTTTATTAGACTGAAGAATATTGTAAGTGCCAGACCAAGATACATAGCACTAGTCAAATAAATCCTAACTGGATCGTTTGCCCTTTCCTGTTACTTTTATTTCGAGTCATTTCAAACCTACAGAAAGTTGCAGTATTAGTGCAACAAACTCCCTTAAATCCTTCATCTGTACACACACATATAAAGAAATATATATGTGGGATTTTTTAATTTTTTTTTTGAGATGGAGTCTCGCTCTGTCGCCCAGGCTGGAGTGCAGTGGCGCGATCTCGGCTCACTACAAGCTCCACCTCCCGGGTTCACGCCATTCTCCTGCCTCAGCCTCCCAAGTAGCTGGGACTACAGGCACCCGCCACCATGCCTGGGTATTTTTTTTGTATTTTTAGTAGAGACGGGGTTTCACTGTGTTAGCCAGGATGGGTCTCGATCTCCTAACCTCGTGATCCACCCGTCTCGGCCTCCGAAAGTGCTGGGATTACAGGCGTGAGCCACCGCACCTAGCCCCATATGTAGGATTTCTTCAGGACCATTTGAAATTTAGAGACATCATGTTACTTTTCCCTTACTTGATCATGTATCTTCTAAGTGCAAGTATATTTTCTTATATAACTAGAAGAGAATTATCACACTCAGGTAATTTGACATTGATATAATATCTAGTATATACTCCATATTTCCTCAGGTATTCCAATTATTTCCAGTACTTTAGCTTTTAATAGAACTTTGGGTGGATTTATTACGCCATACATATAAACCAGTAAACATGAGATACGTTTTCTGGCTAAAAGTCCTTTGGTTTCTTAGCCTTGGTCATCCTTGCCTCTAAAATAGCAGCTGACTTGACTTGGGCATACACTGTTTTATTATTACTTTTTCCCTCACTTCAGAAGAAAGGCTGCCTTTGAGTTGACCAACCATGTTGAGGTGGTAGATGGGTGCTAAACTCACTGTAGTCTGAGTAATTGACTTCCACAAGTCATCCCCACTGTTGAGCCTTTCAAAATGAAGTCTCAGTATATTTACAAATTAATGGACATCCTCTCTGGGGATTAGTCATATTCTAATTCAACAAAGACATTGTTTGAAGTTTGTTTTTGTTTGCTAAATGAACTAAAAATTATGAGATTTGCACCTAAAGGTACTGAGGTAAAGGAGAGCCAAAAGTGGGGTAGTCAATCTACTTATTCAGAATGAGTCGATAATTTAAACATGTCTAATAGCAGAGACAGTATATTATAGAAATGGCATTACATTCTCTGAGATCTGCTTTTACTGAAGTGGATCAATGATGAAACTAGCCAAATCTGAGCATCAGAAGGCTTTCCGGTCTACCTGATGCATGATCTCTACAGTTCTGAGAAGCAGAACTATAAAACAATGTAAAACAATAAGGGCATATGTCTGGTGTGTGTGTGGGGGGTGTGTGTGTGTGTGCACGCACACGTGTTTATAAAGGTAGCAGTTGTAGGAATGAATGAGATTGGGGGTGAGGGGGTGCATATGTATGTCTATGAAAGCCTAATCATTTCTGGGCAATGATGTAAAGGTTTTACGACTGACCTTTGTAACTATGAAGTTTTCTACACTTGACCTGAGCTCAGAAAAAAGAAAGAAAGAAAGAAATGTCATCATAGAGTCTTAGTTCTAGCTCTGCCGTTAACTAACTTGATGTTTATCACTCCCTTATGTTTGTTTATAGTTTTACTATATGTATTTATTCCCAACTGGTGCAACTTTATTCTCTTGACAGTTTTATGTGGACTTTAAGTTGCTGTTATCAAAAGTTGAACAATATTCCATACCCTTTTCCTTTCTCCCCGCTAGAGTATGCTCAGGTAATCAAAATGTTGGGAAATGGACGGCTAGAAGCAATGTGTTTCGATGGTGTAAAGAGGTTATGTCACATCAGAGGAAAATTGAGAAAAAAGGTAGGTGTGATTTGTTTTACTTTAATATAAAATTGGTTAAGGGGGAAAATCCCTCTACAGTTTTTAACTGTCCATGGACTTCATTTTTGGAAATTCCCAAAAGACTTACCTTGGTAAACAGTGATTTACCTATAAGTAAAATAGCAAGGTCTGTAATGGTAATTTTATACAGGTTCTAATGTTAAAGAAGCATTTGTATCACTTGTATTGTATTCCTGCCCAAAAAGTCCAAATTGAGAGACATTCTGCAAAAACAAACGGCCCAGTTTTTTTTTTCCTTGTCTTTTTTTTGATACAGGGTCTCACTCTTATCACCCAGCCTGTAGAGTAGTGGCATGATCTGGGCTCACTGTAACCTCACCCTCATTGGTTCAAGTGATCCTCCCACTTCAGCCTCCCGTGTAGCAGGGGCTACAGGCCTGTGCCACCATGCCTGGCTAATTTCTGTATTTTTTGTAGAGATGGGGTTTCTTCATGTTGCTTAGGCTGGTTTCGAATCCTCAGCTCAAGCAATCAGCCCACCTTGGCCTCCCAAAATGCTGGGATTATAGGCATGAGCCACTGTACCCAGCCAGATGGCCCAGCTCTTAATGCAATGTTACTGTCATGAAAGTTTCAAAAAAAAAAAAAAAAAAAAGCTGGGGTACTATTCTAGTTGCAAGGAGACTTAAAGAGACCTGACAGTTAAATGGAGTAGGTTGCCCTTGTTTGGATTCTGATTTAGGAATTGGACATATAGCTGTAAAGTGTACATTCAGAAAATTTGAATATGAGTTATATAAGCATTGTATTAATGTTGCATCTCTTGAATGTCATCGTGAATGGACTGCCTTGGAAAGTAATGATTAATTCACCATCACAGTAGTTATTCAGGCAGATTTATTAATCAGGTTGACTAAAAGTCCCAACTCTGATTTTGTATTTATTTTTTTTAATTTGGTATGTTAATCCTTCTATTCCCAAACTAAAATCTTTTTTTCTTTTTCTTTCTTTTTTTTTTGAGACAGAGTCTCACTCTGTCATCCAGGCTGGAGTGCAGTGGCACAATCTTGGCTCAGTGCAATCTCCGCCTCCCAGATTCAAGTGTTTCTCCAGCCTCAGCCTCCTGAGTAGCTGGGATTATAGGCATGCGCCACCACGCCTCGCTAATTTTTGTATTTTTAGTAAAGACAAGGTTTTACCATTTTGGCCAGGCTGGTCTTGAACTCCTGACCTCAAGTGACCCGCCGGCCTCGGCCTCCCAAAGTGCTGGGATTATAGGCGTGAGCCACAATGCCAGCCCAAACTAAAATCTCTTAATTTCTTTTCTTTTTTTTTTTCTTTTAAAGAAGTTTATTTATTTGTTTTTTTGAGACGGAGTCTCACTCTGTTGCCCAGGCTGGAGTGCAGTAGCGCAGTCTTGGCTCACTGCAACCTCCGTCTCCCAGGTTCAAGTGATTCTCCAGCCTCAGCCTCCCGAGTAGCTGGGACTACAAGGGCATGCCACCACGCCCAGCTAATTTTTGTATTTTTTAGTAGAGACGGGTTTTTGCCATGTTGGCCAGGATGGTCTCGAACTCCTGACCTCAGGTGATCCGCCCACCTTGGCCTCCCAGAGTGCTGGGATTACAGGCATGAGCCACCGCTCCTGGCCTAAAATCTCTTAATTTCTAAACTAATTGATTGTTACTCTGGAATTTCTTGATTCTTCGTTATTTTAAATGTGACGGGCAGTGACTTTTCTTTTGTAGGTTTGGATAAATACCTCGGACATTATTTTGGTTGGTCTCCGAGACTACCAGGTAAAATTTACATGTAAATTTTTCCTATTTTACTGGCTTGAATTTGATGAGCCATTTCTTAAGAGCCAGTTTTGTTTCAGGCATTGTGCTAGGTATCCCAGGGATTTATGTTTAAATCAAAATCTGGGAGCCATTATTCTAGGGGATACAGCTGAATGAGTTAAGTGCCCATCCCACAAAAGGCTCATAGCCTGGTAGTGGAGAGAGTTAAGCACACAAGTAATTACAATACACATCACAACATAGGTATGTGCTATAAATCTAAAGGAGCACTTGGGAAAGAAAGAAAGTGGTGGTTGCCTTTCGTGATGGTAACCCTTGACTCTGTAGACTCATTGTGGGTCTGTGAGATCCATTTGACATCCACCTATTGGAAATCATCCCTGTATGATACTATCTCTATTTGTATAGCCTCGATCATACTTTGATTTAAAAAAAAAAAAAACCCAGAATAAATAATTTAAATCTTCACTTTAAGCCATTGTTTCTCAACTGTGGGCAGTTTTGCCCTCCGAGGGACATTGGCAGTGTCTGGAGACTTTTCTGGTTGTCACAACTGGGGGATGGGTGCAGTGCTGCTAGCATGTAGTAGATAGAGGCTGGGGTGGGCACAGGACAGCATCCCATAATAGAGAATGGTCCGCCTCACAATAATCCATAGCGCTGAGGTGAGAAAGCTTGCTTTAAATTCATACCATTTTAATGTCCATTTTTTTCTTATGATCTAACAATAACCCCAGAAATAGGAAGAATAAGTAATTTCCTGTTCGATAGATAAGGAAACCAAGGGTCCAAAATGAGTAACATTTTGACTGTAAAGTGACAGCCAGGACCAACTTCTGATTTGAAATTATTCATGATCTTTCCGTGCCCCTCCTACTTACAGGGTGGTCAATGGCTCGATAGCATCTTCTGGAAGCTTGTTAGAAATACAGGTTCTTTGACTCTTCAGTCAGAACATGCATTTTAATAAGATCTCCATAGGCTTCTATACACTTTACATTTTAAGAAGTACTGGTCTGAATCACACTGTCCTTGAAGTTGAAGCAATCAATTTTCTCCCTTAACTGAGTTAAATTATTTTCAAATAGGGAAGTAGAAACATTCTAAGGCAGTATTTCTCAATGGGACTTTTGCATCAGAAATACCTAAAGAACTTCTCACAATACTAATTCTTGGGCTTCTCTTCACATCTACTAATCTGTCTTCAGAAGATATAAAAGCTCCACAGGAGATTGTGATTGATACCTAGGCAAAGAAGCACAGATAATACAGAAAGGTATAATTTCCTTAGGTCATTATACCAGTCTCAGTTCAGTCTCAGTTTTGGAATTGCAGTGTTTGATCACCCTGCAAATTATTGTCCCAGGGAACTTTTGTACTTCAAAAGACTTCTGATCAAAGGGTAATATTAAATAATCTAAAATATGGGGTATGCACAGTTCTGCTCTTATTAAAGTGAGATCTCTATATTTCCCAAGCTTGTTAATCATTCAGGCATGTACATAAGCTTCCTCTTGGGTTAAACCTAAGGATCTTTTTCAGAGGGTATGAGAAAGCTTTAAAATTTAAAAGGAGAAAGATTTATAGTAAAACGGTGAGATTTGATTGTTTATTCAATATGAGAATTTATGAAATAACTGATAATATTTTGTTATGATCAGTTTTTTAAAGTTATTTGTCTCTATTTAAGGATAACAAAGCTGATGTAATTTTAAAATACAATGCAGACGAAGCTAGAAGTCTGAAGGCATACGGCGAGCTTCCAGAGCATGGTAATGTCTGAGTTACTGTATTAACTTGTCATATGGTATTTAGGTTATGTGTTGCTGGTTAGGTGAAGGAACTATGGATTTTGCTTATTTACTTTAGTGCTCACATTTTTAGTTTTAAGTATGCCTGCCTATGCTTCATAATACTAGATACTATAAGAAAGAAATTACTGGAATTCTGTTCCTAATAAATATGGTGAGGAGTTCTGTAAGCTTTGGACTTCCACATAATGCTAACTAAAGGAATAATTTTGTTATAGTATCTATTAAAATTCCTTCCTCGAGAGACTGTCAGTGCGCATATGGGTTAAACACGAAGTGCAAGTCAGCCGGGCATGGTGGCACATGCCTGTAGTCTCAGCTACTTGGGAGGCCAAGACGGGAGGATTGCTTGAGTCCAAGAGTTCAAGGATGCAGTGACCTATGATCATGCCACTATACTCGAGCCTGAGTGACAAAGTGAGACCTTGTCTCAAAAAAAATTAAAAAAAAAAAAAAAAAAAAACCATGAAGCAAGGGCAAGTAATTAGGTACAGTTACTGATTTTGTTTGTTTGTTTTGAAATGGAGTCTCACTCTTTTGCCCAGGCTGGAGTGCAGTGGTGCAGTCTTGGCTCACTGCAACCTCTGCCTCCCAGGTTCAAGCGATTCTCAGCCTCCAAAGCAGCTGAGATTACAGGCATGCACCACCATGCCCGGCTAATTTTGTAGTTTTAGTAGAGACGGGGTTTCACCATGTTGGTCAGGCTAGTCTCAAACTCCTGACCTCAGATGATCCACCCACCTCTGCCTACCAAAGTGCTCGGATTTCAGGCGTGAACCACCATGCCCGGCCTCATTACTGATTTTTATTAAAAAGTTATATTTCCATTTTATCGTTGTATAATAGTATCCCATAGGATTTTTTAAAAGCAACATTTCTTGGTTTTCACCCTTCCAAATACAAAAGTAATGAATTCTTAACGCAGAAAACCTAAAAATAAGTCCCTTATAACCTCATCAAAGGGGAAATGTACTTGACATACTGTTCTGTAGGCCTGCATTTTCACTTGGCAGTTATTATTTTTGGCTCTGTTGTATCTTAAGAAAAAACATAATTTTGTTATATTTTACTTAAGCATGAAAGTCCTGCTGAAATTACTTAGCATTTCTGATCTAAGAAATGTTAATGTATATAGGAATAGGACTAGCGCTTCCTGGTTCATTTTCATTGCTTAGGGGTAATCATGATTTGACCAGATCTTTCTGATTGATGAGTCTATCTGATGATTAGTGAACCAGCTATTCTTAAGGAAATACGTTGTTACCATATTTCCTTGTATGTTGAGAAGTATACCTGAAAGTTATAATAGCTTCAGAATTAGTGTAATTAGGGCCTTCCTTACTAAAAATACCTTTGCAAACAAAAGAAAATGGTAACACAGATACTCCCATCTTGACTTAGCAGTGACACTGCAGGAATTTTTTTTCATAAAATATTCTTTATAGTTATTGTCTTATATAAAAGGAATGCTCTTATGATGAAACTTTGAGTAAATTACAGTGCTGACTTATGAGTATTTCTTACTGTGTCCTTAGCTAAAATCAATGAAACTGATACATTTGGTCCTGGAGATGATGATGAAATTCAGTTTGATGACATTGGAGATGATGATGAAGATATTGATGACGTAAGTAGATGTACCTTGTGTTTTCCAATTTTTGTTATTATCCATGGAGAAACCAACTTTCCCCTAACATCCATTAATTTTAAGAACATGGGACACTTAAATAAGGTTGTATTTTGAGAATTGTCTGAATTAAATAATATTATTTAGAAGACACCTGGTCAAACTGTTTATATTTTGAGAATTCTTTTTTTTTTTTTTTTTTTTTTTTTTTTTGTGATGGAGTTTTGTTCTGTCACCCAGGCTGGAGTGCAGTGGTACAATCTCAGCTCACTGCAATCTCTGCCTCCTGGGTTCAAGCGATTCTCCTGCCTCAGCCTCCTGAATAGCTGGGACTACAGGCGCGTGCCACCACGCCTGGCTAATTTTTTGTATTTTTAGTAGAGACGAGGTTTCACCACGTTGGCCAGGCTGGTCTCGAACTCCTGACCTCCGGTGATCTGCCCTCCTCGGCCTCCCAAAGTGCTGGGGTTGCAGGCGTGAGCCACCATGCCCGGCCCTATTTTGAGAATTCTTATAACCCTCTTCAATTTCTCTTCCTGAAAAGGTCAGTGTTTGCATTGGCAATATTAACGCCAGCCACTCTAATCATAACTTGTTTAATTAAGAGTCTCTAAAGAGATAGCCATTAAGAAATTTAGTGGACAGTTGAAAAATAGATCTTATCAAAGGAACATGCCTTTTTAATTGAAATATTAGTGTGTTGAAAGAATCTTGTTTGAACCAGCTTGATATGAAGCATTGGAATTACAACATACACTGAAAGCCTTGTCAAAATGGAAGCCTATTGCCAATTATGGTATTTTTAGCTGTTGGGTGTGTACTGTTGGCAAACTCTTGGTTTGCAGTTGGTATGTTTATTTTGAGGAAAATGGATTGTCTTTCCTAATAATAAAGTAGTAATGCCCATAAGTGTAAATGCTTTACTGCACTTCTGCTGTTACTGTAATTGAATGAAATTCAAACTTAATCTTTTGGCAGTATAAATTTATTTAGTGATTAGGGTGTTACTCTTAAATCTGTTTTGGGCTCTTCTTTTCAAACCTCTTTTAACTAAAATGTAGTTCAGAAACCACCTGTGTATTTCAACCCAAAAACAATAATAAGTCAGATGTGGTGGTATGCACCCATAGTCCCAGCTACTCAGGAGACTGATAGGGGAGGATCACCTGAGCCCAGGAGTTCAAGACCAGCCTGGGTAACATAGCCAGACTTTGTCTCTACATAAATAACATAATAACGTTAAATTTGATGCAAAGATGGAATTTCGGAATACCTAGAGCAGTTGTTCCTGACCAAGAATACTCACACTGTGAGTTAAATTACTAATATTATAGACATTTTAACATGTACACAAAAATAGGAAGTGAGAAATAAACATGTTGTTCTGTTATTTTCTTAATTTTGGAGACCCTGAGCCAAGAGGAGTCTTACGACTAAACTGTTACTAATATTTTGACAATAGAATTAACAATTCTATTCTTTGGTAAATAAGAGCTTGCAGCTGACATGTGGATTAAGCGCCAACCCAAACATTTTGACATCTGAGCAGGGGTAGAAGGCCTCTTTAAAAAAAAAAAAAAATTAAGGAACCTAACCAGAGAACATGCATGGATATGAAGCCGCATGCACCAAGATAATGGGTTGAGAATCTAGGCGTGGTCAAGATTTTCTCAGTAAAAATTTCTGGATCTGGGCCAACGCCTCCTCAGAACTGGACCCAGCTGGCTGGCTGGAAAAGGGATGGTAAAGAGTGATTATTAAAGGAGTTCTCTTGAACATTTTGTAAAAGTTGGCTCTGTCACCTGAGAACCCTACTCTTTGAGACATTTCTCCAGGTGGTTTATAGATGTTTTAACTATAACCAGATTGACTCAGGAGAATTAGGTCAGTATCACACTGAACGGGATCAATCATATCATGCTTCCTGTGTCTGCTCCCATCCATGAGATACAAAAATCTCAAATTACAAGCATTAAAGGAAGGAGACAGTAAATTTTATTAAGAATATTTTGCATAACATGTAACATTACAAAGGAGATCATCACGATTTACTTATAGCAGGCCAGAATTATAGGAATTTCTTCTTCAAACTGGATTTGTTTCTCACATAGCCTAAGGAGGTGAAAGTCTCCCTTATATATGGAGTAGACTGTTGGAATATAAGAATTCTTTTTCCTTTCATCTGATGTTCTTTTCCCTTCCAGATCTAAATTGAACTCAACATTTTACATTCCATCTTTTCTGAAGATTGTCCTACAATTTGGATTTTGATCATGACAAAGAAGATTAAAATTTCATTAGCATGAATGCAATTTGTTAAAGCAGACTGATTTGTTTCTAAGATATTTTTGGTTTTTTTAAAACTGATAATAATGCTGAATTATCTTAAGTGAGATGTTAAGCCCACTTTGTTCTTTTAATGTAATGGAGCTTATGGGTAGAAGACCATGTCTACTAATTACAAAAAAAAAAAAAAACCATGCATTGCTGCTTTTCCTACCACTTCCAGTAAGAAAATGGGTGTTTTGAAGAAATCATTTGCCTTGTCCTCACGGAATCTGATTAAGCCCTGGCCTCTTGATTGTATAGAGTCATTGTGTATATTCCAGTTACCTAGATATTCCCTTGAGATTTTGATACAATTTGAGGGAGGCAGAAGTCTGCAGTTGAAGAAAAAAAATAAGTCTGTTTGTCATATTTAAGTAGCCTGTGGCTATTTTTATACTGATTTTGATATCATGTTCTTTTCATAGTCGTATTTTGCCACCGTAAACATAAAAAAAAAAAAAAAGATTTCCAAAATGCCGTTTTCAGAACCTGGGTTTTAATAGCAGTATTGAATTTGTAAGCTTAGTAGTTGCAGAAATTGAACACTAGGTGGCACTCAGTTATCTTAACAGGGGAAGTACTGATACAATTGTTGACTTTTCTTTTACTATGTGTAAGAAATACCCCAAACATGAAAAGATTGTTTTGATCATATGCATGTATGTAGAATATTTTTGCAGAGCAGAAAGATTATGTTAGAAGTGTGATTTTTATTTTCAGAAGTCATATACATGTAAGCTACAATTTTGAGTGCTTTATAAACACTTAAGATATATATATAAATTTTAATTTCATAGCAACTTGTAAAAAATAAAATACTTGTTGAAAAGCCTTTTTCAACATATCCCTAAGCTAAGGGAAGAGGAAGGAATAACAACTCAGTGAAAAGATGGTCTCCAGTTTCTGAATGAAAAAGCTACAGCTGAGAAATAAAATAAAATGTCATGCTGCAGAATATGTTATACCCTTATTTTGTGTTAAGGATATATTTTATTATGTGAATGGTTTTGTTTTTGTTTTTTGTTTTTGTTTTTTGCTTGTATTGGGAATTAGCTTTACTGGTAACTTCCTTATTTAGTTTTTAGTGGTCAACTCTAATAAAATGAAACTAGGGCTGAGCTAGTTAGCCCTCACTAGCCAAACTGAAACTCTATGCAACATTAAAAGAAGAGATCCATCATGTAGCTTGTGACACTTTTATTTTATTAGTCACCGGGGAACTTTTCAGTGATGAAAATACACAGGGTAATAAACCTTCACATGGCTTCAAAAGGAAAACAAGCAAATCTTCTCTAATCTACTCTTACTATAATTTCCTAAGTGTACACCAAACTCTGGATTTAAAAATCTGAAGTACTATAGAACATTAAGTTGAAGAATGGAAATTAAGAGTACGTATTCATGGTTTATATTTCTTATTCTATGGAGTTCGTGAACACATCTAGGTGGAATGCATCTGAGACTAAGGGCTGGTTTTTAATCCTCATAAGAAACCAGCCTTGAAGAATTAACAATTCTCTTCATTGGTATTCTAAACCTCCTAAGATATTTAGGCTTCTGTACATAAAAGTGTTTTTGCTAAATTTACAGTATATATAGATCCTTTCATATTATTTTACTAAGAATGTTTGAACTTTGCATATTTGATATAGTTCCTGGTAGGAATAGCACAGCTCAAACATTAGTTTTTCTACTTACCTCCTCTAACACGTGGTTTGTCTGGAGAGTTTCTAAAAATTCAGCTATAACCCCAGTTCATGTATTTACTGGTGATTGTTCTTGCTGAGGTAGTAACAGCCCAATCTTGGGCTGTTAAATCCTAGGAAATCTCGAATCATAGTGATTAAAATAGTTGGGGTAAAGTTGTAGCTTATATGCAATACTACTTGGAGGAATTCTTCTACTAATTTGTATTTAATGTGGAAATTGTATAGTTTCATTGATTTAATCATAAATAATGGAAATGGTCTCCAAGAAGTTTTATTTTTCATTTTTTTGCTTATACACTCTGATTCCTATAATACAGTGCTATAAGCTATGCACAGAAAATAAAATGTTTGAAATCCAAGAATAATGGTTCTTACTGCTAAGAGGGAGTAATAGTTATTACTAATGATTTTGATTGGGTTGCATTTTTGTTGCAATGTTTATTCCACTTGCAGTTAGAATATGAATATGTTTTATCACTAGTGTGGCTAAATAACCAAACATTTGTGTAAAAAAAAAAAAAAGCCAAGATTTCATTGTTTGTTGAATATTTCTTAAGCATCTGGCCCCTAAAGAGACCGCTTCTTACCAAGCCTGTAAACTATGCATGATGGAAATTCTTGTATTTTATTTAGGAATGGCTGTTGGTTTACTCACCACATCTGTGGAATCATGGCTATAAATGTTTGCTTACAAACTCTTTGTGACTTGTAATTTAACTTAATCTCATCTAATGTAAATATTAGATTATGATGTTCAGTAACATCTTCCATAGGTATAAACTGCTGTCATTATTGATTTCAGAGTAACTCTGAGTAATCAAATAGGTAAAAGCATGTTTTGAGTAAAATAGCTAGATTTATACTTTACTTGTATACAGACTTAACAACAACCGGTATTGACTGGATTGACAGCTAAAGTATCAGAATGAAAGCAAGGTTTTTTTGATGTTACCTGACTGTCATAAAGATGAAAATGATTTGTATTGGTATGAAATGCTTATCTTTATTCTACTTCGTAAGGGTAAGTTTTATTTATACTCTTTGGACTCCCATGAACTTTTGCACACTGCTTTGTGTTTTTGGTTTACCCTAAACTACCATCCTTTTTATCTTTGCTTTTTTTCTTCCTATTCAGAAAAGAGCAAAATGTGAAAAGACACAAGACTCTCAGGTATAGAATGAACTGAGCAATTTGGAGAATGTATTGGACTTTGTCCTCTCTTATTCCCCCCTCCTAGCCCTGCAAGTTGCTAGGTACTTGTGAGGCAGTGTACTGGAGAGGGGAGAGCATGGATCCTGGGGTCAAAGGGCCTTTGCCCCCACCCTTACTTGGCCCTCTACCTGCAGGTGACCACTGGCACATTCTCCTGCTTGTCTCAGCTTCAGGTTCTTCACCTCTAAGATGGGGATGATGAAAACAGTACCTGTCATGCAGAATTGTTGGGAGGATTGATAATTTAGATGTTTATACATGTAATGTACTTAGATCAGTGTCTGCTCTTTTCACTTGATATCCAGTACTATGTAAGATAGAAGGTGCATGTCTTCTGTATTCTGTATTTCCCATTTCTTTTGCGTGCAGTCTTTGATTCGTACAATAGAAGGAACACGTAGAATGTATATTTGTACATTCATGTCAACATAGTATTTGAAATTGCTACCAAACTCATTTAATTTGGCATAAGACTAACAGATGAAGTCTCTCATTTGCTTGAAGATATTTTACAAAATACCAACTGTTCTATATTTCTTTAGAAAAAGATTATAGTTATTAATATTGATACCTCTGATAATATTTTATTCTTAAATCTTCAGTGATTCCTTTTACTATAGATTCATGACAGCTAATTAGTACTAACTGATTTAGAGGTTTCCTTTCCCATCATATGGAATGATGTAAAGAAATCAGATACAAACTACTGCAATTAGAAAATAAAATATGAACAACTTTCAACAATGTATACAATTGATTCTTTTCTAACTTTATAACATTTTAAACTATTTATTCATATGACTCTTTTCCAAAAATTTGCTGTTTTTAAAACTTAATTGTGATATATAAGGAAAAGGTATACCTTGTTTTTATTTTTGTCTGTTTTTGGTTGTTTGATCTGAATGAATCCATTTAGCCATATTCCAGATATGGGGTTGCATTTTCTCAGCAAGTGAATTTGTCACAAATCTGTGCTGAAGAAGGCATTTTCTAATGGTAAGTCACTTCAGCAGAGTGACTTCAGATTGCAAAGTCACATTCAACAGACCTTTACTTTATACGATGCAGAGACCTATAGGTGAAGTAAATACTTACACTTCTGGCCAACTTGCCCCCTTTTAAAAGCCCAGTCTGTACTGCCATTCCAGTCCATTGTTTTGTTCAGTTCACAACTTGATGTTGGTAGATCAGAAAGTAGGGACAAAGTCCGAGTCAAGTCCCATTGCTGATTTCTGTGCTGTCAGATACAAAATTAGTTGGACTTCGCAGATTTGATAACGTTTAATACATATTTACAATTTTAAACCTGTCTTAGGAATCTAACAATGGGATTTTTTTTTGTTGTTTTTTTCTTGAGACAGAGTCTCACTCTGTCGCCCAGGCTGGAGTGCAGTGGTGCAGTCTCAGCTCACTGCAGCCTCTGCCTACCAGGTTCAAGCAATCCTCCTGCCTCAGCCTCCCGAGTAACTGGGATTACAGGCGCGCATCACCACGCCCAGCTGATTTTTGGATTTTTAGTAGAGATGGGGTTTCACCATGTTGGCCAGGCTGGTCTCGAATTCCTGACCTCAAGTGATCCGCCCGCCTCAGCCTTCAAAGTGCTGAGATTACAGGCGTGAGCTACCATGCCCGGTTGGGAATTTTCTTAGGTTATCTACCAAAGGCAAACATAGAAATAAACTTGCAATTAAAAAAAGGTTTTTGGGGCCAGGGCGCAGTGGCTCACACCTGTAATCCCATCACTTTGGGAGGCCAAGGTGGGCGGATCACCTGAGGTCGGGAGTTCATGACCAGCCTGGCCAACATAGTGAAACCCTGTCTCTACTAAAAATACAAAAATTAGCCAAGCGTGGTGGCGGGTGCCTGTAATTCCAGCTATTTGGGAGACTGAGGCAGGAGATCACTTGAACCTGGGAGGTGGAGGTTGCAGTGAGTTGACGTCGTGCCAGTGCACTCTAGCCTGGGCAACAGAGCGAGACTCTGTCTCAAAAAAAAAAAAAAAAAAAAAAACATTGGACAGGCGTGGTGGCACACTCCTGTAATCCCAGCACTTTGGGAGGCCAAGGCAGGTGGCAGGTGGATCACCTGAGGTCAGGAGTTCAAGGTCAGCCTGACTAACATGGTGAAACCCCGTTGCTACTAAATACAAAAAAATTAGCCAGGCGTGGTGGCACATGCCTGTAATCTGAGCTGCTTGGGAGGCTGAGACAGGAAAAGAGCTTGTACTTGGGAGGCGGAGGTTGCAGTGAGCCGAGATTGCACCATTGCACTCCAGCCGGGACAACAAGAGCGAAACTCCGTCTAAAAAAGAAAAAAAAAAAAGCTCTAGTATGGGTGAATAGTACCTTAAAATCTACTATACCACTTAGTTGTTGTGCAGGTCTCAAATTATCTGGTCTCAAGCCCTTTATATCAAGGGGCAACAAACTACAGTAGATAGGTCAAGTACGTCCCACTACCTATTTCTGTTAATAGGTTTTATTGGAATATAGCCACACTCATTTGTGTGTGTTGTCTGTGGCGGCTATTTTTGCACTACGGTGGCAGAACTGAGTTGTTCTAACAGATCAGATGGCCTGCAAAGACCCAAGGTATTTACTATCTGGTCCTTTGTAGAAAGGGGTTTGCCAACTCCTACTTTATACTTAAAAATGAAGAATCACAGAGCTCTTTTATCTGGCTAATGTTGGTAGATCAAATTTCTAAAACTAATTTTTACTTGAAAGTATAAATGTAGCACTGGCAATAAATACTGTCAATTTTCCTTGAAATGGCAACATTGCTTGTGAGTTGTCTGTCAATGTTGACTGTATTAATAGATTTTGTAAAAATGGTAATTCAAGAATAAACCCAATGCATTAGCATAAATTTTTTTTTTTTTTTTTTTTTTTTTTTTGAGACGAAGTCTCACTCTTTCACCAGGCTGGAGTGCAGTGGTGCGATCTCAGCTCACTGCAACCTCTGCCTCCCGGGTTCAAGTGATTCTCCTGCCTCAGCCTCCCAAGTAGCTGGGACTATAGATGCACGCCACCACACCTAGCTAATTTTTGTATTTTTAGTAGAGACGGGGCTTCACCATGTTGGCCAGGATGGTCTCGATCTCTTGAACTCATGATCCGCCCGCCTCAGCCTCCCAAAGTGCTGGGACTACAGGCATGAGCCACCGCGCCCGGCCTAGCATAAACAATAAGGAGTAACAGAAACAAAAATTTGAGATGGCATTGTTGCACATTTTTGCAAATCTTGACCAGCTTGATAGAAGACAGTCTCATATCTGCTTTTGTATTCAATGTGTCCTAGTAAGTTTTGGTTAAAGCATATGAAGAAAATCTGGCCTCAGAGGTATGTAGTTGGAAAAGGAAGATTTTAATAGTCTTTTCAGATACTTGTATGTTCTTTGATACTACACACAATCTTGACAAGAGGTGATTTCTTAAGTTGCACTGTGGAATCTAACACCAAATCAACAAACGTTTCATACTGTTACATTATAATTCATTGGTCTATTTTGAACTATGAATGGACTTTGTAACTTCACACACCTGGAAAACTTGGAAAAAACTGACAGAGGTATGATCTTCCATATGTTGACCCTTTTCATTCTACAGTATTAAGATGCCACATTTCATTAATGTCACTGTCTCTTCAGAAAAGTTCTTACTTTAGTGAAGTTGTCAAGCTAATGGTAGCAGATACTAGTTTTGTAAAACTTTTTTCATGCTGGAAAGCCCAAATTTTATCACCACCAACAAATATGGTCACTTGTTTCCCTTGAAGTGTCAGGCTAATTTTATTCGTTTTTGCAAAAATGTTGAACACAAATCCAAGTTTGAATTACCAGCTTATCAGCTTTTCTTTCAAGTAAAAATGATATTTCATGAAAGTGTCCAGTTGTTTGGAATACAAATTATCACAAATGCTTTTCCTTGAGACAACTGCTGTACATTGGTATGCAGAAGAGGTTTGTGTAGTATTCCCCACTTTGTCACATGAAATATTGAAAAGATGTGTACTCAAAGGTTAGGATGTACCAGTGTATGAGATTAATCTCTTCAGGTTAATAAATTTTTATTGCATTGTCAGAGACACTAACTTTTTTTTTGAGATGGAGTCTCCGTTGCCCAGGCTGGAGTGCAATAGTGCAATCTCAGCTCACTGACCTCTGCCTCCCGGGTTCAAGCGATTCTCATGTCTCAGCTTCCCAAGTAGCTGGGATTACAGGCATGCGCCACCACACCTGGCCAATTTTTATATTTTTAGTATGGTTTCACCATGTTGGCTAGGCCGGTCTGGAACTCCTGACCTCAAGTGATCTACTCGCCTCCACCTCCCAAAGTGTTGGGATTACAGATGTAAGCTACTGCACTCAGCCATTTATTTATTCATTCATTTATTTATTTATTTAGAGACAGGATCTTGCTCTGTTGCCCAGGGTGAGTGCAGTGACGCCATATCACAGCTCACTACAGCATCAACCTCCCTGGCTCAAGTGATCCTCCTACCTCAGCCTCCCAAGTAGTGGGGACTACAGGTGCACCACCAAGCCCGAATGTTTTGTTTTTATTTTTTAGAGATGGGGGTCCCACAGTTTTGTCCAGGCTGGTCTCTAACACCTGGATGCAAGTGCTTCTCCCACCTTGGCTTCCCAAAGTGCTGATATTACAGGTGTAAGACACTATGCCCGGCCAAAAACCTCTTTTTTGAGACAGGGTTTTGCTCTTGTTGCCCAGGCTGGGGTGCAATGGCGCGATCTTGGCTCACCGCAACCTCGGCCTCCTGGGTTCAAGTGATTCTCCTGCCTCAGCCTCCTGAGTAGCTGTGATTACAGGCATGCGCCAGCACACCCGGCTAATTTTGTATCTTTAGTAGAGATGGGGTTTCCCCATATTGGTCAGGCTGGTCTCAACTCCCGACCACAGGTGATCTGGCCGCCTCAGCCTCTCAAAGTGCTGGGACTACAGGGGTGAGCCACTGCGCCCGGCCATGCTATAGATTTTTATAGGAAGTTAGTGTAGTGGGAAAAGCACGGAAAACTCGAAAGTCATTTTTTTTAAAAGCTTAAATAGAAATTACACTATTGGATATTCTGTCATAATGTCGAAAATGTCAATTTTCTCCAAATTAACCTCTGACTTCAATATAATTACATTTAGTATTACAGCAGGCCTTGGTGGGAGATTGCAAAAACATCCTAAAATATATTCATGTGGAAATACTGAATTTCAAAGAATTCTAGAAACACTGCTAAGAGGGAATTCAACAAATAAATTGCACCCTAAGCCATAGTAGTGAATAATAGATGCAGTAACAGGAAGATCAGAATAGATAGCTCAGAAGCTATCTCACCTACTATGGAAATTAGGTACTTGATTTTTTAAAAAGTGGCTTCAAAAATTACTGGGGAAAGGATAGGTAAGCAGGTAGTGCTGACCAAACTACACTTCGGAGAGAAAAGTGGATTTGGCTCTTTACCTCACCCTATACAGAAAAATTGCTTAAGAGTAAAGCATTTTTTACTTTTTTTTTTTTTTTTTTTTTTTTTTACGTTTTTTACTATAAGCATGAGGGCAATGGGGAGTATCTTGGGACTAGGGAAGTTCGTATTAAGACTTCTTAAAATGCAAACCATAAGGTGAAAAATTTATGGATTTTATCACTTCGTAATCATTATGAGATCAGATCAAGCAAGAACCATCAATGGATGCTAAATCTAGAGAGAATTTTTGACGAAGAGTAAGTACCTGCATAGCCTTAAGGTGCCTCACCACAGTGCATTTTGCAAGAGGAAAACTACCTCTAAGGTGGAGGAACAGCCAATGGAGAGAAAATTACTGTATCCATGTGAAACTTAAGTTGGTAGTCAACTCTAGTATGTGTAACAGAACATTCATAATCTTAGGAAATACACATGGAAGTATTTGTAATGTAACTTTCAAAAACAGTTGATAAAAAATAGGGCAATATTGTAAATGGAGTAAACATGTTAATAGGATTTTGTCATAAAAATTAAGGAAAATTTTACCAATCTTAAAAAGCTTAGTTGGCTAGGATAAAATATTTGCAACATTTAAACCAGAAATTATCTAGAATACAAGAAACTCCTGGAAATCAACCAGAGTAGCCCAGTGGAAAGGTGGGCAAGGATTGAACAGGGAATTTACAGAAGGGTAAACCAGATAGAATGGCTAATCATTTTGTGTAGATTGAGAACAATGCCAAGAGAGGAAAAACAAATAGAATGATAGCTTTTATGCAGTGTCATTTATATACAATTAAAATACATGCGTATCTTCAAAACAGTATTTCAAAATTGCAGCTGCAAAGATATCAGAGGAGGTGTTTATAATTAGGGAGAGGAATGGAAAGTAAAAGGACCCCAAAAATAGAATAAAAGTAGAGAGGGATGCTACACACACATGTCCATGAGCTCAAGAGTTGGATGAATTGAACTCACCAAAGGTCCCTAAGATAAGGGAGGAGAAAGTGACAGCTCCCACGCTCTTAATTTGGCTTAATCTCAATGTGTTCGAGTTTTCATTACAGCTCAGGGTACCAGCCCCCACCTGCTCACTTTCCTACTCATTTATGTTTAAACTTCCTGGCTTTCTCACCACACTTGAACCCTACTCCCGGCACACCTTTGGGCGTGTCAGGAACACGTTCATCACAAACATTTTTTGTGCCACAAAGGGACTTTCCCAGCTTTGGCCAAGAGTACAGGTGCCCATTCCTGAGAGTTTCAGCTTCACATTAAAAAAAAAAAAATGAGACATAATTAAGGGACCATAAAATTCACCCGCTTAAAATGTACAATTCAATAGTTTTTAGTATACTTAGTTGTGCACTCATCATAATCCTAGAATATTTTCATCCAAAAAAGAAAACCTGTACCCATTATTCAGCTTCATTTTTAATCGTGTATATCTCCCCCCAGGAGTGGTAATAAAACTTTCAGGCTGGTCACCTTCCAACGAGAAAAAACATGCAGCCTGGGGCTCCATGGGAACGGGTTATCACTTGGCAGGCCTGGGTAAACAAAAGGCTTGAGCCGGCCCTGCCAAGATGTCTTTTTCAATGTTTTTGAAAAGATAATAAATGTGCATGGCAGTGGTAAAAGTGCCTACTTAGGAGGCAACCCGTTTAGCAGTTTCTTGTGTGTCTTCTCGGAGAGATCCTCCTCAGAGGTTTTTTGTTTTATTTTGCTTTTGAGACAAGGTCTCTGTCGCCCAGGCTGGAGTGCAGTGGCGTGATCACTGCAGTCTCGACCTCCCGGGCTCAAGCGATCTTCCCGCCTCAGCCTCCCAAGTAGCTGGGACCACAGATGAGTCGCCATGCCCAGCTAATTTTTAAAATTTTTTTGTAGAGACGGGGGTCTCGAACTCCTTAGCTCAATCAATCCGCCCGCGTCAGCCTCCCGAAGTGTTGGGATTACAGGCGGGAGCCACCACACCCGGCATCGCGGAGGTTTCAGTCAGCATTATTTACGCCTCAGGAGAAGAGGAACCAAATTGGCTGCGGAGTAGGGTGTCGTTGAAAGGCCTAGGTCGGCCTACGGCGCGTGCCGCTGCCTCTTAGTTGAAGATCGACCCCAATAGCTTGCTGCTGTCCCTCTCTGGGTGACCGCACGCTGAGGGTGGGGCGTCACTAAACACTGATTACCCGTGCGCCTCGAAAACTGGAACCTAACTATGCATGGAGGGCGGGTCCTCTGGCGTCTGCACAGATGTCACTGGCCCAACTGGCACCCACCTGGGGGCCTAGCCAGAAATTGTTCCCAAGGCTGCATTGCTGAGTTTGCATGCAGACACCCAGTGAGTGTAAGCGTGTGCGTGCTGAGTGAGCACGTGTGTGCGCGTTATGTGCTCTGTGTTCACACATTGAGTGAGGATGTGTGTGCACGGTGTCTGAGAAACTGCACCCTACATCTACACACGCTTTGAGTGTGTATCTGCTACTGTGAGAAGATGCATTTACGCTGGGTGTGCACGTTGTGTGTGCATGTTGCATGTAAGCATCGTATGAAGAACTGTGTGCGTACGCACGCCTTCTGTGTGTGCACTGTGTACAGCAGCGTGTAAGGACGCGTGCACGCCCGTACGCGCTGTGTGAGGACTGTTGTGCACATTGCATGCACACGCTACAAGCGCGCGCCGCGTGAGAACCGGTGCGCCTATCGCACGTGCACGCCCTGCGTGCGCTGTGCGTGGAAGCGGTGCGCCTATCGCACGTGCACGCCTTGCGTGCGCTGTGCGTGGTAACCGGTGCGCTTATCGCACGTGCACGCCCTGCGCGCGTGCTGCGTGAGGACGCGTGCGCATGCGGACGCGCGCGGGTTCGGTGCGGCGCGGCGGGCTTGGCAGTGCGCCTGTGCGGCCGGCGCATCCCGATGGAGCGCGGCGGCGGCGGCTCCGGGACGGGATCCCGGCCTGAGGGGACTGCGCGGGGAACCTCTCTCCCAGGGAAGATCGCAGAACCGGGCGCGGTGCGGACCTCTCAGCCCAACTACCGGCCTCAAGGTATTATCCCCAGAGTGTGGCGGGCGCCCGAGGGCTTCGGGTTCCTGTGGGGGGGCGGGCCCGGCGGCCCAGGGCAAAGGTCCTCGAGCGTGGGGGGAAGGGGCACGGCGCAGAGCTGAGATAAACGCCCTTTCCCTGGCCCAGGATCGTCCGGACGTGCATCCAAGGGCCGCACCCCTCTCTGTGCGAGTGGCGGGGTTCTTTCTTGGGGCGACCTGGGTGAGTGGGTACACATGGGGGGTGGCTTAGGGTGGGCGGCAGGTGTGTTTGGGATGGAGGTGCCTGAGGGGGTGCTGCGGGTCCAGTCCCCGTCCTCGAGGAGCAGCCGGCATGGGGGTCGTTAGGATAAACCGAGCGGGGTTCTGGGGTTGCCCCGGCCTCCGCGCGCGCTCTCTCTGCGTTCTGGGAAACGCGCGCGAGCGCCGCTGCAGCCCGCGGCGAAGGTGGCCCAGCTTCGCGCCTCTTGGCGTTTCCAGGGGGCAAAATCGGCGTGTCACCCATTGGCAGAGGCAGATTCGCCCGGGCGGCCAGGCGTCTGCCCCGGACCGGGTGCTCCTCCCGCCCGGATGCGCTCCCTGTCTTGGGAACGCTGCTCAGGTGGCCGGGCCGCGGCCCTCAATCGAGGCAGCGGGGCAAACAAGGCTCTCAGCCCTCGAGGCTGCCGATGCTGGGAGCCATGGAGGGCTGGTCCCTGGCTGCCCAGAAGCCAGCGAGGCAGCGGAGGAGACTGTGAGGACATTTGGCAGGATTTTAGATAAGCAGGTCTGATGCTAACGTTCTGTAAAGTGGTTGCAGGTAGTGCGGGGGTGTAAGCAGCATGGAAACCGATTTCATGCTGTTTTTCCTGACAACAACTTTTTTATTTTTAGTTAATAAGGCAGGCTATTTTTAAAACATTTTTTATTGCAGTCTAATATGCATTTAAAAAACCACACAAAACTATAATTCGATGAATTATCACATAGTGAAGATGGGAGTATTTTATATACGATGGGCCAAGAAAAGGAAAGAAATCAAGAGAAATCTTCTTAAAACACGCTTTTTCACTGGGGTTGAGGGGGCGAGGTAGTATTTTCTGACTGGGCCTTCAGTTGCATCATTCTTAGGAGGAGGAGATAGCTTAAATCATTTCCAGTTTGTATTTTTCATTATGCTATTTTAAAGGCAGAATTCATTAACTGTCACAGGATAACGTTATAACTACCTTTGAAATGTGTGCTTTTGTTTTTATCCTTTTTGCTTGAAACACTCAAGCTGCATCTGCTAGGGAAGAACCTGGAAACTACCCACCAGAACGACCCTCCGTGGCAGAGGCGACCTTGTATAATAAAACACTGAAAAGGAGAGGTTGTTTCAGTTTGCATTTTTATTTGGTTGAGAGCTTAAATAATAGTTTGTTTCGATGTTCTGTTGTACTCATGAGAGGTGGGGAGGGGCGGTATGATTGGGTTTTCAGTGTATCTTGGATTTTATTTGAAGGAACTTAAGGGGTTTTTTTTTTTTTTTTTTTAATGGAAACAAAATTGGGGAAGGGGAGGAGGTACTTTTGCGGGGGAGATTCTTAATAAGTTCTGTTTGGAAACTATTGTAGAATCATTTAATGCACTCTTCTGATATTAAGATTAGCTTAAGGATATCTTCCTTCATTTGAAATTGGAAATATAGAAAAATATGTGTGAAGGTTTAAAATGTGAAATAAGCACCTATGTGCATTAAGGTTGGTATGGTAAAATTGGAATGTTTAATTTAGGTGCCAGGTGATACCACCATTTGTTGTTTGGGGGAGTTAGCAAGGCCAGGTACTTAAGTAAAGTCTCCTTAGAAAAATTATGATTTTGAGGTTTTATAATTATCTGTCCTGGATACTGATCATTCTTGGTTACCCAGGCCCTTAGCATTTGGGACCCATTCCTAATGAGACTTAACCTGCTTTTCTAGAGAGTCAACCATTGTTCCTAAGCTTGGGCTGGGTGCTGTCAAGGCTGCAAAATACAGAAAGACCTGAGATGTTTAGGCTGTCCAACAATTTTGTGTTGCACACTTAGGGGATATGAGTTGGCAAGTGGTTTTCCTGGGAGCTGTGTAAAAGACGGAAAGGAAATACCGCTGGTGGTTTCCTCTAGCAACAGGTTCTTCCGATATTGAAATCCTGTGCATGTTCCCATTACCCCCTAGTGATGCCTTCTTTCTTTCCTTTTAATTACCTCTGAATAGAAATTACCAGATCTACTGTCCATTTTAGTGCTTGTCTGATACACATAGTATAACAAATGAGCAAGTGCTTGTTTCAATCTGCTTAACAACCTTTAACCAGCAGATAGAATCACCAGATCTCAACCATATTTCCTTTCTTTCTTTTTAGATGAAGTCTCACTCTGTTGTCCATGCTGGAGTGCAGTGGCACAATCTTAGCTCACTGCAACTTCTGCGCCACCATGCCCAGGATCCCAGCACTTTGGGAGGCCGAGGCAGGTGGATCACTTGAGGTCAGGAGTTTGAGACCAGTCTGGCTAACATGGTGAAACCCTATCTCTACTAAAAATACGAACATTAGCCGGGCCTGGTGGCGCATGCTTGTAATCGTAGCTACTTGGGAGGCTGAGGCATAGGATCGCTTGAACCCAGGAAGCGGAGGTTGCAGTGAGCTGACCTCGCGCCACTGTACTCCAGCCTGGGTGACAGAGCGAGACTCCGTCTCGAAAGAAAAACAAAATAGGGTGGGGCCTGGAGATAGAGAGTAGGTGGTTATTGGAGACTGCGAAGGGTACTGGGGGGTGGGAAGGAGGTAGGAATGGTTAATGGGTATAAAAAAATAGAATGAATTAATAAGGCCTGGTATTTGATAGCACAACAGGGTAATTATAGTCAATAATAATTTAATTGTTCATTTAAAAATAACTACTAGTATGACTGGATTGTTTGTAACACAAAGGATAAATGCTTGAGGGGGATGGCTAACCTGTTTTGCATGATATGATTATTTCATATTGCATGCCTGTACCAAAACATCTCATGTACCCCAGAAATATATGCACCTACTACCTACTATGTAGCCACAAAAATTAAAAATTGTAAAATAAAAAAAAAAGTAGAGTGGGCCCGAGTAGCAAAGGCATTGGGTCCCCAAGAAATCGGAGTTCTTCATCCTTTTTCAAAGTTGTGTTTAAAACCATTCTTGAACGCTTTAATCCTAAAACTGTTCAGATCGCTGGGCGTGGTGGCTCACGCCTGTAATCCCAGCACTTTGGGAGGCCGAGGCGGGCGGATCACGAGGTCAGGAGTTCAAGACCAGGCCGGCCAAGATGGTGAAACCCTGTCTCTACTAAAAATACAAAAATTAGCCAGGTATGGTGGCAGGCACCTGTAATCCCAGCTACTCGGGAGGCTGAGGCAGGGAATTGCTTGAACCCGGGAGGCGGAGGTTGCAGTGAGCAGAGATTGAGCCACTGCACTCCACCCCGGGCGACAGAGTGAGACTCCGATCTTAAAAAAAAAAGTGTTCAGATCAAGAAGAACAAGAGAACAAGTTGAGTTTGTGCCTCTAGAGTCTCTTTGGTAGTAGGAAGGACCACAAACTTCCTACAAAGTTGTATTTGGTTTGTGGCTCCTGGCTTTTTTTACTGATGGCAGCATAGGACTTAGACTTAGCAGGACCTTCAGGACAAACTGCTGAAAGTCTTTGTGATTTCTCTTCTCATATCCTAGCCATGGTGACATAGCTGCTCAAAGTCTGTCATTTCTAACCTGCTTCCTCTCCAACATGAAAGGATGTTTTCCTCTCAGGTGCCCCATCTTCTGCAGTGGCTAGTGTTTTAAAAGAACACTTTGTCTTCTTGTAATTACATTGATTGCCTTACAAAACAGAAGGATTCACAAGGTTGATTTGGGCAGGCGAGAGATGGAGATTTCTGGGGGCTGTTGGTAAATATCCTGGTGGGTCTTGTTGAGAGGATTTGATGAGATATATTGGCTGGTGATACAATGATACTGCCTGGTTTTAGGGGGCTGTTCATGTGCTAAGTTGGCTCAGGCGGCAGTTCCAAGATTTGAAAACTTCCCATGGCCCTGCCCTCCGGTCCCTTTTGAAAGGAATTTCACCAGAAGAAGGAAGAGGGGGTAGTAGAGGGCAGCCGCCCTTAGGGAGGGAGTGTCCACTGTCCACCTCACATCTGAGTCGGCCGCATTTAAATATGGAGTTTACCGTCTTGGCATCTGAGGCTCTGGGTCTGACTAGGCCTTGGGATCCCGCCTCGTCTGCCTCTGAGGTCAGTCTGAATGCAAGCCCCCATCTGCTTTTCTGTTGGGAAGCATTTGTTTTCCTCTTGCCTAGGAACTTTTTCTGTTTTTAAAAGCCTTGTGACTAGCAGAGTTTGGGTTGTCATTTAAGCGAAAGGAAAACAGGTATGAGTGAGCCGCATGCATGCAAAGCATTTGAGGCAACAGCAGTGATGCCAAATGCCTGAGATCCTTGGAATGACAGGGTCTGTCCCCAGGGCTCCTAGCTTCTGACCAGTGCTGGGTTCGTTCACCACCTAAAAAGACTTGGCTTTTCCTCTCAGTGCCAAATAGGTTGGTGCCTTGTAGCCCCCAGGCAACCCTTTGGAATGTTCCTTGCTCCTTTGTCATCTCACCCGCTTCATCCGTCCCACCCTCTGTGTTTCTGTAATAACAGCTTTATGGCTGGTCGTGGTGGTTCACACCTGTAATCCTAGCACTTCAGGAGGCTGAGGCCCACAGATCGCTTGCACTCAGGAGTTCAAGACCAGCCTGGGCAACATGGCAAAACCCTGTCTCCACAAAAAATACGAAAAATTAGCTGGGCGTGATGGCACGTACCTGTAGTCCCAGCTACTTTAGGGGCTGAGGCGGGAAGATTGCTTAAGCCCATGAGGTCGAGGCTGCAGTGAACTGAGATTGTGCCACTGCACTCCAGCCTGGGTGACAAAGTGAGAGCCTGACTCAAAAATAAAAATAAACAGCTTTATCATCTGTATAAAATTCATATGCCATATAGTCCACCCATTTAAAATGCACAATTCGATGGTTTTTAGTATATTCACAGAGTTGTGCAGCCATCACCACAATCAATTTTAGAACATGTTCACCACCCCACAAAGAATCCCCATACTCACTGACATTCTTCATTCCCCCGGCCTCACAACTACCCATCTGTCTATATAGAGACCACGAGACTTCTGCCGGGACAGTCTTCAGCCTTTGGTGCAGACACGCGTTGCAATTGCCTAGAAGTCTGTGGGTGGGTCTTCATGCATTAGAGGTTTAGAAACCAATATTCTGCATACTCTGTCCTTCAGGTCTAAGACGCGCTTTTACCCTGAAGCCTTGCCTTTTCACCTCCTGTACATTCCCACTCCACAGGGCCTGCAAAGCGCTCAGAACCTGAATGTAATGTACACAGCGGTCTGCAGTTATATACTGCACATGTTCATTTTAGCTTCCCAGACAGTAATGGCCGCTAATTGTTGAGCACTTATGTGCCAACCCTCATAGTTCTGGGGGTTGCCTGGGCTTATTGGAGAAGTTCTGCTGCTCCATTTGGGGTCACCTGGAGTCCCTCATGCTGGTACAGTCTGCTGGTCTGCTGGGAGCTCAGTTGGGCTCGAAATGTCCAAGATGGTCTCTCATTGTCCAGGTACCTAATCACAGAGAGTCTGTCCTGGACTTTCTAACAGCGTGGCTGCTGTGCTTTGAATAAGGAAGCAGAAGTTGCCAGTTCTCTTAAGGCCTGCACATAGAAGTCCCAGAATGTCATTTTTGCTGTGTTCAGTGGTCAAAGCAAGTCCCAAGGCCAGCCTAGATTCAAGGGGAGAGGAAATAGACTCCACCTGTTGATGTGAGGGCAGCATGCACCTACTGGGAAATGAGAAATTGTTAGTGGCCCTTTTGGAGAATATCTACTGTAATAGGCAAGTACAGTCGTTCCTTGGTATCCATGGGGGATTTGTTCCAGCACCTCTCAAGAACACCAAAAATCAAGGATGCCCAAGTCCCTGATATAAAATGGTATAGTATTTGCGTGTAACCTATGCACATCCTCCCTTATACTTTTTTTTTTTTTTTTTTTTTGAGACAGAGTCTCACTTTGTCACCCAGGCTGGAGTACAGTGGCACGATCTCAGCTCACTGCAGCCTTGACCTCCCAGGTTCAAGCAATCCTCCCACCTCAACCCCTCCAAGGAGCTGGGACTATAGGCATATACCTCTATGTCTGGCTCATTTTTGTTTTTGTTTTGGTTTTTTTGAGACAGAGTCTTGCTCTGTCACCCAGGCTGGAGTGCAGTGGTGCGATCTCTGCTCTCTGCAACCTCGCTTCCTGGGTTCAAGTGATTCTCCTGCCTCATCCTCCCAAGTAGCTGGGACTACAGGCATGCACTAGCACGCTCGGCTAATTTTTTGTATTTTTAGTAGAGATCGGGTTTCACCACGTTGGCCAGGCTGGTCTTGAACTCCTGACCTCAAGTGATCTGCCCACCTCAGCCTCCCAAAGTGCTGGGATTACAGGCGTGAACCACCGTGCCCCTCCCTCCCTTACACTTTAAATCATCTCTGGGTTACTGATAATAAATGTAAATGCTATGCAAATAGTTGCTATACTGTGTCGTTGTTTTGGGAATAATGACCAAAAAAAAAAAAAAAGTCTGTGCAACCATCCACTTTATTTTATCTGAATATCTGAATCTTTTCTTTTTTTTTAAGATGGAGTCTCACCCTCTTGCCCAGGCTGGAGTGCAGTGGTGCAATCTCGGCTCACTGCAACCACTGCCTCCTGGGTTCAAGTGATTCTCCTGCCTTAGCCTCCCAAGTAGCTGAGATTACAGGCCTCTGCCACCACAACCGGCTAATTTTTGTATTTTTAGTAGAGTCGGGGTTTCACCATGTTGGCCAGGCTGGTCTCGAACTCCTGACCTCAGGTGATCCGCCTCCCAAAGTGCTGGGATTACAGGCATGAGCCACCACGCCCAGCCTTAATCTGAATATTTTTAGTCTGTGGTTGGTTGAATCCTTGGATATGCAACCCTTGAATACAGTGGGCTGATTATATGTTTTAATTAAGAAAGGTTATGTATTCAGCGAGAGGTGAGAGATTAAAAAAAGAAGAAAGGTTAAGTTATTTGCCCAAGGGCACACAGTAAGTGGCAAACCAGGCTTCACACCCAAGTGTGTTTGACTTCGGAGCTGAGAAACTTTTTTTTTTTTTTTTTTTTTTTTGAGACGGAGTCTTGCTCTGTTGCCCAGGCTGGAGTGCAGTGGCATGATCTTGGCTCACTGCAACCTCCGCCTCCTGGGTTCAAGCGATTCTCCTGCCTCAGCCTCCCGAGTAGCTGGGACTACAGGCGTGCACCACCATGCCCGGCTAATTTTTGTACTTTTAGTAAAGATGGGGTTTTACCATGTTGTCCGGGCTGGTCTCGAACTCCTGACCTTATGATCCACCTGCCTTGGCCTCCCAAAGTGCTGGGATTATAGGCGTGAGCCACCATGACTGACCCAGAGCTGAGAATTTTTAACCCCCCGTGCCACTGTGCCTCCACGGATGGATAATAAACTCCTTTCGCGCATGAGCTGTGTCTCCCACATCTGCTATACCCCTCTGAGGATCTAGCTCAGTACTATCTAGCCACATCTTACAAAGATCTTGTATGCCTTTTACTTAGTACACAGTTGTTTTTCTCCCCAAAGGCGATGGGGATCTCATTTCTTAGAATTACAGCAAAAATGTTATTAAAATGCTTAGAGGAAGATAAGTTCCATTTAATGGAATTTCCTAGTTTACCAGGAATGAACCCCCCATCCTCTCTGTGCCCACAATTATTGTTAAGGATCTGAAGATACCCTTAATCGGCTTCCTGCCTTAGGACACTGTGTTGGGTATGATTGAGGTTCTTGCTGTTAACTGTGGTCATTGCTCTAGAAGGACCCTGGAAGATTCTCTGATACTCTAGGCTAGTGTGTCTCAAACTAACTCTGGTAAAGGAGCAGTTTTTAGTTTTTTTGTTTTTTTTTTTTTGTAAATTTCCAATCTGCTGTTGACCAGTATCTTGGTAAAACACAGTAAAGAAAAATATATGAAAGACATGGAAAATACAAGTCCCAATTTTTAAATATCAGGTTAGATTAATATTAGATTTAAAGAGCTCATTAAGTAACAGAATACTCTGTCCAGTTGCTGTAAATGTTCTAAATGCATGCCCTCGGTGGGGTGCAGTGGCTCACACCTGTAATCCCAGCACTTTGGGAGGCTAAGGCAGGCAGATGACTTGAGGTCAGGAGTTCAAGACCAGCCTGGGCAATATGGCGAAACCCCGCCTCTACTAAAAATACAAAAATTAGCCAGATGTGGTGGCGCATACCTGTAGTCCCAGTTACTCGGGAAGCGGCGGCACGAGAATCGCTTGAACCAGGGAGGTGGAGGTTGCAGTGAGCTGAAATGGCGCCACTGCACTCCAGCCTAGGTGACAGAGTGAGACTCTGTCTCAAAAAAAAAAAAATAAAATAAAAAAGAAGCATGCTCTCAATTTATGCCTTTATTCTTTATTGCAGATTGATAATGAATAATAAAGAGATTGTGCTCCCTCCCCACAGCCCATCAGGGTTAGGCTGCTCAGGGTTTCCTGAAGAAAAAAACAAACAAACAAAAAAAACGTAAAAAAGAGAGACTGGCACCTGTCCACAGGACACACTTTGAATAGCTCTGCCCTGGGCCAGTATTTCCCAAAGGGTATGGTACATAAGAGGGTTTTAGATTGCATGTGGACAGACTTATCTTTTTAACTTTAGATTAATAGTTCTGTTGATTCTTCAATTTATTTTAAAACTACAACTAGTACATCATGCTACAGTTTCTGAATATTTTCAGAATGAGTAAAAAGTGAAAAAACTACAAAAACTAAGCGAAAATAAGTCAATTTAAAGAAAAAGACTATCCACTGGGCCTGGCGTCTAGGAAAAAAATTTTAAAAATAAAAAGACCAAATAATAGAAGTCAGTGCTGGCTAATACAAACAGAATGCTAGCCACATATGTAATCTTAATTTTTCTAGTAGACACATTAAGAAAAAGAAACGGTGAAATTAATATAATACAACTTACTTAGTCAAGTATGTTCCAAAATATTATCTTTCAGCATGTAATTAATTAATTAATTTTGGGGGGGGCGGGAAACAGAGTCTCTCTCTATCCCCCAGGCTGGAGTGCGGTGGCGTGATCTTGGCTCACTGCAACCTCTACCTCCCCGGTTCAAACGGTTCTTATGCCTTAGCCTCCCAAGTAGCTGGGATTATAGGCACATGCCACCACGCCTAGCTAATTTTTGTATTTTTAGTAGAGACAGGGTTTCACCATGTTGTCTAGGCTGGTCTTGAACTCCTGACCTCAAGTGATCTGCCTGCCTTGGCCTCCCAAAGTGCTGGGATTACAGGTTTGAGCCACCGCGCCCAGCCCCTTCATCCTCTTATGTACCAAGTTCTCTCCCTTAACCACACTTTCCTTCCCTAAAGTAGGTAAAATTTGGCAAAACAACCAACCAATCCTGGCTTCCCCTGTGTGAAACCAGGTCCCTCACAATCCTCTCCAAGGATGAGCATTCCTTCTGTCTCTGCTGAAAGAACCAGACAGCACATTAGATTTCATCATTTTCCCCACCGCCCTCTGCTGTGGGCTACCCCGAGCCTACCGCCCTTGCCGTCATTACTAAACCTCCAAAGTTCATCAGCTCTGTGTGTAGTCCTTTTTTTTTTTTTCTTTGTAGAGGCAGGGTTTCGCGCTGTTGCCCAGGTTGGAGTGCAGTGCTGCCATCACAGCTCACTGCAGCCCCAACCTCTCAGGCTCAAGCGATCCTCCCACCTCAGCTCCCAAGTAGCCAGGACCACAGGTGAGTGCCACCATGCCTGGATCATTTTTGAATTTTTTTTTTAAATAGAGACAGGTCTCATGCTGGGATTACAGGCATGAGCCACCTCACCTAGCCTCAGCATGTAATTAATATTAAACGTTATTAATGAGATATCTGACATTCTTTTCTTTGCAGCAAGTCTTTGAAATTCCATGTCTATTTTACACTTCTAGTGTGTCTCCATTTGGACTGTTTGCGTTTCACGTGCTCAATAGCCAACTGCGGCTAGTGGCTACTGTATTGTACGGCACTGACCTAGAGCATTTCCATCACGCAGGGAGTTTTGTGGTCTACATTGAGTCTCATGGTGACTAAGTATTCAGTGTGATGACTGTGCTGTCAAGTATGGCGTGAAGCACAGTATGTGTGCTGTGGTAGTGAGTCCAGCTTGGATCTCTTCTTCATGAATGTAGAGGAAATGGAAACACACTTTGATGGAATGGGCTCCCCCATATCAGGCAAAGCAGGCCCGGATTCCCCAGGCTTTTGAAGGGATATCCTGATTTTGCTTTCCCCAGCCTGGGTGAAGGGAGTGCACCAAGGCTGTGACTAGTGGGTCCTCACACAGATTATTGTCTTGGGGACCTGATAGACTGTGGAAAGGGGATGGACTTGGCTTTGTGGGAATTATTAAGCTGTCATCGAGGAAAAGTGCTAAGGTTTGAATGTCCATTCCAAAACTCATGTCAAAATTGCCATTGTGATGGCATTAAGAGATGGGACCTTTAAGAAGTGAGTAGGCCATGGGGCTCTGCCCTCATGAGTGGATTATTGTTGATAGTGGATTCGGTTTGGCCCCCATTTGCTCTCTCTGTATCATGGGCTTGCTTGCCCTTTTGCCATGTTTTGATGCAAGAAGAAGGCCCTCACCAGATGCCAAGCAGATGCTGACACCACCAGCATCCAGAATTGTGAGCCAAGTAAATTTGTTTGTTATAAGTTACCCAGTCTGTGGTATTCTGTTATAGCCACTGAAAACAGACTAAGACAGAAAGCATGGTATTGAAAAAACATGGAACCATAACTGTGGGAGGAGAGAGCTGTATTAGCCAGCTTAGGATCTCCTGGGTTTGGTGTTGGGGTCGGGGTCAGGAATCCCTGCTGCTGGGTAGGGTCTGCTGAGTCGGGATTCAATGGGCTCTGTGAGATTCGATCTGGTCATCTTCCCCAGCTGGTGTCATGTCTTCCTAGTGCCTTGTCCACAGAAGCCACTTGCTGATTCTGACCAATAGGTACTGATTGACTGTTAGGACAGATGCCCTAACTCTGGGAACTACACCATTAAACAGGGAAGTTCCAGTGTATCTGGGCTGGTTCTGCCTCCATCTTTCTAGGTTTGATGTGAAAGAGCTGCCATTAGTTACAGATGGCCTTAGTGGACTGATTACCCAGCACCTGCTTCAGGGCCTGCAGGATGAACCCCTTCCCAGACCAGCTTGTCTCCTTCCTGAGCAGTTGGTCTGTCTTCACCGTTGGTCACTGATTCCTTCAGAGTTGACTCTTGGTTTAGCAACTCAACCAGTGTGGTACTCTGGTTGCTGTGGTAGATGTATGGGATTAACGTCCTTTTCAGCTCCATTTTTTATCCCTACCCTTGTTTTTCTCTTTCTCTCCTACTTTCTGTATTTATTTCTACTGTATTTTATATAAGCAATCTTAATCTTTTCTGGAAGGAGGGAGGGAGGGCAGGAAATGACCTCGCAGCTGGAGTCTCACCAGGCACCTGCAGCCCTTTATTAAGCAGTGCTCTATGTCCCTGTTTCAGAACAACACCTTAATATGTGCTATTAACTTGAAGTAACCGTCTGAATCGTAAACTGGGCAAAACCGAATTCTGCTGATGTGCTTATTCTTAAAAACAGCCCCCCATGGGATTCCTGTATGTTCTCTTCCTTCAATACCTAGCGCGTTTTCAGCACTACATTTACCAGAGGGAAAGTGTATTGTTCATGGGGATAGCATCACCTCTTAGCAGGTGTTGCTCTTTTCTACCCTATTAATTGTATTTGTTTAGTTTTCTTGATCACCAGTCAGGGGTGACAGTGGGTGGTGAAATACTGTGACAGCCTTCAGTGGAAGCTTTCCTTGTACCTGGGTAATTTTTCCCCTGGTGGAGATACGTGTTATGAATAAAATTTAGCATTGATCATTTTCATTAGCTAGATAATCAATATTTTTAAGCAGTTGTAGTTATGTCTACAGACCAAAAGCTCTTTTAAAAAAATCACTAATTCTAGGCCAGGCGTGGTGGCTCATGCCTGTAATCCCAGCACTTTGGGAGGCCGAGAGGGGTGGATCACCTGAGGTCAGGAGTTCGAGACCAGCCTGGCCAACATGGCGAAACCCCCTCTCTACTAAAAATACAAAAATTAGCCGGGTGTGGTGGCGCACGCCTGTAACCCCATCTACTCGGGAGGCTGAGGCAGGAGAATTGCTTGAACCTGGGAGGCAGAGGTTGCAGTGAGCTGAGATTGTGCCACTGTACTCCAGCCTGGGCTACATAGCGAGACTCTGTCTCAAAAACATCATAAACTAAACATTAAAAATTATGCATTTTAATTGCCATTTTCTTACTGCAAAACATGTTCCTGCTCTCCCTTTTTCCTCTCCTCACCCACCTAAATTTCCACTTCACTTGATTTTACTTTTGCCAGTCACAAATTTTTTTCTGAAGAATAATTGCTTCTTATTAATAGTCCATTGAGCTCCACATATCCCTAATCTTCTGGGATGAGATTAACCCTTTTTATAGAAGAACAATTAAGTGAGGAAAATGGACTGTTTCACTATACCCTGTTCAACTTTAATTTCTCTTAGTTGTGTTTTAGTTTCTCTGTTTCAACCAAGAGGCCCAAGGGTTCTCAGTGCCTTTCTACTGGGGAGTGTTGAATGTCCTTTGTGGTACATAGTTTTATCTTTACTGCTTAAAAATCAAAAGGATTATTTACACTTTGGCATGTAAAGATTATATCAGAGCAAATGGCTCTTAATTCAAGCAGAGATAAGACATGCAAGGTACAACACTGTCCAGTAGAACTTTCTGTGATGTTGGAAATGTTCTAGGTCTGAACTGTTCCATATGATGGCCACTAGCCACATGTGGCTGTTGAGCATTGAAGACCTGAGTTTTTAATTGTTTCTAAATTTAAAAAAATTGAATTTATATCAGCACATATAGTAGTAGCTTCTGTATTGGACTGTACAATTAACTAGCTGTTGACTAACCTCGACAGATTAGGATCAGGAATGAGGAAGGAGTTTCAGATCTCAAACAAAGTTACTTCAAACCCACCTACTCTTGGTTTCTCCTGTACAGGCTTTGATATTTGGCACTTGTCATTCAACCACTCTCAGATGCTGGTAGGCCACCAAGAACAGAACCAGCAGTTAGCTCCTTGACACTGTATCAGGTCTGTAGGACAGTGATCGAACTGGTAGACAAGACTTGTTCCTGGCTCCGTGGTGGCCCTGGAGTGCCCACAGTCAGCCAATCCTCTCTGTCCTGTCTCAGCTTTTCAACTTGGCACAACTGAAGAGTAAAAACTGGAGCCAGGGTCTTTAGTTTCACAACTTGGTTGGAGAAACCAGATTGACTTACAAGCCATTACCAAACCATTAGATAAAACCAGTAGCTAGCTATGCAGGATTTGGGTGAGCTGTGGGCAGAGCTTTTCCAGCAAAAGGTTGGCAGGGACCTCAACCACACCCTAGGCCAGAGAACCCCGTGGCAGGAAGTGAGGTTGGTGGGGGCATTGGATGCCTTTGCTGAGTTAATCGTGTTCCCTGTTCTCTAGCAAGTACTCAGTAAAATGGATAAGTCTCAGCTCTTTCATTCTAGCTTGCTCCTTACAAACTGCGGCCTCAGACATTGGCCCCTAGAACTCAGTTGCTTGTCTGTACAATGAGATTGTACACAAGGTGATCTTACTGGTGCGTTCCAACTCTGTGATGCTGTGATCCTCCACAGCTGGCCTAGGAAGCAGAGGGAAGCATATGGCTGCTATCTACCCTTCTCATTAGTGGGATCACCAGCCACATAGCTTAGAACGACTCCCCCCCACCCCGCCCATTACAGCCAAACCCGAGGGTTCTGCCTTCTTTATCTCTCATGACCGCATCCCCATGGCCAGTGCTTTGGGTCAGACTCTGTCATCTAGAGCCTCACCAGTATCAGAAGAACCTTAGGGATCTCTGTCCGTCCGTCCAGGTCACCGTCCCTGTCATGGATCCTTCATGTCATTCTCTTGCTTTAATCTCCTCTGACACTTGCCTAGCACTTCTTAAAGAGTATATTCTAAACTGCTGTTGGAGTTTTCAGGCATGTTGGAATGGGGCTCCAATTTACCCCTCCACCCCCATCTCTCTGGCCTGTAACCACTCCCGCTCAGAATGTTCAGCACACTTTGCACGTGACTGCTTGTGTACATGCTGTTCTCTTCACCTGGAATTCTTTTCCTCTCTGTGTCTGCCATCTTCATTCCTGTCTACCCTGTTCATCTTTCAGTACTTGGCTCACACCTCACCTCCTCTCTGAAGCCTTCCCCAACCACACACACTTTTGATGGTTTTTTCCCTTCTTATTCATTTTCCATTACAGCATTGATTATGAAAATGCAGATAAACCATGTGCAAATAAAACTGGGACTGGCACTTGGAAACTAAAGTACACAAATCTTAAGTGCACAGTCTGATTATGTATACAACCATGTAACCCACACCCAGATCAAGATGTTAAATACTTTCAGTACCCAGAAGGCTCCTTCATGCCTCCTCCTAGTCAATACTTCTCTCAAAGGTAACCACTGTTCTCACCTCTTTTCACTATAGATTTGCTTTGCTTATTTTTAAATTGTATTAAAATAGATTCATTTAGGAGATACTTTTTTATTGTGATAAAATATATGTAACATAAAATTTACTGTTTTAGCAATTTTGAAGTGTACAGTTCAGTGGCATTAAGTACATTCATGTTGTTGTGCAGCCACCACCACAATCCATCTCCAGAACTTTTTCATCAAGTATATCCTTCTTTGTGTCTCTTTTTGTTTTCTTTTCACTTGACATTATGTCTGCAAGATTCACCTATGTTGTCACAGGTACCAGTGGTTCATTTCTTTTTATTTCTGAGTAGTAGTACTTTGTGTGACTGTATCACAATTTGTTTTATCAATTCTCTTGCTGGATGGACATTGTTTTTTTCCAGCTTTTTATTCTTTTGACTAAAACTTTTATGAGCGTTATGCTTGTGCAGATACCTTGATGCCCATACATTTCTGTTGGGTACATACCTAGAAGTGGAATGGGATCTGAAATGTCACTTCATAGATTCTATATAAAGAGTGTTTGTAACCTCCTGAATCAAAACACAAGTTCCATTCTGCGAGATAAAATGATACATCACAAAGCATTTTCACAGTTAGCTTGTTTCTAGTTTTTATCGCTTGATATTCGATTTTTTCTTATAGGCCTCAATGGGCTCAGAAATGTCACCTCGTAGATTCTACAAAAAGAGTGTTTCCAACATGGTAAATCAAAACACAGGTTCCATTCTGTGATAGGATAGGCATGTCTTCAGCATTAGCGGATATTGCCAAACCATTTTCCAAAGTGGCTTGTATTCATTTCTTATTGCTGCTATAACAGATTATCACAAACTTTAGTGGCTTAAAGCAAAATAAATGTATTATCTCAATTCCAGACGTCAGAAGTCTTAAAATCAAGGTGTCAGCAGAGCCTTTCAGGATGTGCTAAGGGAGAATCTGTTTCCTTGTCCTTTCCAACTTCTTTTTTTGTTTGTTTGTTTTTTTTTTTTTTTGAGACGGAGTTTTACTCTTGTTGCCCAGGCTGGAGTGCAGTGGTGCGATCTCGGCTCACCGCAACCTCCGCCTCCCGGGATCAAGCGATTCTCCTGCCTCAGCCTCCTGAGTGGTTGGAATTACAGGCATTCACCACCACACCCAGCTAATTTTATATTTTTAGTAGAGACAGGGTTTCTCCATGTTGGTCAGGCTGGTCTCGAACTCCCGACCTCAGGTGATCTGCCTGTCTCAGCCTCCCAAAGTGCTGGGATTACAGACTTGAGCCACCACGCCCGGTTGTCTTTTCCAGCTTCTAGAGGCTGCCTGCATTCCTTGGCTCATGGCCCCTTCCTCCGTCTTCAAGGCCAGCATCATAGCATCTTCCAATCTCTTTCTCTCTTGCTCCTTCCCCTCCCTCCCCCCCAGCTCTACTTCCACTGTTACATCTCTTCTCTCTAACTCACCTACCTCTGTTGTGATTACCTTGGGCCTACTTGGAAAATCCTGGATAATCTCCCCATCTCAAGAGCCTTAACTTGATCACATCTAGAAAGGTCTTTTTGTTATATGGGATAGCATATTCACAGGTTCTGGGAGCTAGAACATCGACAGCTTGGGGCCAATATTTTGCCAGCCACATGGCTGTACCATTTTGTATTCCCACCACAGTGCATGAGAGTTCTAGTTCCTCTCCATCTTTGTCAGTACTTGGTATGGTCAGTCTTTTGAATTGTAGCTATACTGGTGGAGATGTAGGGGCAAGTCCAAGGCTGCCACCCCAGGCAGTGCATCCTCCTTTGCTCCAGTGATAGCTTTATTGCAACTTATAAGCATTATATTATGAATATGTATTTACATTCCTCTGTCTTAGCCAAACTAAGCACCACTTCATGAGCAGGCTATATAGTAGTTGATTTAATAAAAGGTCCTTGGATGCGAAGAACTGACTGAGGGCAGTTTTCAGCAGAGCAGGGAAGCAGAGCTGAAGATATAAATGAAAGCCCATGCTTCCAGTCTCAACTCTGCTCAGCCCCCAGGATCTGAGGGAAGTAGGATTTCCCTCAAATAAAAATAGGAGTAGAGCAAAGAACCTGGCTTCCACCTTCTGCACACTGTTGTCTTTCCCAAGATAGTTAATCTATAAGTGAGTAATGCCCTAGAAGGAAATTTGGGCCTTGACTCCTATGGGTGTTGGTTGGAAATGACTTCACTGTATATGTAAATGAGAGGAAAATACAGTTCCAGCTGGCTACTGGGGAGTCTGATCTTGGACCCTTTGCAGGGACTCAGGTTTTCCTTTTCCTTGGACTCTGCTCATGTAGCAACATACTGCAGCTTCTTACTTACAGAAGGAAAGACTCCAAGGTAAGTAATGCTTTCTTGATCTCAGGGAATGTCTGTCATGTGTGTAGACTTAAACCCACCTTGGAAACTTGAGGTTGGAATGTCTGCAGAAAGTGAAGCCAGAGTAGAGATGAATTTCCAATGCCCCTGGACACAGGATGGTGGGCACAGATGTCTTCGTACTAGAAAAGAATCTCGGAAGGTGGGATTAGTATTAGATAAAAGGCAGACAGGATGATGGCTTCTTTCGGGAGCATCCTGATGCAAATAAGCACTTTCTGGGTTCTGTTTCATTCCCTAGTTTACTTTGCTGGGCACACACCTGGTTTCATGAGGGCTGTAAGGTTTCTAGGCTTCATTCTTACCTTTCTAGGCTGCCGAGGTGTTAGCAGCATTCCTGCAGCTTGGCATTGCTGTGACCTGAGAGAGAGAGAGAGAGAGAGAGAGAGAGAGAGAGAGTATAAACTTGCAGTGTGGCAGAGGACTTCCTTGGCCCTCACAAGGTCAACCAAAACCTGGCTGGTTGGTATTTGGATCAAAAGGGAGTCGGTCTTTGAAGAAAAGCATTATCTCAGGATAGGAGGTACTGTGACAGGCCTGTGCCAGAGTTATTGGTCCCTGTTTAAAAATGTACTGACAGTGTCACAGCTTTAGTAATTTAATAAGTACATGTGTGGTTCACAGGCTGATCTGAAACAAGCTGGCTGTGCCAGAGTGGGTCACACCTGGACCTTGAGTAGTGTGGATGGCACACACACCATGAGGGTTGGGACAGCCTGAACCAAACTGTGGCCGTGTGTTTATGGAGTGCTGCTGACTTCTTAGACATCCACTTATCTCTGCCTGCTGTGTTTGAGATGTGGAAAATGTCAGGTGGCAGCATTCATGCTGAGAACTGTCCCCCTGGGATTTGGACTCCCTCTTTACTCGCTGCCATCCAGGTCTGGAGGTGATCTCGAGAAAGAATATGGGGTGAGCTGTCCTCTGTAATCAGATGGGTGTTCACTTTTTCCAGGACAGGCACTGGATCTCCGCTCAACATTCTCTGGGGCTGGAGGGGTACCCTTCACCTCCTGGGTCAGGAAGCTCTTTATGTTGATAGAAACATGTCTCCTCTTGCTACCCGCTCCCCCCCCCACCGTGTAGAGAGCGGACAACCCCTTGGCATCCTTTTCACAGAACTTCTAAGTCTCCATAAATGTGGGGACCAAGAGCCTTTCTGTGGCCTACACCACTTCCAGTTGTTTAAACCCTCCTGGTGTAACTTTTTATTTGGAGTTTACTCCTGTGACATTGGTGTCTCTCTTCTCTAACTGTTTGCACAAATTGTCCATAGTGAGCCCTTTCATCTCAGTTAAGAATTTCCCACTTAATCTGATCACCTACTGGCTTGGCCACTAACTAGCTATAGGACCTGGCCACAGGTTAGTTTCTTGGCCTCTTCTTTACCTGTGAAATGGGAACATATCTGAAATACTTCATGGGGTTGACAGGAGGATTGTGAAGTGTTGCATGGAAAGTGTTTGTAGTGCAGTGTCTTGCACAGAGGTAGTACTCTGTTAAGTAGGAGGGGAGCTTATCATCCGTGTAGCCAGTACGAGGACCTAGGCTGGATGTCTGTGGACATAAAAAAGATTTTTTGTTATAGTGTACACTTATATCAATATAGTCATATTGATATATTTATGTATGGTCTTTGCCTTCCAGGGAACTAGTAACCTAGTGAGATAGGTTGTCTCTAACTTACTGTAATCCAAGTTGAGCATTGATAAGTACCATAAATGAAAATAGAAAAATGGACCATAAGGCTATAGATGAACAGTTCATTCTGGCTGAGAGCTGGGGTCAGTTTTTGTGCATTTATGAGTCCCAAAGGCAAGTGATTTTTTTGGGAGGGACAGTCACTTATACTTTGGTGGCCCATGGTTAGCAGGACAGCACTTCCCACCTGGAAGTGGCCTCTATCTTTGGCCACGTTCTTCAGTTTCTGCATAGAAATGACATTTCTTTTTCTCCCACCTAGTGCTTAATTTATGATTGAAATTCTTGAAGTATCCAGTGATGCCCTATTCAGGAGGCTGTCCAGCCAGTAGCATTCCTTTTTATTCGTTGCCTAATGCAACACTGACAGTAGCGTTCATTTTTCTCTTCCTATAAGTATGTCAAAGTCTCTTATCCTAGGTCCTAGTTCTCACTGTCCTAGGTGAGCTTTCTCTTCCCACTTTGTGCAGTTAGTATTTTTCCACAGACATAGAAGAAGAAAAGAGCACTCTTGTTTTTTGGCCCCACCCCTCTTTGGCACACACTACTTAGGTGCTTCACCCCACACATTGGCCCAGAGCTTAAGAGAAGGTCATCTGACTGTCTGGAGCTGTGGAAACTGCACATGGCTTTTGGCAAGAGAATCTTGTGGTGTGCTATAAGTTTTTAAGTTTAAGAGTTTACACTCTGCACTGGATAATATGGTAACTAATTCCATGTGTGGCTACTTAATTAAAATTAAATAAAAGTAACAATTCAGTTTCTTGATTGCACTAAGCCACATTTCAAGTGCTCCATAGCCCAGTTGGATGGCACAGATATAGAACACTTCTGTCATTGCAAAAAATTCCATGGGACAGTGCCGGTCTAGGGGGTTGCCTTATAGTTGTAGGCTACTAATAGGAAAGATAGATGTTCATTCAGGCTTCAGTGGTTTAGATTTTCCTCCTGAATGACCCAAGTTGAATGTCTAAGCTTTAAATCTCATCAACTAATGCAATTAAAATATTTTAACCTTCTTAAATTTGAATACAAAAAGGGTATTCATTTTCTGAAGTCTTTTTTGTGCTGCCGAATTACCCTGAAGTAGATAGCAAGTGTGGATTCTTACAGGTGAGGACCTTAATTTGTTTTTTATTGTGGTAGAATATACATAACATAAAATTCACCACTTTAACCATTTTAAGTGTACAATTTAGTGGCATTAAATACATTCACAATGTTGTGTAACCATTATCACTATCTGTTTTCAGAACTTTCTCCATCATCCCAAATACAACATATACCCACTAAATAATAACTTCCCTTTCCACCTCCCCCCAGTCTACTTTCTGTCTCCCTGCATTTGCCTATTCTAGGTACCTCATATAAGTGGAATCATAAAAAATTTATCCAATGTACTGACTCATTTCACTTAGCATAATATCCTCAAGGTTCATTCGTGTTGTATGTATAAGTAGTATGTGTCAGAATTTCTTTTTTTTCTTTTTTTTTTTTTTTTTTTGAGACAAGGTCTTGCTCTGTCTCGGAGACTGGAGTGCAGTGATGTGATCATAGTTCACTGCAACCTCGAACTCCTGAGCTCAAGTGATCCTCCCACCTCAGCCTCCCCAGTAGCTAGGACTATTGGCGTGCACCACTGTGCCTGGCTAATTAAAAAAAAAAAAAAAAAAAGGACAGGGTCTCCCTATGTTGCCCAGGCTGATCTTAACTCCTGACCTTAAGCAATCCTCTTGTCTTAGCCTCCCAAATTGTTGGGATTACAGGTATGAGCCACTGCACCCAGCCAGAATTTCTTTTCTTTTCTTTTCTTTTTTTCTTTTTTCCTTTTTTTTTTTTTTTTTTTTTTTTTGAGGAAGAGTCTTGCTCTGTTGCCCAGGCTGGAGTGCAGTGGCACAATCTTGGCTTACAGCAACCTCCGTCTCCCGGTATCAAGTGATTCTCCTGCCTCGGCCTCCCAAGTAGCTGGGATTACAGGTGCCCACCACCATGCCTGGCTAATTTTTTTGTATTTTTAGTAGAGATGGGGCTTTGCCATGTTGGTCAGGCTGGTCTTGGACTCCTGACCTCAGGTGATCCACCTGCCTCAGCCTCCCAAAGTGCTGAGATTACAGGCGTGAGCCTCTGCACCCAGACTTCTTTTCTTTTTAAGGCCAAATAATATTTCTTTGCATAGATATACCACATTTTGTTTATCCATTCTTTTGTTAGTAGACATTGGGGTTGCTTCCCCCTTTTGGCTATTGTGAATAATGCTGCTGTGAACATAGGTGTGCATACATCTATTTGAGTCCCTGCTTCAATTCTTTTGGATATATACCCAAAAGTGGAATTACTGGATCATATAGAAATGCTATGTTTGACCCTGTTTTGTGCCAGGGGAGAAGTGGGGAGACAGGGTGGGTCTTGCTCTGTTCCCCAGGCTGAAGTGAACTGGTGCAGTCGTAGCTCACTGTAGCCTCACATTCCTGGGCTTAAGTTATCCTCCCACCTCAGCCTCCAAAGTAGCTGGAAAAACAGTCACTTGTCACCATACTCAGCTAATTTTTAAATTTTTTGTAGAGATGTGGTCTCACTATGTTGCCAAGGTTGGTCTCGAATTCCTGGCCTCAAATGATCTTCCTGCCTCCACCTCCCAAAGTGCCGTGATTACAGACATGAGCCACTGTGTGTGGCCTTGGCCCTGATTGAAAAACAAACAAACAAACAAACAAACAAACAAAACCTTAAAATCATTGTTGAGATATAACTCACAATAACATAAATTTCATTCTTGTAAAGTGTACATACAGCCCAGTCGTTTTAAATATATTCACGAGGTCATGCGATCATCTCCACTAGTCACTGATTTTTTTTTTTTTTAGACAGAGTCTCACTCTGTTGCCCAGGCTGGAATGCAGTGGTATGATCTTGGCTCACTGCACTGCCTGGGAAAACAGGCGTGAGCTACTGTGCCCGGCCTAGTCACTGATTTTTATAGCCTCTTAGGACTAAAGGGAGAGGGAGAATCTAGAAAGTGGCTTGGGTGCAAGGAAGGGAGCTTTCAGGATTATGTATAATACTCTTAAAACAGGATATTTGTTAATCCTAGCACTTTGCGAGGCCGAGGCAAGCAGATCAGTTGAGGTCAGGAGTTTGAGACCAGCCTGGCCAACATGGTGAAATCCCATCTCTACTAAAGATAGAAAAATTAGCTGGGTGTGGTGGCACATGCCTGTAATCTCAGCTACTTGGGAGGTTGAGGCAGGAGAATTGCTTGAACCCAGGAGGCAGAGGTTGCAGTGAGCCAAGATCGTGCCACTGCACTCCATCCTGGGCGACAGAGCAAGACTGTCAAAAAATATATATATATATACATATATATGTATATATATATATATATATATATATACATATATATATATATATATATATATACATATATATATATATATATATATATATATGTATGTATTTTTTTTATTACCAATTCCTTGAAACGTCTCATAATCTTTAGCAACAATCCTCTGCCCACTGCGAGGCTTTCTGACCTGAAGTTTAGAAAGGCTCCCCTGCTACCTGACATATTTTCAGCTACTCGTGAGGCCTTGTTTTATGGAACGGGATGTTGAAGAACCTCACAAATGGGTCAGACTCCCCAGCAATGCTCTGGAAGCCTGCTTCTATAGGAGCAGACAGGTGTTCATGTGCTATAAGCTTTGTCACATGCCCTTCCCTAGCAGGGAACTACTTCTGTTCCTTCTCTGGTTCTGGTCCTAAATTCTGAAGCTACTTGCATTTCCAAACATAAAGCAAGTTGTTTATAATAAATGCCTTAAATATTTGATTTTCAGATTCATATTGCTCTGCTTTGGAACAAGGAATACAACTCCTCTGCTTTTGTTATTACAAGCCATTTATACATATACCAGGGTGCTCTGGTTTTCACTTGTTCTCATCCTTTAGTTGTGGTTTTAATATTTTGTGCTTTGGACATGGTTTTATTGTGGTTTTCAGATACATGGCCAGTTTTCTTTTCTTTCTTTTTTTAATACGTCATACAATTCACCCCTTTAAAGCGTTCAGTTCAGTGGATTTAGCATATTAAGTCATGCAACCATCACCACAATCAATTCCAGAATATTTTCATCACCACAAAAAGAAATCCCTTACTTGTTTTACCCCAACCCCCTGCCCTAGGCCACCCAACTACTAATCTCAGTCTCTATAGATTTTTGACCAGCGTTCTTGCATTCTTGTTTAATGGTTATTTTTTATTTTTATTTTTATTTTTTTTTGAGATGGAGTCTCACTCTGTCACCCAGGCTGGAGTGCAGTGGCGCGATCATGGCTCGCTACAACCTCTGCCTCCCGGGTTCAAGCGATTCTCCTGCCTCAGCCTCCTGAGTAGCTCCGACTACAGGTGCGTGCCACCACGCCAAACTAATTTTTGTATTTTTAGTAGAGACGGGGTTTCACCATGTTGACCAGGCTTGTCTTGGACTCCTGACCTCAGGTAGTCCTTCTGCCTCAGCCTCCCAAAGTGCTGGGATTACAGGCGTGAGCCACCGCGCCCAGGCTAATGGTGACTTTCTTCCTCTCTAAATTATAATATAAGCCACCACCCTTTTTTCCGTCTCTGTTCCATTTTTGTCTTTTCCCCTTCCCTCCCTCCCCTCTTCTGATATTAGCAGGTTAGCTCTAAATTCTCCTTAATTAGCTCCCAAACCGGATGAATTGGTGGATGTGGCACAACTGCAGGAATTCATCCAACAAACCAGGGATGGACAAATAGTGTGTTTGAGCCCTCGAACACCCTTCCAAGTCATCTGCCTTCATTCTGTCACTATGAGGCCAGCCTTCTTTTCACTGGCTGGGAGGCTGTGGGAACTGCGAGCTAGGCCAGCAAGAGAGAACTGGGTGGAAGCTGGTCTCAGATTGATCAGTCACACAGCCTGGGGAGCAATGAACTGAGATTTCAGTGTGTGGCCCATGTGAGTGAGTACTGGGACAGAAATCAAATGCTTGCCTTACAAATGTAGTGTCCAGATGTATAAATTCAGCCACTGGATCCTCCTATCAACAGAAACATTTAATAGTCAAATTACAGTTTCAAAATCAGTTTACAAATTACAGTCTGAAAATATCAGTATTTAACTTGAGAAGCACTGTTACTCGTACCTGGTACAGAGTCAGAACTCAGTGAAACTTCCCCTTTGCCCTCTGAAGTTTTGCTGAAAAGTGAACTCACAAAAGACAGATTAATTAGAGAAAAGGCATACACATTTTATTCACGTTTATACAGGGAGAACCATGAGTGACTACCTACCTCCAACAGGGTTCAGAGGCTTTATATACCATCCTGGCAAAATAAGTTATAAGACGGGGGAAGAAGAGGAATTCTGTTGAGAGGATCACTAGGGAGAATAAGTGGACAAGATAACTTGTATACTATCTTGTGAACGGGTCTTTCAGGTGTGGTTACATTCCTGGTCTTACAAGGAGGGGAAGAAAAAAATAAATGTTCCTTTTGGTGGGTCTGGACTTTAGGCACATAAAGGAACTTCAACTTCGTCCTGCTTTGGGAGAGACATTGGTAGGGGGAGGAGGGGGAAGGTCAGAGAGACCTTGAGGCTTCTTCAGTTCAGTACGTCAAAGTGCCATATTTTGGGATATCTGCTTCTGAGCCCCAACACTGTTATTAAGAGGCCATATTTTATTGTAAGCCTACTGTATACAAGGCACAGGTTAGGTTTTGTGAAAAATAAGCCAAAGCTTCTTGAATGGAATTCAAGCCCTATTTATGTTATAATGTGCAGGAGTTTAGCAGGTTAACACTGGGGAAGCAGAGACTTGGTAGCATCCACATTTTGCTTGTTTCTTTAGAACCATATATTTTATTAAATAAATTTTTATAAAACAATGTGTTAACTGTAGATACCCTCAACACAGGAAAGGTTTGGTTAAGCTTAGATTCTTGCTGGGAATTGTAGATATTATAATTTCTTGTGGATAATTTAAAAAATTTATCATTTACTATTGGCCACTGGTAGCTTTATTCAAGGCAAACCATCTTGCTCAAAACAAATAACCTTGACCAAAAAGGTAGCCAGGATCCTATTTAGTCTATCTACAGATTGTTTTTGGTTAAAAAGACATCAGTGTTTGTTCCATGCCATATATGTATCTCCTGTTTCATTACATCTCCGTATTGCTGGGAATGAAACGAGTACCAGCAGGCCCTTGCTGTGGAATTTTCTGAGCGAGGTCAGAGAGAAGCACAGTGTACTTTTAGAACAAGATCTGTCCTGCCTTTTTTTGTATTCTGGAGTACACTTGGGGAGAAATAGAGTAAGCTGCTGTTTGGGGAAGAAGTTTGGGCTTTTGATTTATTTTGAAGGAGTTTAAGAAATGCTACCACCATGCCTGGCTAATTTTTGTATTTTTAGTTGAGAAGAGATTTCACCATGTTGGCCAGGCTGGTCTTGAACTTATGACCTCAGGTGATCCACCCATCTCGGCCTCCCAAAGTGCTGGGATTACAGGCGTGAGCCACCACACCCAGCCAATACTAGTTTTTTTTATTGCTAAAGAGTGTTCTGGGCCGGGCACGGTGGCTCACTCCTACAATCCCAGCACTTTGGGAGGCAGAGACAGGTGGATCACCTGAAGTCAGGAGTTTGAGACCAGCCTGGCCAACATGGTGAAACCCCATCTCTAGTAAAAATACAAAAATTAGCTGGGCATGGTGGTGGCCGCCTGTAATCCCAGCTACTCTGGAGGCTGAGGCAGGAGAATCGCTTGAACCTGGGAGGTGGAGGTTGTAGTGAGCTGAGATCGCGCCACTGCACTCCAGCCTGGGCAACAAGAGCAAGACTCCATTTCCAAAAAAAAAAAAAAAAGAGTGTTCCACTCACAGTGAATATACCACAGTGTTTTTGCTCCATTGCTGTTTTATCCATTCTTTCTTTCTTTTTTTTTTGTCTAAGATGAGGTCTCACTCTGTCACCCAGACTGGAGTGCCGTGGCTCTACCTGGGCTCATTGTAATCTTCGCCTCCCAGGCTCAAGCAGTCCCACCTCAGCCTTCTGAGTAGCTGGGACCATAGTCACGTGCCACCATGCCTGGCTAAGTTTTATCCATTCTCTTGCTGATGGATAGTTGGACTATTTCCGGCTTTGAGCAATAATGGATAAAGATGCTGTGAACATGCATGTGCAAACCACCTTGTGGTCCTGTGTTTGCTTTATTTCTCTTGGGTAAATCCCTCAGGGCGGGATTGCTGGGTCATATGTATGTTTTAACTGTGGAAAGAACTGCCAAATCTTTTCCCAAGTGGTTGTATTCTTTTACACCCTCACCTGAAGTGTATGAAAGTTCTAACTGCTTTGCACCTTTGCCAGTACTTGCTATAGTCAATTTTTTTGTGGGATTTAAATTTTTTTTGCCATTCCAGTATGTGTATAATGGTATGGGTTTCTCATTGGTTTTACCTTGCATTTCCCTGATGATTAAAGATGTTCAATATTTTTTCATGTGTTGATTACCATGTGAAGTGTTTGTTCACATTTTTTTTTTTTTTTTTTTTTTTGAGACAGAGTCTCACTCTGTCGCCCAGGCTGGAGTGCAGACAGGGTTTCGCTATGTTGGCCAGGCTGGTCTCGAACTCCTGACCTCGTGATTTGCTTGCCTTGGCCTCCCAAAAGTTCTGGAATTACATGCGTGAGCCACCATGCCCGGCCGGATTCGGCAACTAATTTGTACATCTTAAAGCTCCTACAAGTTTATGACACATTATTATATGGCAGAAATAGACTAAAAATAACTTTCTGTGCAAAAATAGTTCTGGAAGTCGTGTCACAGGGCTCTTGGCCCAGCAGGGAGCCACTTTTAACTAGAGCTAAAAGCCAGCATTGTAAATAGCATAGAATTGACTGTAAAGAGGCAAAAGGGAATGTTTTGGGATGATGGAAGTGTTCTAAAACTTGATTATGGGGGTAGCTGCAAGGCTATATAAATTCACAGTGGTCACTTAAAATGGGTGAACTTTACAGTATGTAAGTTACACCTCAAGAAAACTATAGTAGGAAGAAAGGGAGAAGGGGGAACGAGGGAGGAGAGGAAAGGAAAAGGAATAGAAAAGCAAGCACAAATATAGGAGGGCATTGTTTTGTAAAAACCCATTTCAGCTACAGAAATATGTACATTGTAAATATGTATTTCTAATTGTGGAGTTATTAATGATCTAAAACGTTGGAAAGCTCCTGCTCCAAGGGAATGACATCTAGGGCAGTGCTTTGCAAACTTGATGGGAATCCCCTGGGGATCTTCTTATAATGCATTTCATATTCAATAGGTCTGGGGCAGGGACTCAGAGTCCACATTTTGAACAAGTTTCAGCTCATGCTGACATTGCTGGTCTGTGGACCTCACTTCTGAGTAGCAAGGACTAGGGCATAAATTGAGGCTGAGCTATTGAGAATACACAAACTTAATACTGTCATTGTTGGAAGGGTCTTTAGAAAAATCTAGTACAATATTTCCCAAATGGACATCATCATGAGAACCTTCTAGGGGTACTTATTAAAAACACAGATTCCTATAATCAAGACAGTGTGATACTGGCATAAGGATAGACAAACATATCAATAGAAGAGACTGCAGAGTCCATATATGAGTAATTGAATATTTGACAAAGGTATCAAGATAATTTAATGGAAAAAGAACAGTCTTTTCAGCAAATGGTGCTGGAACAACTGAATATCCATATGCAAAAAATGACCCGTGATTGATACCTTGCATCATATATAAAAATTAACTCCAAAATAGAGCTAAACCTAAAGCCATAAAACTTCTAGAAGAAAATACAGGAGAGGCCGAGCACGGTGGCTCACACCTGTAACCCTAGCACTGGGAGACCAAGGCGGGCAAATCACTTGAGGTCAGGAGTTCGAGACCAGCCTGGCCAACATGGTGAAACCCTGTCTCTACTGAAAATACAAAAATTAGCCAGAAATTGCTTGAACCCGAGAGGTGGAGGTTGCAGTGAGCCGAGATCGTGCCACTGCACTCCAGCCTGGGCAACAGAGCGAGACTCTGCCTCAAAAAAAAAGAAAGAAAAGAGAACACAGGAGAAAACCTTCATCACCTTGGGATAGGCAAGGACTTCTTAGAACACAAGAAGCTCAAATTATAAAAGAAAAAAATTGATAAATCAAACCATCAAAAATTAAATCTTCTTTTCTTCAAAAGACACCATTAAAATTAAAAGGCAAATAAGATGAGGAGAAAATATTCACAATAAAAATGTCAGACAAAGAACTGTGTCCAGGCTGGGTGTGGTAACTCACACCTGTAATCCCAACACTTTGGGAGGCTGAGGTGGGAGGATTGCTTGAGCCCGGGAGTTTGAGACCAGCCAGGGCAAGATGGTAGGACCCTGTCTCTGCAAAAAAAAAAAAAAAAAAAAAAAAAAAAAAAAAAAAACTGAAAATTAGCTGGGTGTGGTGGGGTACACCTGTAGTCCCAGTTACCAGGGAGGCTGAGCCAGTAGGATCCCTTGAGCCCAGGAATTTCAGGTGACAGTGAGCTATGATGATGTCATGGCACACTCCAGCCTGGGACACAGAGCGAGACTCCGTCTCAAAAAAAAAAAAAAAGAAAACTATTGACCAACCTTCTTGTGAATAAAATATAAGCAAATAAAAACATCTTGCAGCTCAGCAAGTAACCCCAAAAATGTGCAGATGTGAACAGAGGCTGGGCACAGCTCACACCTGTAATCCCAGCACTTTGGGAGGCCAATGCAGGCAGATCACTTGAGGTCAGAAGTTCGAGGCCAGCCTGGCCAACATGGTAAAACCCTGTCTCTACAAAAAAATACAAAAAAAAAAAAAAATTAGCCGGACGTGATGGTATGCACCTGTAATCCCAACTATTCAGGAGGCTGAGGCAGGAGAATTGCGTGAACCTGGGAGGCAGAGGTTGCAGTGACCCGAGATAGCGCCATTGCACTCCAGTCCAGTGACAGTGTGAGACTCCGTCTCAAAAAAAAAAAAAAAAAAAAAAAAAAAAAGAAAAGAAATTAGTTGCTGGATCCATAAGTTAAAAGAATTTTGACCTTCTTAAACTCCCCAGTTGACTTGTGACATGTTTTTAAGCCTGGACCTGCTATTTGCTTGTGTGTTAGACCATGATGGTTAGCAGAGAGGTAAAATGATTTTAAATATTTTACTAAGTAATAGTCACATGTGTCTGAAATACTGTAATTTCTGAAAATAAGGCTAGATTTGTGAAGTTTTATTGCCAAGACAGGCTCTGAAAATCTTTCCTTAAATGAATTAGAAGCCCAGAGTTGAATATGTTGTTTTAGTCTGTTTGTGTTGCTATAAAATAATGCCCGAGGCTGGGTAATTTATAAAGAGAAGAGGTTTATTTGGCTCATGATTCTGCAGACTGCAAGAAGCATCTGCTTCTAGTGAGGGCCTCAGGCTACTTCCACTCATGGTGGAAGGGGAAGGGGAGTTAGCATGTGCACAGACCACATGCAGAGATAGAGGAAGAGAGAGGGAGGAAAGGCATGTGCTGGGCTCTTTTTTACATCCAGCTCTGGAGGGACTCTCATGGGAACTAACAGAGCAAGAACTCTCATTACCACGAGCATAGCACCAAACCCTCATGACCCAAACTCCTCCCACCTGGCTTTACCACCAATCTTGGGGATGAAATGTCAACGTCAGTTATCCAGACTATAGCATATGTGTTACAGGTTTCTGTTGTGAAGTGAAATATATTTTCCTTTGTAAATCATGCCTTTAAGACAAGGCCTTGCCTTTCACCTCTAGGCAACTGTCACTCCCCCCACCAATGTGTTATTCTGGAGTCAGACTGCCTGAGTTTGCAATGCACCTCTGCCACTTAACCAGTTCTGTGACCTCAGGAAAGTGTCTTAATGTCTCAGTTTCCCCACCTGGAAAATGGGTACAATAATAGTACTTACTGCATAGATTTGTTAGGATAATCAAATAAGTGTAGACATGTAAAGTATTTAGGGAGGCTGAGGCAGGAGAATTGCTTGAACCCAGGAGGCGGAGGTTGCAGTGAGCTGAGATAGCGCCACTGCACTCCAGCCTGGGCAACAGAGCGAGACTGTCTCAGAAAAAAACAAAACAAAACAAAACAAAAAAACAGCATTTAGGACTGTGCCCGACATGATCAATGTTGATTATTATCATCATCATTATTATTGCTATCCTCATTATCATTATTTCTCTAAACTGGCTGTTGTCGAAATCTCTTATTAAGCTATTTTCCATGCCTCCCAAATTCTTTAACAACTAAACTTATGGCTTTTCCCCCAAGTCTCCTGAGGCTGCTTCCTATTTCTGCACATTTCCGCATACGATGCCAACCACTGTTCTCCTGGCTTCCTGGGCCGAAAACTTCAGATCTCCTTTGACTCTCTCCTCCCCACCTCCATTCAGTTGCCTATATGTGTAGTGTCTACCTTTTCATACTAGAATTATCCTTTCCTTTCCATTCAGATTCTAATCACCTCTCATCTGGATTATTCATTTATCGTGTAGCTGAAATGGGACCGTGTAGCTGAAATGGGACCGTGTAGCTGAAATGGGAGGACAGGGTTCCCGTGGGCCCAGCCCTGGACCCACCTGTGTGGGATAGGGGACAGGAGCAGCTGGGAAGACAGGATTGGGTGCGGGACATGGACATCAGCAGTGTGAGGGACAGGATAAGGAAAGGACAGTGAGAAGGCGGCTCTGAGAAGGACCGGCCACACCTTAGGGCCTGCCTGTATTTGAAATGCCTTTATTAGCTTTTGCATATTCCTCACAGACATCTCTTTGCATACAATGAAGGTCTTTGGGTGAATTGGATGAAATGGCTTGTTACCAGCTTGAATGATCACTTAGAAAAAAACTGCGCAGGCCTGCACGGTGGCTCACACCTGTAATCCCAGCACTTTGGGAGGCTGAGGCAGGTGGATCACTTGAGGTCAGGAGTTCGAGACCAGCCTGGCCAACATGGTGAAACCCCATGTCTACTAAAAATAGAAAAATTAGCTGGGCATGTTGGCGGATGCCTGTAATCCCAGCTACTTGGGAGGCTGAGGCAGGAGAATCACTTGAACCTGGGAGGTGGAGGTTGCAGTGAGCCAAGATTGCACCACTGCACTCCATCCTGGGCAGCAGAGTGAGGCTTTGTCACAAAAAAAGAAAAAAGAAAAAAACTTGAGAAAACATTTTACCCTGTTCCTTCTCTTTATCTTTGTTTCTTACATTTAGTGACCATATTGGCTATGTATTGTGTGCATACAACCATCACGCCCTGTCCTTAGCAGAGAACTCCAATTTTGAAACCTCAGAAGGTGGATACTGTGCTCGATGAAAGTACTCAGTGCCATATTGATGAGCGGAATGTTGGGTTACCTTGGGAACACAGACGTCCTTCCTTGTTACTATAAAAAGGGCCACAGTGGCTGTGGTTGTAAGGCAACCTACATTTTACTGATTCTTTATGGTAAAAACGTGCCTGTAGGGAAATGCTGTATTTTTTTAAGAACTTTGATCAGATACATCAGACTTCCTTTTAGTGCTGATCAAATCAGGTAAACCCAGTTTTCAGTACTTACGGGTTTTTACAAGTATCAAAGCTGTTTCCATCCATCCTTCTTCTCCTCTTTCCTGTGCCCACAGTAAGTAGGCAGGATATTTGTTGTAAGACTCAATATGAATTGTTTTCACCAACAGGGATTATGACTAAGAGTATAATTTATACTAATGTCCTTAGGAGGGGACTTATTTGCCTGGTAGGGCCTGTATAGGTCATATGAAGGCAGATGGCGTGTGTTTGACCTCCTCAGGGTGGCCTGTTGAGCAGGGTTGCCTGGCCAAGTAAGCCTTCCCACTCCAGATTGTGAGGCAGCTCAATGTGTTTGCCTCGCTTGCAGGTTCCTACCATGGTTTCACTGTACTGCCATCTGGGAAAGGAAGGTTGGTGCAGTTTATTCCATAATAATTAAAAGCCTTACCACTACTAATAAGGCGTTTAGATACAGCCCTACTGGCCGGGTGTGGTAGCTTACACCTGTAATCCCAGCACTTTGAGAGGCTGAGGCAGGTAGATAGATCACTTGAGGTCAGGAGTTCGAGACCAGCCTGGCCAACATGTCAAAACCCCATCTCTATTAAAAATTCAAAAATTAGCTGGGCGTGGTGGTGCGCACCTGTAATCCCAGCTACTCGATAGGCTGAGGCAGGAGAATTGCTTGAACCAGGGAGGCGGAGGTTGCAGTGAGCCGAGATTGTGCCAGTGCACTCCAGCCTGGGCAGTAGAGTGAGACTCTGTCTCAAAAAGAAAGAAAGAGAGAGAGAGAGGGAGGGAGGGAGGGAACAGGAAGGAAGGGAGGGAGGGTACAGTCCTACCTAGGGGAACAAATTATGCCCATTGATGCTGTCAAACACCTATCAGAAGTTTACTAATTCTCTGCGATTGAAGAATTATTTTATTATTGCTACCATTTTTAACAAAGCCACCCAAATGGGAATCGTGTTTATTTTCTTTATCGTTTTCTGAGGTTTTATATTACTACCGTATATTGATGTGGCATGAACCAAGGTGTATACACTGTGAAGAAGGTTTTTTTATTCGTCACATGCAGTGTAGCTTACTACAGCAGGCTTCCTTACCCTTGGCACTACTCACTTTTGGGGCTGGATGATTCTTTTTTTTTTTTTTTTTGTGAGTCTTGCTCTGTTGACCAGGCGGGGGTGCAGCGATGCGGTCTCAGCTCACTGGAACCTCCGCCTCCCGGGTTCAAGTGATTCTCCTGCCTCACACTCCCGAGTAGCTGGGATTACAGGCGCGTGTCACCACACCTGGCTAATTTTTGTATTTTTGGTAGAGACAGAGTTTCACCATGTTGGCCAGGCTGGTCTCGTACCCCTGACCTCAAGTGATCCACTCGTCTCAGCCTCCCAAAGTGTTGGGATTACAGGCCTGAGCCAAGGGCTGGATGATTCTTGTTTGAGGCTGAGGGTTGTCCTGTGCACTGTAGAATGTTTAGCAGCATCCCTGACCTGTACCCACTAGATGCCAGTAGCACCTCCCCAGGAGATATTTTGGAGTCTCAAAATATCTCCAGACTTTGCCAAGCACTGGGGTACACAGTCTCCCCTGGTTGAGAACCACAGTATTAGAATGTAAGGATTGTGTAGCTTGCTATTTTTAAAGGCAGTGGTCATCTGAAGCACTAGTTTTCGGTCAGCTATAATAGAAATGTATGTATTGACCTTTAAGTATGACAGTTTGGCTAACTTAAAATAATGTGGTAAATCCAAAACCCGATTGCTGTGATGTGCTAGCATGCTTAAATAGCAACAGCATATTGCTGTTCTTTGATGATCGTTTTTACAGATGAATGGCAACACACAGGATTTGAAAATGCATATATCATTTATTTTTATGTTCCTGAAATGAAAAGGAAAGAAATAGTGACAGCCACAACAGCCCAGGTACCATCCATACTCAGGCATACCTGTAGTGCACATGGGAAAAGCACTTTTCCTATGTGTTATTTTGGAATGGCAGTGGCCTTTTCTGTGGAATGGCCAAAAGAGAAGCTTGTACATGTCCATAAACCTTGGGAATTCTCCCCTGAAGGCCTCGTTGTTTTACTTTTCACAAATCTTTCCCAGAACCAAATATTCAGTTCCACGGTTTACCTTTTCTTTTGTATCATAATCTGTAGTTTTACTATTTTCAAAATCAACTTTTAACTACTGGCAGCAATAAATTGAACTTTAAGATTCATGGTTCTTTTGTTTTCCAAAGAGGGTTTTAGCAGGGATGCGGTTAGAGGCTGGAGGTGGGTTAGATAGAGGTAAATTTAATTGACAAGCTAGAGATAACTGCGAGGCTGTTTAAAAGGCCAACCAGACTGCCCTGAACAATGTTGAATGCGGTTACACATTGTACTCTGCTTTTGTGGTTTAAAAATAATCTATCTGTGGCCGGGCGCAGTGGCTCACGCCTGTAATCCCAGCACTTTGGGAGGCCAAGGTGGGCAGATCACAAGGTCAGGAGTTCGAGACCAGTCTGGTCAATATAATGAAACCCCGTCTCTACTAAAAATACAAAACATTAGCCGGGTGTGGTGGTGTGCACCTGTAATCCCAGCTACTTGGGAGGCTGAGGCAGGAGAATGGCATGAACCCAGGAGGCGGAGGTTGCAGTGAGCCGAGATCGCGCCATTGCACTGCAGCCCCGACAACAGTGCGAGACTCCGTCTCAAAAAAAATACAAAAATAATAATCTATTTGTGCCATGAAGCTGTTTCCTCAAGGCCTCAAAGTGCCCTTGAAGATTGTCCTTGTTTAAGAATTATGTTGTGGCTGGACTGAGGATGCCAGACGCACAGATCTGTAGGCCTAGGATGGGGGTAACTCTGCTGGGCATGTTTTTCAGAGACAAATGGAAATGGAACAGGGGTTCTAACTTTCAAAATCATTTTTAACCTGTCTCCCAATTGTTGTAATACCAAGAGTTTTACTCTCTAATTAAAAAAATATTTTTTGTAGAGACAGGGTCTTGGTATGTTGCCCAGGCTGGTCTTGAACTCCTGGCCTCAAACGATGCTCCCACTTTCTTCCTAAGCACTGGGAATACAGGCATGAGCCACTGCTCCCAGCCCAAAAGAGTGATTTTTTTTCCTAGCCCCTTTATTTATCCTTTGCATTTTGTTTTAAAACTAAGGAATCTTCTTGAAACGGAAGCCAGCTGGTGGTAGGAGCAGGCCTAAGCACTACCCTGATGACTTGCATTGCTCTTCAGTAGCCTTGTCAGTGGCCTCTGGACTCAGTGGTGTAACTGGGACCATCTCTTCTGTGGGCTGGAATTGCCATGAGCTAAGTTGGAATAGCAGGGCTAGGAGAGCAAGCAGTTCACATTGGGTAGTTTGTGCTCAGCAGTGATTAAAGCTCAGATCTGGGCCGGGCGCGGTGGGTTATGCCTGTAATCCCAGTACTTTGGGAGTCTGAGGCGGGCTGATCACCTAAGGTCAGAAGTTTGAGACCAGCCTGGCCAACATGGTGAAACTTCGCCTCTACTAAAAATACAAAAAGCTGAGCGTGGTGGTGCACACCTGTAATCCCAGCTACTCAGGAGGCTGAAGCACAAGAATCCCTTGATCCCAGGAGGCAGAGGTTACAGTGAGCTAGGATCGTGCCACTGCATTCCAGCCTAGGCGACCGAGTGAGACTCTGTCTCAAAAAAAAAAAAAAAATCAGATCTGATGCCCAGTGAGATGGCCAAGGAAGAGTTGTCAGCCTAGGAAGAAGGGGCTGTCCTCAGGGAAGGGGTCTGAAGGGTCCTGTTAACCCTGTAACAGTGAGGTTGGAGGGACCCCAAACAACCACATACATGTAATTGTGCAGAAACAGAAACAAGGAATGAGGACAATATAATCAGCTTGAGACAAAGAGCTTGCAGTTGGCTTGCTCATACTCAAGAGTGCAGCTTGTCCTATGGTAGGGACCTGGGGCCTTATGGGCATCTGGGCCAGGAGTGCCATGGAGATTGGCTGGAAAGGTCTCTGGTGAGCCTTTGGGATCCTTTTTTCTTTCTTTTTCTTTTTAGCTATCTCCCTATAGGAAGGATGAGACTCTTTTACATCTTTTACTTTCATGTTATTAAACACACATACACATCACCATGAATAGAAATCAAATGACATTGCTAATACTGGAAACTCCACAGGTAATTTCTCTTTACCAGTCATTACCTGCTGGGTTCTGTCCACAGTTTAAAAGAGATATTTGTACATTTCTTGTGCTTTGTTGCTGAGAAAAAGCAACAAGCTTCTAAGCAAGAGTCATTTATCCCCGTGTCTTGGCCCTCTTTCCAGAAGCTCAAAGCCTTTCTGAGTCTTGTCTTGGATTGGTGAGTTGGGAGCTTGTATTTTCACATGACACAACCCTCATTGAGCAACCGCTTCTCCTGATATGTAACCTGAAAGCCAGCCTCTGCCCCACCATTACAGGAAAATACTGGCTGGGTTAGGCTGAGGAATAATGATGCCTGACATTTATTGAGCAGTGCTTGTGTAGCGCATAGTGTACTGAGCAGTTCCCTCTTTTCCCTCCTCCTGTTTGCATCCTTTCCCTCTCAATTAATGCTCCTAGTGATCCAGTGAGTGGGCGCGATCTCCATGGGGTTAGAACCCAGGCTACCTGGCTCTGGAGCCCCTGCTCCCAGGGCACTGTACTCAGCTGCCCTCTCTGTACTTGCTGGGGGATGTGGGGGTGCTCTTCAAGGGTCATTTTGTCTGCATGATTGGAGCCCTTTATCAGGTGAGACTCCAGAAGCTCACGCAAAAGCCCTGCATGTCAGAGCCTCTCCATCTCTAAAGGACCTGAGGCCAAGTTCAGATGCCCAGACCTACATGCCCTGTCCATGGTAGAAAACTCTACCCTTGCTGCCCTGTCCATGTTTACTGCCTTATCTCATTCTAGCCCCATTTGCTTGTTGGTTTTTTGGGATCACCTTGTATAGGGTGGGTAGAATCCACATTCTTGTTGTTGAAGAACAGGCATGCACAAAAAACTGTGATGAACAGAATTACACAGAAAGGAGAGCATGAAGGTGGAGGAGAGATGATCTTGCAACCACCGCACAGGGAAGAAGGCTGGGAGGACAGACCTCAGCATAGAGTCACCCGTATTACCTTAGGGAGCCCTGAGCTTAGCTGTATAGGTTTCTTTTAACTAGCAAATCATGCTGTGAATAGAATATGCTGTGCATATTGGCTTATTTTGAAATTACATATAATTGTAGAAACACAGGAAGCTAGGTAATTCCTGCCTCCCAGATGAGGATCCAGGGTGGGAGCTAAGCTTTCATATCATGGTGCCCGGTAGATAATCAGTTGAGTTTAATTTTTCTAGACTATGTCTTCCTTCGCTACCTTTGAGTTTGCTCATCTTAGCTTCTAAGCAAACTATCAGCTTGGCAGAGAAAGCCTTAGAATGAAAACTGTGACCTCTTAGGAAGTTGTGGGGGGTTTCCTGGAGTAGTTTTATGGGGTTCTTGGGAAGACTGAAATGATTCCAGGATTTGGGGCCCAGTGGTCATCTGCCCCAACTTGTTTTGTCTGTGTTCTCTTCTATCATCAGGGGAAAGGAGCCAACTGTGAATACTCCTGCATGCCAAGCATTTTCAAAAGGTCTTGCCTCTACCCCATAACCTTGGGATGTAGGTAGTAATGTTCCTATTTTATAGAAGAGGAATTTAAACCTCTGAGATGTTAAGGAATTTACCCAGTCTCTTGACTAGGATACAGTTGGGCAGGCCACATGGATGGAGCCAAGAAGAAGCTCTCAGGGCCGAGGGGGCTGAGCTTTATCTATGAATGGGGAGAAAATCCAATTGAGGCAGTTTTACTGTAGCTGTAGAAAGAACCAGGCCTTTGGGGCATTTGTAGCTGGGATCTGATGTAGACTGGAGACAGTTAAAAGCATGAGAAAGTCAGGTTAACAGTTACCCTGGAAGATAACAGCTGTCAAGGAAGAGTTCAGGACCAACGAACCAGCTTCTTAGATTTCCTTATCTTCTGGTAACCAGCAAGGTTAGGCCTTTTTGCCATGCTCTTTCTCTTCAGCCACTGCCTGGGCCTTTGCAGGTGACTTCAGTTCCCATGCTGGCCCTGGCAGAAGGCATACCTCCTATTTCCCATGCTGCCCTTGGAGTCCAAATACACCCCACTTCTTCACAGGGCCACAGTGAAGATGTGGTTACCTGGGAGTTGCCGGGTTATTCTTCATAGCTTTGGGCACTAACAACATATGGCAGGTGGTCAGCACTGAATTTTGCCTTTTCTGTTTGTTGCTGTAGTTGTTACAGCTTTGAAAATAGGTATAAATTACATACACTACAATGCACAAATTTTAAGTCTACTGTTTGATGAGTTTTGGCAAATATGTACACTCTCGGGGCCTAGCCTACCCAATGGGTCCCCCACTGGAGGCTTGGGGCAAGCTGAAGACATTGCTGATGTGAAAACAAGGATTAAAGATCAGGGAGGGTCAGGGGCTGGTTCTAGACTGTGGTAGTAGACATGGTGGTGGTCAGGTAATGAGATTAAGGAATACTCATGCTTTCTGGATACTCAGGACATATCTCATTTCAGGGCCATATCTAAACCAGTAATAATGATGATAATACTGTTAGCTAATATTTATTAGGCATTTAATATGTTCTAAGAGCTTTGCATATATTGTTCCTTAAGCTCCACATTACTCTGTAACACAGGTGCTGTTTAACAGCTGAGAAAAGTGAGGCTGAGAAGCTTCCCCAGAAGTCACACTTAGTGTGTGCTGAGCAGGGATTTAACTGAGCTGGGCAGAGCCCACTCCTCTTTCTTAGCATCATCCTTCGTGCTTCCCAGTAGGAATAGCTACCATTTTCTAGATATCTAGGTCTCTCTGTCAGTGCTCCTTCCCTTTAGGCCCTCTCATTATTGAGAGTCAACCAGACTGGCCTCAAATTCATGCTTTGCTACTTAATAGCTGTGTGACTTTGGACAGATTTCTTAACCTCTCTGAGTCTCAATTTCCTCATCTATAAAATGGGGGTGCCTCCCACCTCCTAGGAGTATTGTGAGCATTAAATAATATTTGTAGAGAATAATGCCTGGCCAGAAGTAGGTGCTTAGGAACTCATATTTTTAGAAAAAGACAATCTAGCCCACAAATACGTGTACAGTCCTCAAAACTAGGCACTGTTGAATTTTATAACTTGGCATGTTGTCTTTTGGTTCTGGGGAGCTTATTTACCAGATTGAGTTACTGGCGCAGGAGTTCCTGGGGTGGCTGAGTACATGTGTATGAATATAGAATAACATCATCATATACCACCTTCATAATTAGTGTTTGTGAGATGTCATCTCTACGTACTTTTTAAATAAGAAATTACTTATTTTGCTGAAGACAGGATCTCTCATTTCTACCATAAAGGGCGTGTGTCTACATGTGTAGACAAAAACAAGCAAACAAACAGTGATTGGTAACTGATATACTCTTTGCAGAAGATGAGAAATGAAGAGGACATATACATGTTTCTAGTATAATTTTTGTTGGAAAAGAATCCTTGCCCTAGTTTTACACTGGCAGTGTTGTAATGTACTCTATCTTATCACCCCCATTAGGAAAGGTAGCCTGATTGAGGTTTCCAGGTGTGTGTGCAGAGGCCCTCCATAGTGGAAGGTGGAGAACAATAAATAGGAGCATGTGCATTAGAATAGCCAACGCAGAATAGCTGGATTTGTTGAGCTCCTATTGTGTGCTGGATACAGTTAAGCAGTGCCTATATCTCATTTAATTCTCACTCTATGATAGGTTCTACTCTTATCTCCATTTTATAGAAGAGGAAGCTTAGAGCAGGTCCTGCGGAACTTTCCTGTTTTTTTTGTTGTTGTCGTTGTTGTTTTTTTAGACAGAGTCTTATTCTGATGCCCAGGGTGGAGTGCAATGGTGCAACTTTGGCTCACGGCAACCTCCACCTCCCAGGTTCAAGCAATTCTCGTGCCTCAGCCTCTCGAGTAGCTGGTACTATGTTTATGCCACCACACCTGGCTAATTTTTATATTTTTAGTAGAGACGGGGTTTTGCCATGTTAGCCAGGCTGGTCTCAAACTCCTGACCTCAGGTGATCTGCCCACCTCGGCCTCCCAAAGTGCTGGGATTACAGGCGTGAGTCACTGTGCGCGGCTAGAACTCCTGTTGTACCTTCTTCTGATAACCGTGTGTAGAGGATTTTGTGGCAGAATGGTGATGATTACATGCCAAGTTTTGGAGTCGGGGGTCAGGGGAGGGATCCATTCTCATTATTATTATTTGACCTTGATGTCAAAGTACTATGCACTTTGTATTGTTTGGGCTTCGCCCAATTCTACATTTGGTGGGGAAAATGGCCCTTCTCTTAGCTGTGCAATTGTGATTTAAGAAAATCATTTAGGAATCATTTGAATTGTTTAGTAATAATCTTACATGTCTGCATTTTTCTGGAAAATGTAATTCAGTTAGCTGTTTTAAAAGGAAACCTATGGGAATTTAGTGGGCATATTTTATAAAAATCTATTAACGGCGTAGATTTGTATATAGTCTTAAAGTAGTTCCCTATTTCTCCACTTCTTTCTTTTCAAGGACTTTTTGGCATCTGTATACAATTTTTTTTTTTTTTTGAGACTAAGTTTTGCTCTTGTTGCCCAGGCTAGAGTGCAGTGGCGTGATCTTGGCTCACTGCAACCTCCACCTCCTGGGTTCAAGAGATTCTCCTGCCTCAGCCTCCCAAGTAGCTGGGATTACGGTGCACGCCACCACGCCTAATTTTTGTATTTTTAGTAGAGACGGGGTTTTGTCATGTTGGCCGGGCTGGTCTCGAACTCCTGACCTCAAGTGATCCACCCGCCTCAGCCTCCCAAAGTGCTGGGATTACAGGCATGAGCCACTGCGCCCGGCCTGTATACATTTTTTAATTGTCTATACCTTTTGGATGTCTATACCTTCATCCTAGTAGTCAGTAGTTATTGAACTTAATTCCTAGTTCTAGACTTGCCTCATTCAAAAGTATGAATCATGACATCTTTGAAAGGGGCACGTTGCAAGGAATGAATTGGGTGATAATAGTGACTTATTATCACCATTTAAGAGAAAATTTAAGCCAGTTCAGAAAATTATAGCAGGTAGGAAATGGATTAGATCATTCATTGTCAGAGCGTGGTCCCTAGACTAGCAGCATCAGCATCATCTGGGAATTTATTAGAAATACAAATTCTCAGGCCCCACCCCAGACCTACTAACTCAGAAATTCTAGGGGTAGAGCCCAGCAATCAGTTTTTAATAAGCCCTCTAATGGATTCTGATGCACACGAAAGCTTGAGAATCATTGGATTAGAACCCTCCCCCACCCAAAAAAATGCTCGGAAGAGTTATTAAGCTATTGCAAGAAATGGCATCTTCCTGAGAGACAAATTTAAGTTGAAACCACCTGGTTCTGCTCTTGTCAGAGATAGAAAATGGAATAAATGGCCACTGATAGGTCTTTGTAACCATATGATTCCCCTGAGGTTAGTTCCTGCCTAGGTATTTGTTTCCAAAATAAGTATCCCAAATAAATACCAGAACTTCATGTAATAGTCGAAGAAATAGAATTCAGTAGTCAAAAGGGATTAAAAGCAATTTGTACATTTACTGGAGACTAGAAAAGTGTCAAAAGATGAATTCCTAATATGCAGCTTTTTGCCTCGTCCTCTGGCTCCCAGTATTATTTGTGCACACACACACTGACACACCCACACACTGTACCTTCCAAGAGTCACACAAAACCCTTCCCTCACTCAATTCCTAGTCAGAACTCTCCCCAGAAACAGTCCAACATGGCTCATGGCTTCCTAGTCCCTCATCTCTCTTTCACTTCCTTCTCTCTTTTATTCCCCCCATCCCCCACCCCCATGCAGCATATTTTTCCCCTTTCCAGTGTCGATTAATGAAAACTGATTCATTTCTCACAGTCCTGGAAATCTACCCACATACATTCTCCATCTGTGTAATGAAAGCCCAATAACTGATTCATATTGGATGGGTAGAATGGAAAAAGCCAAGAACATAAAGACAGAGTTCTCTTTCTGGTGGAGAGAGAGATGGAGCAGTCTCATCTCTGGTTGAATGGGGCCTCAGAGCTGTTCCACCTGAAATTTCATGATTTGGGATTTTGAAAGTGCCAATCATACATTAAATTGACTTTTTAGGGTTTTCTTTTTTTGCACATTGTATGCTGGTATGATTAAACCTTCATTTTAACACTGTTTTTGTTTGTTTGTTTGTTTGTTTTGAGATGGAGTCTCATTCTGTCACCCAGGCTAGAGTGCAGTGGCACGATCTTGGCTCACTGTAACCTCCACCTCCCAGGTTCAAGTGATTCTCCTGCCTCAGCCTCCTGAGTAGCAGGGACTACAGGCACACACCACCACACCCAGCTAATTTTTTGTATTTTTTTGTAGTGACGGGGTTTCACCATGTTGGCCAGGCTTGTCTTGAACTCCTGACCTCAGGTGATTCACCTGTCTCAGCCTCCCAAAGTGCCGGGATTACAGGAGTAAACCACCGCGCCTGGCCTCATTTTAACACTGTTAAGGGTTGTTTTGTTGATGTTCTCAGAGTGCCTTTAATGGTTATGAATTTCATTTTGAAGAAAAATTAGGTTGCTACACAATTTCGCTGTTGGTTTTCATCAAAAGTCCATTGTATTAAAGCACTCATCCTGAGTTATGGAGAGAATTGAGATTTAGCCCTACACTGAAAGAAATTTAAATGGGAAGTTTAGTGACCTTATGGGATTGTAATTGGTTTTGAGGTTTTAAATGAAAAATATGAGGCGGGAGTATGTGATGCTTTCCGAACAAAAACAATATACCCTCATGCAATAATGAAAAAGGTTCTAGATTCTGTCAGTTGATTTTCAGTTTCCACTTGCAAGATTGAAAAGTTCAATTGGATTTCAGGCTTTATTATTTTCTAGCATATTTTTGCATAAATCATTACCCTTGCCTGGAATTTCCAACTCCTGCCTTTCACTGATCTGAATCTGACCCCACCTCCTCTCTCCCAGGAGAGCAGCAGAGTCCAGAAGAAATCACACTGGATTAAAAGTCAGAGAGATAATTAGACTCCTCCCACTTAATAGGACATTGGATGGGTGGGTCACTTGATGTTTTAAAGTCTCCATTTCTTTCTTTTTTTTTTTTTTTTGAGACGGAGTTTCACTCTCGTTGCCCAGGCTGGAGTGCAATGGCGCAGTCATGGCTCACCGCAGCCTCCGCCTCCCAGATTCAAGTGATTCTCCTGCCTCAGCCTCCCAAGTAGCTGGGATTACAGGCATGTGCCACCATGCCCGGCTAATTTTTCTATTTTTAGTAGATGGGGTTTCTCCATGTTGGTCAGGTTGGTCTCGAACTCCAGACCTCAGGTGATCCGCCCGCCTCGGCCTCTCAAAGTGCTGGGATTACAGGCGTGAGCCACCGCGCCCGGCCGGTGGGTTATTTTCTAGATTAAAGAAATGGGCCGGGTGCAGTGGCTCACGCCTGTAATCCCAGCACTTTAGGAGGCTGAGGCAGGCGGATCACGAGGTCAGGAGATCGAGACTATCCTGGCTAACACGGTGAAACCCCATCTCTACTAAAACAAAAAATTAGCCAGGCGTGGTGGCGGGCATCTGTAGTCCCAGCTACTCAGGAGGCTGAGGCAGGAGAATGGTGTGAACCTGGGAGGTGGAGCTTGCAGTAAGCCAAGATTGTGCCACTGCACTCCAGCCTGGGTGACAGAGCGAGACTCCATCTCAAAAAAAAAAAAAAAGAAAAGAAAAGAACCCCTCTAAAAATAATGGCCAGCAACATTTAATGAGCATTTATTATACGGGAAGTTCTTCCCACACATTTCATGTAACCATCACAGCAGCTGTTTATCACAACACATTTATCATTTATTGGCAGTTTTTTTCATCCCCTTTTAAAAATAAACACTCATTTTTCTTCCAACTTGCTAACATTTATTTTTGCTCCCCAGTTTTACAAAGTATAATTAATAACAAAGCTGTTGGGATTGTGTGACAAAGATACTTTATAGAAATATATATGATTTTTACATACTCACATGTACCACATAGGTTTGCCTTTGGAACCAGATATATCATCTAGATATTTGGGATGAAAAGGAAAAACAGGCAACCTAGAAGATTTGGGAGAAGGCCGCAGATAAGATCAACTAGGCTCTGGATTTTAAGCCTTGTTGTGGAACACTCCCTGATGTGGTTTTTGGTATTTTGCTTTTTTTGGGGTGGGGGGGAGCACTACAAATTCTTTTATTGCAATATAATTTACTAATAATAACATTAATCATTTTGAAGTGTAATCTGGTGGCATTTTGTACATTCGCAATGTTGTGAAACTGTCACCACTGCCTAAAATACCATCACATTTTCATCACTCCCAAAAGAAATCTTGAACCCATTAGTAGTGTTTCACAATGTCTCCCATCCCCTTCATTCCTTTTTTATGGCTGAACATTATTTCATTGTATGGATGTATAACGCCATATTATATTTATCCAGTGTGATGGTTAATTTTTAGTGTCAACTTGACTGGATTGGGGAATACCTAGAGAGCTGGTAAAGCATTATTTTTGTGTGTGTCTGTGAGAGTGTTTTCAGAGGAAATTGGTGTGTGAGTCTGAGTGGACTAGGTGGGGGAAGATCCACCCTCAACGTGGGTGGGATCCTCCAATCCCCTGGAGGCCAAGACAGAACAAAAACTGAGGTGCTCAGTATATGTTACTGCTTCCCCTTCATGAACTTGACATTTCTTGAGTGCTTACTGTGCACAAAACACTGTGCTAGGCCCTTTGGGGGCTACAAGAAGAAATGGAACATAGCCCTGCCCTTAAGAAGCTTGTATCCTGATGGATGGACTGGAAAGGGAGGGTTGGCGAGAGAGGGCATCGGGAGGGTAGAGTTTCCTGTGCCTGAGGGTGGTGAATGAGAGAGGGAAGGACCCGAATGTGAAGTAAAGAGGAAAAAGGTCTGTGAGAATCAGAGCACTGATGGAATTCAATGGAAAGATTAATCTGTGTGTGTGTTGGGGGTGGGGCTATGGGGAGCAGCTCATGGAGTGCCTTCCTTTCTTTACCCTTGTATTCCTCCCACAACTCTAGCAGAAAAATGGGTACAAAGATGCCTTAAAATGTTGGTTGTTTTTATAGACACTTCTGGTATGAGGTTAAAATATTCTGCAAATTGGGAGGTTTCCATCAATGGGACATAATATTCGTGGCCCTTTGATTCAGCAACTTTTTGAGTCCCTCCCAGTCTTTAGGGTGCCAGAGATTCAGAGATAAGACAAGAGTTTAGAGGACAAGGGTCAAATGAAAAGACCCAAAGCCTGGCAGGGTGGTGCACACCTGTAATCACAGCGACTGGAGAGGCTGAGGCAGGAGGATTGCTTGAGGCCAGGAGTTAAAGATCAACCAGGGGCAGCATAGTAAGACCCAGTCCCCCTGCCCCTGCCTTCCACCTCCACGGAAAACAAAACAAAACAAAACAAAACAAACAGACCTAGACAGTAGCATGTAGGACAGTAACAACCTTGGCAAAGGTAAACACTGTGGAGGAATGTGGCAGGTGATCAGTCATTCCTTCTGCAGACTGTTTTGGGGCTCACTCTGCTGAGCTCTGTCATACAGAGAGTAGCCACAGGGAGGGCCCTGCCCTGTAGAATCACCATAATCTAGAACACTGGTTCTCAAGGTGTGGGCCCTGGACCAGTAGTGTCAGCCTCACCTGGAAGCTTGTTAGAAAGGCAGATTCTCTGGCTCACCCCAGACTTACTCCATCAGAAGTTCTGGAGGTGATGTCCAGCAGTCATTTTCACAAGCCCTCCAGGTGGTTCTGATGCATGCTCAAGTGTGGTGAGCAGTGGGCTAGGACAGTTGTCAGGTCTGGATGCACATTAGAATCACACGCGGGGCTTTTAAAGCAACAGTGCCTAAACCACACCTAAGACTGACTAGATCAGAATCTGAAGGGAGACCCAGGCATCTATATTTTTGAAAGCTCTCCAGGTGATTCCATTGTATAGCCAAAGTTGAGAAGCGGTGGTCTCCACATGCTTAAACAGATCATCACAGTGCAACCAAGAGTGACCATTAAGGTGGGAAACAGTGCCTGTGAGTCCACAGAGCAGAGGATGCCTGGCAACCCCTTGAAGGGATCAGGATGGCTCCCCAGAGGAGGTGAGGACCCTTCATTGTATTTCCTATTGGATGAGCTCTTCATTCCTCCTTCCCTTTTTTTCTGGACATTGCAGTTGCACAAATCTGAGTGTGATCGGAAAGGTTATTTTAAAATTCATTTAATGTGATTAATTTTTCAAAGTTGAACACAGCTGGCTTCCCTTTAAAACTTTGTATTTTGATAGTGGTTCTTACCATGAATAATTGACTAATATCAGGTCATTAATATTCTATAGGAGAGTACTTCAAGCTAATAAAATTCATTTTAAAATTAGTTTTTAAAAATGTGTTCCTGCAGCCCAGGGATAGTAGGATCTCAGTCAAGTATGAGATTTTATGCTTTTCTGTTAACATAAGATAGTTGTTTGACTGCTCAGTATCCCTGTTTTATTCCAATTTTTTTGTAGGAATTAATTGCCCAGGAAAAGACCTCTGTTTCAGAGTTGCAAGTTTGCCTGGATGCTGTTGCCCTGGGAAACATTATTGCATCAACAGTGGGGAAGGGGTGGCTCTGACATGGGTGCTCTTTGTCCTTCTCCTGGGTAGGGCATCTCTGAGAGGGTATCCCCTTTAGGTCCTTCCCAGGGCTTCACATTTGGGCCAGATTTTTTTAAAAAATAATTAAACTTTTGTATTTTGAGGTCATTGTCAATCCACACGCAGCTATAAGAAATATTATAGGCTGGGTGCAGTGGCTAATGCCTGTAATCCCAACATTTTGGGAGGCTGAGGCAGGAGGACCACTTGAGGCCAGGAGTTCAAGATCAGCCTGGGCAACATAGTGAGACTGCATCTCTACAAATAAATAAATAAATAAATAAATAAATAAATAAATAAATAAGAAAAAAATTGCCGAGGCCAGGCGCGGTGGCTCATGCCTTTAATCCCAGCACTTTGGGAGGCCGAGGTGGGCAGATTACGAGGTCAGGAGTTTGAGACTAGCTTGACCAACATGGTGAAACCCCGTCTCTACTAAAAATACAAAAGTTAACCAGGCGTGGTGGCGCATGCCTATAATCCCAGCTCCTCAGGAGGCTGAGGCAGGACAATCGCTTGAGCCCGGGAGGCGGAGGTTGCAGTGAGCCAAGATCGCACCACTGCACTCCAGCCTGGGCAACAGAGCGAGACTCCGTCTCAAAAAGAAAAAAGAGAAAGAAAAGAAAAAGCCAAGCATGGTGACACATGCCTGTAGTCCCAGCTACATGGGAGGCTGAGGTGAGAGGATTGCTTGGGCCCAGGAGTTCGAGGCTGCAGTGAGCTGATTGTGCCACTGCACTCCAGCCTGGGTGACAGAGTGAAACCCTGTCTCAAAAAAAAAAAAAAAAAAATTACAGAGAGAGCCCATGTACCCTTTACCTGGTTTCCCCCAGTGGTAGTATCCTACAAAACTATAGAACAGTATCACAACTAAAATGTTACCACTGATACAATCAAGACAGAGTACATTTCATGATGCCTTTTATAGACATCCACTTCCCTCCCACCCCTACCCTCTCAACCCCTGGCAAGCATGTAGGCATGGATCTGTTCTCCATAAGTTCTTATGGAGTTCAAAGGTAAAACTGGGTCCCTGGTTTTAAAAAAAGAAAGAGATGGCCATAGACTGTGGCTCATGCCTGTAATCTCAGCACTTTAGGAGGCTGAGGCAGGAAGATTGCTTTAGCCTAGGAGTTCCAACATCAGCCTGGGCAACATAGGGAGACCTTGTCTCTACTGAAAAATAAAAAAATTAGCCAGGCATGGTGGCACATACCTGTGGTTCCAGCTACGTGGGAGGCTGAGGTGGGAGGATCACTTAAGCCCAAGAGTTGGAGGCTGCAGTGAGCAATGATCGTGCCACTGTACTCCAGTTTGGGCAACCAACAGAGTGATATCCTGTCTCAAAAAGATAAAAAAAAGATGATAAATGCACACAAATAGGGCACATGGACAAAGGATGATTGGGTAGGAAAGTTAGACATTTTAGGATTTCAGGCCATACATAAAGACTTTCTTTTGGAACTGAATTCAGCACTGTATTAGTCTATTTTCACACTGCTGATAAAGACATATCCAAGACTGGGAAGAAAAGGAGGTTTAATTGGACTTAGAGTTCCAAATGGCTGGGGAGGCCTCAGAATCATGGAGGGAGGCGAAAGGCATTTCTTACATGGCAGCGGCAAGAGAAAATGAGGAAGATGCAAACGCAGAAATAAAATCATCAGATCTCGTGAGACTTATTCACTACCATGAGAACAGTATGGGGAATACTGCCCCCATGATTGAAATTATCTCCCACCAGTTCCCTCCCACAACACCTGGGAATTATGGGAGTACAATTCAAGATGAGATTTGGGTGGGGACACAGAGCCAAACCATATCAAGCATTACTTCTTGGATACACTGTGTCTTTAGAGGGCATCTCCTGGTGTTAGTGTTCACAGTAATCTACCTCAATTCCTCTGGTTTAAATCTGGCTGTGTTTTGGTAATAACTGGTTTATTTGTTAGAGGCCATGGTTTGTGCTCCAGCCCTCCTTACCTCGGAATGAGCTCAAGGGCTTTTTGACAGCCTTTGGGAGAAACATGTAGAGTCAGAAGGTGGAAGCTGGAGATGAGTTAATTTGGCTTCTCTTGGAATGGATATTCTCAAAATGTTTGCTCAACAATTAAGCAGAAGAAGCAGATGCTGTGTGGAAGAAGCTTTACTCATCCAGTAAATCTCAATCCCGACTGAACTCAGACTTCCTTATCCACATGTGCCCCAGAGCAGCTAGACGTGCAGAGAGAGAATCACAGGAGGGAGCTGCCAGGCTTCTCACTGCAGGGTGGTAACCGCCAGCCACATGTGGCTATTAAGCGCCTAAAGTGTGCCCAGTGTGACTAAAGAACTGAACTGTAACTGTACTTAATTTTGATATGAAATTTAAATAGCCATGTATAGCTCATGGCTACCAAATGAACACAGAGATTCCACATTGCCCATGTTGGGCTGTTTGAGTCACTCCACCCCTTTCAGTGGGATAAAACTGAATTTAAAAAAGAAAGAGACGGCCATGCATTGTGGCATGAGCAAGGAGAGGCCTTACAGCTTCCCCCAGGGTCCTCTGTAACCCCTTCCCCACCCAGCATCAGCCCTAAAACATTGCTGAGCAAACATTTTCAAACCACTAGTGTGAGGAGGAAGCTGCTAATTAGCCTGCCTGGACAGGAGCCACATCTGTGTCCAGCTGGGCCAGCGCTTGGCTCACAGTACTGCTTACTTCATACTGCTCTAATGAGTCACACTTGACTTCTCTTTAGATTTGCAAGCTCATTCTTGGGGCCAGGTTAAGATTTGTTCCCTGCATGCATCACTTCGTTACAGCACTAAGACTAAGGTGTTACATTTCTTCCCGTGCCAGGGAAGCAGCACAGAAAAGCGGTAACTGAGAATGTGGGTCCTTTCCGCCAGATGTGAGAGATTAGGAAAAAAAAATTTAATGGTTTTTAAAGTGGGTCCTGAAGCCAGTTTCTTGCATTGGAATCTGGCTTCAAGTGCCTCTGTTTCTACACCTGTAAGACAAGGATCATCACAGCACCTCTGTCATCATAGGGTGGTTGGGCTGAGAAAGTCTGAGCAGTGCACTTTGTCCTTGGGAACTGCTCAGTTATTACCTCTTATTATGATGATGCTGGTGATGATGACTGTGAGCATGATAATAAAGATTTTCTGGAAAGATGATTTGAAGGTGTGACTCTCATGTGTGTCCATGAGAGGGCAGCCTAAAATCATGCATGTCTGTGGAACAAGCAGCCTCTGTAAAGCCTCAAGGTAATGTGGGCAGTTTCAAGTGTGTTTGGCCCTTTTTCTTCTCTGTTTTTCTTTTTTCCCTCTGTTTGAAGAGCGCTTTCAGCCATTTTCAGGCTTACTTTAGATACGGAGCAGGCCCATGAACACCTAGAGGGCAGCATGGGCAGTACAGAGCTAGGTTCAGGCCCTGCCTGGGTGGGTGAGTTTGTGTAGGTGCCAATGAGAGCGTCTGTCTAGGCGTCCTAGGCTTTTCTTTGTAACTTTTCACACAGAACTAATTCTTATTAATCAGACTCTTGAGGTAGACACTAGAACCTGACTGTGTTTAGAGAAAAAAGAAACTTGATTTTCTATGCTTGTTCCCCTTCCACTAACTTCACACCTGCCTCTGAGCATTGTGTGCATGCATTGGTGCCACCATGTAAGGGGACAGTGGCCGGAGCTGTATAGACCCAGAGTTGCATCAGCCACACATGGCTCTGGAACACACCAGGGGAGACTGAGTTACAGAGAGAGCAGAATAAGAGTCCTCAAACCATGTGGGAGCACAGAGCATCATAGGGCTGGGGGACAGTGGGGGTCTTGAAGATGGGCAGGGTTTAAACAGATGGAGCAGGGTAGAATAAAGGATGGCATGAGCTAGAAGGTGCATGGGAGAAAGGGCAGTGCTGAGGTAAAGTTGGGAAAAGAGTTTGGAGTCAGATTGCGGGGTGGCTGGAATGAGCTGAGGAGTTGGCCTTTAAATTTTTGATGACGTTCATATTGTTGATAGTGTCATAATGATTAAGAGATGACCAAAAACAAAATGAAGAATGGCACTTGGATTTTTCTAGTACTTATCTCATTTTAATATCCCTGATATTTAATCTAGGCTGCAAAACCAGATGTATGTGGGGAATCATGACAATCCAGTGTTTGTCACGCCATCCCCCTTCCTCATTCCCACTGCCTACACTGTGGGCCAGGCCTTCAGGCCTCCCTCCTGGACAGCAGCAGGAACCTCCTTAGAAGAAGCACAGGTTGCTGTGGCAGCAAGGCACACTATGATGCCAACTTGTGATGCTCCCAGAGAGGAAGGCACAGATGCTGGGGAAGTGAACCTGGTTATATTAACATGAAAGCTGACTTCTAAAGAATGGTGTGCTTCTTTGGGAGGCCGAGGCGGGTGGATCATGAGGTCAGGAGATCGAGACCATCCTGGCTAACAAGGTGAAACCCCGTCTCTACTAAAAATACAAAAAATTAGCCGGGCGCGGTGGCGGGCGCCTGTAGTCCCAGCTACTCGGGAGGCTGAGGCAGGAGAATGGCGTGAACCCGGGAAGCGGAGCTTGCAGTGAGCCGAGATTGCACCACTGCAGTCCGCAGTCCGGCCTGGGCGACAGAGCGAGACTCCGTCTCAAAAAAAAAAAAAAAAGAATGGTGTGCTTAAATATTATATACATAATATACTGGGTCCAGTTGTAACAGAGTGCAGTAAATTATTTGTAATCCTAAAATGATCATGAAGATCCATTTAATCTTTTGTTTAGAAAGCCCTTTAGGGTTCTGCAGGGGTTGGTTGGAGATGAAAAGCTCCAGGGATATTTCTCAGACATTTTCGGGGAAGTTGTCATTTGTTCCATCTTATTTGTTGTAGATATTTGGATGATTCTAAGATACTAAGATTGACATTGGCACAAACTTGGCAGAACCAAAATTGAACTTGAGTGTTGTCTTTCATAGTGCTCACCCAAGGAGCTCATACGTTGGCTCCTTTCAGAAAGTAGGCCGGGCATGGTGGCTCACACCTGTAATCCCAGCACTTTGGGAGGCCAAGGTGGGCGAATCATCTGAGGTCAGGAGTTTGAGACTAGCCTGGCCAACATGATGAAACCCCATCTCTACTAAAAATACAAAAATTAGCCATGCGTGGTTGCACGCACCTGTAATCCCAGCTACTCGAGAGGCTGAGGCAGGAGAATCGCTTGAACCTGGGAGGCAGAGGTTGCAGTGAGCCAAGGTCGCGCCACCGCATTCCAGCCCAGGCGACAGAGTGAGACTCTGTCTCAAAAAAAAAAAAAAAAAAAAGTAAAATGTTCAGTGTCTGTGTAATGAGCAGTATTCAAAATTTTGTCCATTTTTGTGCTTCTCCTCTCCCCCAGGTGGTCCTGCTTCAGGCTTGGGAGCCTGACTAGACGAGGCCTAGTGGGCTTCTCTGCACACTGCCAGGCCCGTCTGTCACTTACTGTACTTTCTGACCCCTTGTCTGCCTGGGGGCAAAGGATTAAGGAAGGGGCTTTGTCCTCTGGGGCTGATGTTGGCCCAACTACAGGACAGCTTGGCAGGTGCATGCGAAAGTGGTAGCTGCTGCCCCTCAGCTGTGTGTGTCATGGAGAGTGACAGATTGGACTTCCTTTGGTTGAAGTGATGGAGATGGATGATGTGCACGTGCAGTCAGACTCGGGTGCCATGCCCAGTTGCCTATAGTACTTAGCAGATAGGGAAAGAGTGAAGAACTGAAACATAATCTAGTTTTCTCCTTTGTAGGCATGGAGGGATTTTTGAAATCAGATGAGAGGCAGAGATTGGCCAAAGAAAGACGAGAAGAAAGAGAAAAATGTCTGGGTAAGTTATGCACTTTGGCTATTTTGGTCCAAGGGAGTGGAGATATGGTGGTGTCTTTTCTGAAGATTCTTAGAAATTTGTGAATGAATGGGAACTAGGACAGTTGCTAGATGAACATGAAGAATCAGGCGTGAACCTACACTGCAACTGGCATGTTCACAAATAGGTAATTTTCAGAATAGTTCACTCGGCAAACATTGAACCTCTGCTGTGTTCTAGCCACTGTGTTAGGGTCTGCAGTTACGATATTGAAGAAAGAGAAACAGTCGCTGCCCCTGATCTAAGGAAGTCCTAACACCTTCAAGTGTCAACTGTGTACACTCCCTCAGGTTCTCTCTTGGGAATCTAAAAGGGCCATCCTCAGGAGAACTGAGAAAATCAGCACTTGAGTCATTTTATATTTTAGGACAGAGAGCCCTGGTTGAGAAAGGCCGTCTTGCCTCTTGCAGGCTGTAGACAGATTAGTGCAGAGTGTTCTTCACAGGATGCTGAGGGAGATAGCGTTTCCCCATTGCATTGAGACAAATGAGGAGCTTTCAGGTTCTTCTCTTCTTCACTGCCTCCTGCTGGTCGGTACAAGCATTGCCTCCTCCAGGGAACCCTTCCCTGCCTTGGCTAGGTGGAATTAAGGGCCCCTTAGTAAATGCCTTGAGGGTAAGGCAAATTTTGTTCGTGTGTTTTACCCCCTGACTTAGCTCAGTGTCTGGTGCTTGGTGCACACACAGTTAAACTGCTTTTGAATGAACATAGCCTTATAAGCATCATTGCTCAACCTAGCATATAGTTTAGCCATTATGCACAAGTTTGACTTAATGACAGCCGTCATAGTCATAGCTCCCACGTGGGGAGGCACTTACTGTGAACTTCACGGTCATCATCTTGTTCAATCTTAACAACACTGTGATGTGGCAAACATGACTGTCCCCACATCGTAGAGGAGGAAACCGAGGCAGAGAGATGATCTAGCTAACATGCTTAGGGTTACCCAGCTAGTGGCAGAGGTACCAGAACCCTTTATCTCAATCACTGCATGCTAGGATCCTACCAGGCTCTTTTTAGGGCTCTGCTCTTGCTTCCTTGTTTTTGGTCTTAATCCAAACTGCATGGGATGCTCTGGTAATGACACCTCTCTTCTACTTTCCTTCCCCAGCTGCTCGGGAGCAACAGATCCTGGAGAAACAGAAAAGAGCCAGGCTGCAGTACGAAAAGCAAATGGAGGAGCGATGGCGAAAACTGGAAGAGCAGCGGCAGCGGGAGGACCAAAAGAGAGCTGCTGTGGAAGAGAAAAGGAAACAGAAGCTCCGGGAGGAGGAGGTAAGGCCCAGGTGCACCCTCCGCCACCTTCCAGCCCCCTCAGCAGGCTGCTCAGAGTGCCTGGGCATCCTGCCCAGCTCTGGGGTAGGAGAGAGACCTGCCGTGCACCTTCTCCTTGGTGGCTCCCATGCCTTCTTTCAGCAACATGACATGAAACTCGAAGCAGCACTGACATAGAACCGCAGAGACTTATCCATTCAACTCAGGTGTTAATTTGCTGTGTGATCTTGGGCAAACTGGTTGGCTTCTCTGGGCCTTGATTTGTGTGTCTGTGAAGTGAGGGTTGGATTTGGCAGTCTCCAATGCCTCTTTTAGTCATAACCTTTTCTGACTCTAAGACTCAAAGGGTCCCTGGTGGTCTAGTAGATAGGGGAAAAAAAAAAAGACTCAGAGGAGATTGTGGGTAGCGGCTGGGTGAGGTGAATCTGAGGATTACAGATGGGAGTTCATGCCTCCAGGGCAGGCACAAGGCCAGAACAAGAGCTTGTGAGGTTGAGAACAATGTGATCCTGTCAGTTGCTACTGGCAAATTAGTCTACCCTCAAATACCAAGATGCTAATATATTTAAAGTTTAATGTAGTTCTTCGCTTTAATTGCTCTTTCCAGTTACCTTTTAAAAAAGAAATGGCACATAATTACCCCTACAGAGTTCTTTATTACTAAATTTTGAAAATATATTTAGAAAGCATATTTGGATTATAGATTTTCTTCACGATTATATTTTTAGGAGGTAATAAAAACCTTATGTCAGTTGATGATAATTTTTTATTCATAAGGTATAATGATTCATCTTTTAGTATGAACAATATAGAGGTTTGGTAATCTCCAACCCTATAGGATATGAAGATGTTTGTACAAATTCAGTATTTTTTAAAATCTCTGAACAGTTGCTTATCACTATATATATTTACCCCTTCCTTCTTTTTTTTTTAAAGAACACATACGAAAACACACACATAGTCAGACCCATCTTTGCCCAAGAAGCACCCTTTCATGGTGATTTCTTTCCTCCTCTTAGAAAATGAGGTCTAAGCCAGTGTCTTAGCTATGGTTCACCGTTATTGGCTGCAGTCTGATTGCTGTGCCTTCATCTGCTCCCAGTTCAAATGTCAGCTCCAATGCCAGCTCTACCACTGAGCAGCTGGTGGCCAGGGGCAAGTCACATGCCCCTCTAACTCTGTCTCCTTAGCCCAAAACAGAGGTAGTTACAGGAATTAAAAGAGGTGACTTTTGTAAAAGTGCCCAGCAAAGCACCTAGCACAGAGTAATCGTTCAGGAATGTTACATTCTGTTTAGTTACTTCAGCTGAGCTTGGCTAAAGCAAGGTCAAGAGGGTGCTACCCACAAAAGCTTATGAAACAGAGTCAGTAGATGGGAAAAAGCCACAGTATAATAGGCTGTTTTGGTAACTTGGGACAGATTTCTCCTTTCCTAACTTCTGTGTTAAGAGTTGCTGGACTCACCCATTTTCTTCCCATCCTCCATTCCTTGATGACTTAGAGCTTGTCCTCTTCTTCCATGATCTCTCCATTTTGAAAGCTTGTCACTGCTGCTTCCAGGAAGGGGTACTGTGAAGTCACATAAGACACTTCCCATGCTCTGACATATGCATTGTCACTGGGGGCTGCTTTTGAGGCAATTTCTGTTTATAATTTTTCTCTACAGAACATTAGTGCTGGAGGCATGTTAAATTAAGTAGAACAGCTCCCCCTTCTTGGAGGTGAGGGAGTTTTATGCCATATGGTTGGTCCTGATGCAGCTGAATCTTTTGTGGTTTCCCTTCTGGGTAATTTTCTATTTGTGTGCTTCCTTGCACCCCTAATGTGGTGGAGGGAAGCAGGAGGCTGCCCGACCGACCCTTGTCAGCCCAAGCTGAGCTTGGTTCCCTCTTCTCCCTGGGCACAGCAGGGCAGGGCTGAGGGCTGGGCCTCCTGTGGTTGTGTAGCAACCCAAGGAAACAGCAGCCTCCTTCTGCCACCTGCTCCTGCCCTCAGGGTCCCAGGGGACCCAGGTGTAGCTTAGGGACTTGCCACACACAGGCTGGCTTGTTAGCTACATTGGGTCGGTGCTCTGCTGGCACAGAGGCCTTTTTGGCATTCTCGTGGGTGACATTTAGGGAGAAGGGATCAGCCTGCATTACGGAAGCCCCTCTTCAAAGGAAACCCTCTGCACTGGCCCCTATGATTCAAGGGGAGCTCTGGGAGGGCTGCAGCCTGCTCAGTGCCTGGCTGTGGATGTTCTCCATTCTCTTCTCAGTGTCAGATTGAAGTCTTTTTTTTTTTTTTTTTTTTTTTGGTCATGTTCTGTCTCTGTCAGCCAGAGAAAAGCCTCTGCAGGAAGATCATTCATCCTATGCAGGCCATTTTACTTCTCTAGCCTGTTGGAAAGTGTTTGTTGCCCACCAAATCCTGCCTCTCTGGGTCTGATACTTAGGAGCTCATGAGAGGCCTGTTGACCCCACCCCAGCCCTGCCCTGGCTCTGTACCCCTATGGTTGCCATGATGTCACTCTTGATAACCCCTCATGTCTGTGCCAGGGCAGAAGTGGGTACCACCAATGGCCTGTCTCTCAGAGGTCTTAAGAGTTGGCAGAGGTCTTAAGAGTAGTCAGGCCTGTCCCAGGGAGGGGTCCCAGGGAGGGGTGGGGTGGTTCTACTGTCCACTTGACACCCTGACCTTAAACTCATTCTCTTGCTGGAGGCCACCTACTCCTTAAGTTCTTAGAACCTTCACGTGCCACACAGCTCCCAGGAACCAAGCTACCAGAACAAGTTCCTGTCACCTGTGTTAGGGCTGACAACACAGTATGCCAGCCCATTCTCAGGGCAGTATAGCTTCCTGACCAGTGGCCCTGGAAAATTGGATTTGGAAAAGCCAACTTCATGTTCCTTATGCTAAACAGAAAAGAGAAAGGCCTCTTTCTCTTTCTTTCTTTCTTTCTTTCTTTCTTTCTTTCTTTCTTTCTTTCTTTCTTTCTTTCTCTCTCTCTCTCTCTCTTTTCTTTTCTTTTCTTTTCTTTCTTTTCTGCACACATCCCTGCTGAGGACCGCTGGGGGTGTGTCCCTGCAGTGTCATCCCCAGAACACATGTAATGGGCCGGGCATGGTGGCTTATGCCTGTAATCCCAGCACTTTGGGGAGCCAAGGCAGGTGGATCACCTGAGGTCAGGAGTTCAAGACCAGCCTGGCCAACATGGTGAAAACCCATCTCTACTAAAAATACAAAAATTAGACAGACTTGGTGGTGCTCACCTGTAATCCCAGTTACTTAGGAGGCTGAGGTGAGAGAATCACTTGAACCTAGGAGGTGGAGGTTGCAGTGAGCAGAGATCGCACCACTGCACTCCAGCCTAGGTGACAAAGCAAGACTCTGTCTCAAAAAAAAAAAAAAGAACACATATAATGGCAGTTGAAAAGGCACAGCCACCCCCTACCACCCATTCCTGCCAGAGACTGCTGTCTGAGTAACAGTGTCTGGAATGTGCCCTGCTGGCAACCTTTAATACTGTTCAGCCAGTTCAGCGGGGTCACCTTGGTCGTGATTCTCCAAGTTCATCCAGACAGATCTAAAGCCAGACCTCAAGGCATCAAGTGTGAGGCTCGCTCCTTCCTTCTTTCCTTCCTTATCTCCCTTTCCTTCCTTTCTATCTTTCCTTCCTTCCTCTCTTTCCTTCCTTCTTTTTTTCCTTCCTTCTTTCCTTCCTTCCTTCCTATCTATCCTTTCTTCCTTCCTGTCTTTCTTCCTTCCTATCTTTCCTTCCTTCCTTCCTTCCTTCCTTCCTTCCACCCTTCCTTCCTTCCTTCCTTCCTTCCTTCCTTCCTTCCACCCTTCCACTAAGCCCTACCTAATAGAGGAGATTCTAGGGACGAGGATTTGCCTTGCCCTTTCCCCATCCTCTGTTGATCATCAGATGATACTCAGGAGAACCAGAACTTGGCAGGAATTGCAGTATGCAGTTCTGATATTTATTAATACTGTTTTTCTAATGTGATGGAACTTTCTCATGCTCACTTTCTGTTGCTCAGCCTTTCCTCTAACCAGTGGCTCTTGCTTGGGGGTCCCATGACCAGCAGCACCTGGGAACTTGTTAGAAATGCAGATTCTCAGCAGGCTCCACCCCAGACCTATTGACTCAGAAACTCTGGGGATAAACCCCAGGATTTTAATAATTCCTCCAGGGGATTCTCCTACCTGATCTCTCAGATTTGAGAACTATTGCTCTAAATGGTCCTGATAAGAATCTTCCTCTTTAAATTCAGATTCACTTAGCTTTGGTTAAGGACTTACTGCATACTAGTCATTATCAAATAGACTTAGAGTGATCTGGTGATGTAGGTAAGCTCATCCCCATTTTATAGGCAAGGAAACTGAAGCCCAGGACTGCAATGTTAGCTCAAGGTCACAGGGATAAAAAGTGTCAGGCAGAGGTGGGATTTGAATCCTTACCTCCTGATTCCAAATCTGAGATCCTTTCTGTTTCGTCATATGAAGGAACAAAAAGGTACACACAAACACGAGGCAATACTGACCTATTCAGGACTAACCTTAAATAAGACTTGTGCACTGGACAAGTTTTGTTTTCTATATGTATGAATCACCCCATTCTGACTTTTTGGGGTTCCATAAATCCTCTTCTCTTAGAACTTGCTTATCATCTATTTCTCATCATCTCTCCAAAAGTGGGTGATACAAAGTGAGTGTGTCTTTCTCTCAGGGACAACTGTGTTTTCATCGGCCTCCTCAAGGTCTGAAGGAATGAATCTCCAGTGGTGGGATTTGGAGCAGCTCAGTGGACTGGGGATGGATGGCAGGGGTAGTTTTTCTAGAGGCCATTGAAAAGTCCAGGGGCAGGTCTGGCTTTCAGTGAGCACTCATTCCCTTACAAGGGTGCCCCCCAGATAGCTGATCAGTGGTCAGGCTGGTTCAGTGAAGCTCACTATTCTTTCTTTTCATTGGTCCCCTAGTAGAGAAGGGACCACTTTGTGAGGTCCTTCTGGCATGTAGGAAATCTACCGTAACCCACCCAATACTTAATTCACTCTAGGATGAAAGGTTTCAACACTTCAGTTAGGTCATTGGTTAAATACTTTACGTTAAACCGTATAATGAAATACTATTCAGCCCCAATCTCGAGTGGCTGTACTTCAGGCATCACATGGCAGAGAAGTTCTCTTCCTTCCAAGCCCCAGCTTTTATCAGGCAGACTGCCAGAGTTGGCCATCATCGTTTAATGGGCCAGGGTCGTGAGGACTGGACTCTGCCAAGGCATGCATACTCACGATTGTAGAGTCTCAGGCCAAATACAAGAGCACAGTTAATAGCTAATACAAATCTAAGAGTTACAGGAGGTAAAAATCCCCCTTTCTGCTTACAGGTCCCTGGAGAGGCAGTCTCTTAGCAAAGTGCTATTCAGAGAAAAATTATGTAGAGGAGGCTGAGATGTGGAGAAGCCAGATCCTCATCTCATCCCTCTGGTATAGACAGAAGGGATAAATCCAGATACCTATTAAGTGACCTTTATATGTTTCTAGTAAGTGTGACATAAAGGAGCCTTTCCTGATCTTTAAGTCATGGTTACTCAGTTGATGATGTCCTAAATTAATTTTGCTTCTGTGTGTATTTTTTTAAGCCATGACAATTGTATCTTTTTGTTTTAGAATGGGCTATGATTAGCCCAGTTCCTGGAGCACCTCGGGGTTGGGTTTTATGAGGGCAAAAGGGTGTCATTATAACTGCTAGCTCAGGCCTTCTCCAGTGGAGATAGGGAGAGGAGTTGGTATTTGCAGTGTCACGGAGGTGGTGGGGAGTGCAGAATTAGAGCACCTTCACTGCAGCAGCAAGGACAACTTTATGAAAGTAACAATTTGGGTAATACAGGAGAGTGTTTTTGATAAATACTGTTACGAGAGAAGCCGAAGCCTAATGGTTGTTTTTCTCTTCTGGTTAAAAATTACTGGGTTCTGCCTCCCTGCCTCCTCCACCTAAGTAACTCTGGGAACGCATGGATGCTTTTTTTTTTGTGGCCAGAAGGTTCTTTACTCTTGCCTCTTGAAAATTTTGAAATATGCAATATTATCCCAGATTACTATATAGCAGAAAAGCGTCACACTATGTAAAACAGTTGGTTCCCCTTTAAGAAGTTCTAAGATGAAAATGCAGCTTTGCAAAATAGATCTCAGTGTCATGTATCACCCCAAAAACTCAAATTATATTTGCATTAAAATTTTCTCAAAGCAAAATGTTTTATGCTTTTAACTAGAAAGGATGCTCTTGGTTCTGGAGCAGAATTCCAGCTCTCCTGGTTAGGGCAAAATGCCTTGAGATAGGCCTCAAGGAGTTAATGCTTATTGGGCATTATTCCTAGGGCAGCTTCTCCCCAGGGAGGGGAGGGGACAGGACACACGGTGTTTAGGTTGAGAGCCAGTGCTAGCCTAGCCGCATTGTTTACTCTCCACCTACTCAGAACACGCTGGTGTGGCAGAGAGAGCACGTATGCCTGGGTTTTGGATGCTGAGCACAGAAAGCCCCATTTGGTGACTCACACTGTGCACTGAGGCAGCAGGTAGTGTGGTGGGGCTGGGTAGTTAATCTTGTTAACACTTGCCTTACACGAACTGTGTAGGAACGGCTGGAGGCGATGATGCGCCGGTCCCTGGAGCGCACACAGCAGCTGGAGCTGAAAAAGAAGTATTCGTGGGGAGCACCACTGGCCATTGGACCCGGAGGACATGATGGTGAGTGTAGGGTTGCCCCTGTATTTCAGGTCCTGGGTGGGAAATAATGGAGCAGGCAGGGGATTATGGGCACCACTGGGTGTCTCCAGGATCTGGGGGATGCTTTGCACAGCTTTTCAGAGGCACCACTTTCAGATGTGATGTTTAAAACTGCCAAGATTCCTACGCATGCATTTGTTATGAAGGGGATCTGTGCATTCTTCTTGATAGCAAACAGCAGTTGACACAAAAACTGGGTTTTGAGGGAGAGCAAAAGAGAAGACTTTGAACGCAGAGCCCAGTGAGCTGGGCCCAGCTGGCAAGCCCAGGGTTGTTCTGACTTCAGGGGAGGGAAACGGCAGGAGGCTCTGTCACTGGTCCAGATGCGATCAGGAAAAGCACAGTGGCAGTTATCCTCCAAAAAGGGCTGGACTATTTCCTGCTGCATTTTAAATTTTTGTTGCTTTTTCGACTTTGTTTCAAGGTGACTTATTTCATTACCAGTTCAAACTCATCTTTAAATTTTCAAATGTGTAATTTAATATATGGATTGTTACTAGTCTCTGGATGGCTTTTCCTTCTTTTCAGTGTCTCACTACATTTCAGCGATCTTAGCATTCTATTATGCAGGAGGTGTGTACTAGCTCTATCTGAGAGCAAATGGATTTGTGTTTACAGGACAGTTCTTGACTTTGCTGTATTGTGCTTTTCACCTTTGGGCAGTAAATATACTTTATTTTTTCTTTTTTGAAAAGTCAACAACCCATTTCAGTTACTTTTTCTAATTTCCTAATTAGAAACTAAGAAGCAACAAGAAATTGGGACTTTTTTCTTTTACCTCTCTTTGCTCTGATTTTTTGCTGTGTAGGTGAATCAGAAAATACCCCACCCCCTCCTCTAGGTTTAGCAGCCAGCACCCTCCCTCCGGATGCAGGGACCACTGCCGCAGCTGCCGAGTCCACCAACGGTATATCCGAGCATCACTGTGCCATAGCATTTTGTGATAACTGTTCTGATCATCCTCCCCCATCACCATGTCTGCGTCAAGCACTTTTACAATTGGTTTCTTAGTCTGGCCTGTCACAATTTTTTTTTCCTAGCAATGTGAATGACATGCCCATATTTCTTTGTTCCTCTGTCATTATAGAGCGGTGCATGCCTTACATCTTAGTGCCCCGGAGACATTTCATCCTCAACTCACTAACGTCTGCCTTGAAAATCTTGTCAGTGTTGGATTTTTGCACACTCAGATCTTTAACAATCTCTTCATCATCTGTTGTAGACATTAAGAAGCAGGGCATTTCTGATTACTTCTGGTTACCAAAACCTGTAATCACCCGGAGTTCTGAATGGAGAACTTGGGCTTAGTGTTAAAGTGATAGATTCCTGGAGAGGTGTTTGAGAGGGAGTGGTAGGAATTTTATCAGTGCTAACACTGGTAATCCAAATAATTAGATAATTTGGCTTTGTGCTTGATTTTATTTAATAGGCTGTCTGTTTTGTATACAGGCCTGGGAAACTCCTCTGGTCTAGATCAAGAACAGAACTAGCCAAACTTTGTTTCCATTTAATAATGACTTTAGAAATTCAATCCATCTTCAACTGGCAAAGAAAAAAAAAAAAAGCTGTAAAAGGGATGCAATATTTACCAACAATGCGGAAGGTCATATTAGCAGTAGGAATCAATATCCTTGGTTTCTGACATTCCTTTGACAATGAATAATCCTTACTGGGGGTGCTTCGTAACAGCAGTTTTGCTGCACAAGCAGAGTTACCTCTAGTGTGGGCACTGGCTTTCCCCCTAAGAAAGGTGCAGGGGGGCTGGGCGTGGTGGCTTGTGCCTGTAATCCCAGCACTTTGGGAGGCTGAGGCAGGCGGATTGCTTGATGTCAGTAGTTCGAGACCAGCCTGGCCAACATGGTAAAACCCCGCCTCTACTAAAAATACAAAAATTAGTCAAGTGTGGTGGCGGGTGCCTGGAGCCCCAGCTACTCAGGAGGCTGAGGCAAGAGAATTGCTTGAACCCGGGAGGCAGAGGTTGCAGTGAGATCGTACCAGTGCCCTCCAGCCTGGGCAACGGAGCAAGACTCTGTCTTGAAAAAAAAAGAAAAAAGAAAGGTGCAGAGAGGTGGAGTAATCACCCACTGGGAATCAGCACCCAGGGCCCGGGCCAGGGTGAAATGAGTGCAGTACTTGACTAGAGCATACAATTTAAGGGAGTGCCAAAAATCTCAGTAATAAAGATAAAATAATATCTTAATGTGATATTTTTTAAAATCCAAATTAATGCAAAACAATCCATAATAAACAACAAATTTCTAAAGACTGGTGCCATGCTGAGCACATCAGAGCCTGAAGCAAAAGGGAAAATGTGTACTCCTATATACGTGGTTTTATGTAATTTCTAATGTTTAGTTTTATCAAAACATTAAAGTAGTTTAAAATATGGAAAAATTGAAAAGAGTATTAAAACTCATATAATTTCAACTTTAAATAGTTTTATTTCTACACAAATCAAATTTATTGTACTTTTACTTCAGCTTTAGTTAATTAAAAATTACCGGGCCAGGTGCAGTGGCTCACGCCTGTAATCCCAGCACTTTGGGAGGCTGAGGCAGATCACGAGGTCAAGAGATCGAGACCATCCTGGCCAACATGGTGAAACACTGTCTCTACTAAAAATACAAAAATTAGCTGGGCGTGGTGGCATGCACCTGTAGTCCCAGCTACTCAGGAGGTTGAGGCAGGAGAATCACTTGAACCCGGGAGGCGGAGGTTGCAGTGAGCCGAGATCGTGCCACTGCACTCTAGCCTGGGAGACAGAGCAAGACTCTGTCTCAAAAAAAAAATTATTTAAGATTGTCATTTGGTCAGCAGAAATTATAGAACATCGCAGTTCTTATGGCAGTTCTCATGGGAAAACACGATGAGCAGAGGAGTAGATTTTGAAAATATTATTGATGAGTTTGCTTTTTTACAACCAAGAGCACACATTTTTCTTTTGGCCTCAGGCTCTAACTTAGCTTGGCAGGGCACTGTCAGCATCTCTTTGTTTGCCGTCTGAAATAATGACTGGAACGTAAGAACACCAAACTCAGGGTCGCCTGTTAAAATGCTAACCTCAAACAGTTAAAGCATTTGCAAAAGGACCATTTTGATCTGTCTCTTACTAAGTAAGAAAAGGAAAACCAACTGCTAAAGAGGCCGTTCTGCTTTAAATACAACTCTGAGAGGACGGATTTCATCTCTCTCCAACCTGAGCTACAGATAACCTTCATAAAAGAGTCGGTTTCAGCAAGCGGTGACAGTCAGACCATAGGGCGTTTTCCAGTGGTGATTTGTCTCTGGGTCCAAGTTGGTTTTGTTTTTGTGTGATGTGAGCATGCTCAAAAATCCCTAGACAAAAGAAAATGATTTGTTGGTGGGATTAACACGGCTTCAGTTGAACAGTTGAGTGAGGTTGAACATTTGAAATTGAAGATGACAACACAGTGAAGAAGTTGCAGAGATTTTGCTGCAGACCAAGGGCTGCTGTAGCCTGGTCATTTCTAGAGTAGGATAATGAGATGCCAGGATGATGAAAGCAGAGCATGCTGTGCCACAGCATTTAGGAGGTGCGTGGATGAGGACAGGAAGGACACTTCGGGATATGTGTTTCTTGGTTCTACAGTAGTGTGATGAATACCAATGTCTTTAATGCATTTCTCTGCAGCATGTGACAAACTTTCAACATCAACTATGAGTTTGCCAAAGCCAACGGAGCCTCCCATGAATAAACGCCTGTCTTCATCCACCGTGGCAATATCCTATTCCCCAGACCGAGGCAAGTGAACATGTAGACTTGGTCTCTCTAGTTTGTTTCTTTTCTGGTGTGAGCATCTTAACGTTTGTCTTTGTGAGAGTCTCCTCTTGAGCCTTCTGCAGATACCGTCATTGTCCTAGTCTTGTGGTCTGAATGTGGGAGCTCTAGGGCCTTGTCAGTGGGACTTTGGAACGTGGCACGGCTCTTTAGAGCCAGGTCGTTGTTGAATAGAGGTAGGAATTAATGCAGTCTCCCAGTCTGAAAGAGACTGTTCTGTTTTCCACATTGCATGTAGGAGTTATCCTGCCCAGGAATTAATTAACCAGTGGGCAGATGTGACCATTAAAGTAACTGCCTGGTCAATGATGGAATACAGTTGATTAGCCAGAAAGAGCAGAATTGATAAGTTATAGTTATATGGGAGGCTTAGATATGTGAAAAAATGGGGTTCTGCAGTCATCTGTGGTTTATAGGCCTGCCCATTTTGTAGATGAAAAGAGAAGCACAGAACTAATGAGGCCTCTAAAAGAGGAAAAGGTTGGGTGGCGCTCTGTTTTGAGTTAGGAGATGATGTGTATGGGACGTGTGCCAGTTCCAGAACCTGAGTAGATTTAACAGGGTCTGCATTCTCACAAAGGCTCAGATAAGTCACTGAAAGTCTGTTTATACCTTTCAGAGTATACAGGTTAAGGAAATGACGGAAGCTCTCCATGCACTAAATGTTTATTCTAAAGCAACATTGAAGAAGTATCAGGTGCCAGTGGAGTGTTTAGCACAAGTTATCACCAAGGGCAGAGCAAAAGGCTGGTTGCGACTTGGCAGAGGCTGGTGTGCCTTCCTGGTTGTTTCCACTGACATTGACCTTGTACCTCTATCCCAGAGGCATATTATGTGTGTCAGAGACCCTATAAGGTTCATAATGCTACTGATCTGTGATGCAGTTCATGGTAAGCACCAGGAACCTGGAAGTGATGAAGAGCTGAATACAGAGTGAGGGAAAAGTTAATTCATTGCCATATATAATACATTCAAAACTGATCTAAATATTTTGGTCATTGACTTCCAGATTATGAATACTACTATTTGTCTTTCATTAAAGCTGATAATCAGTTGGCTGTTTGTATTTTTGTGCCTCTCACTTAATTTTTACCCTTATTGACATGTAAAAAGTATGAAAAGATATATTTTTATACTATTACAAGATGACATTTTATTTAAAAATCAGTGTGTTATGAAATGCTTCTTAGCGCAGGACCTAAAACAAGTGTTTTATAGGCATAATTTGTTTTCTACTTGGAGTAAAGGTTTTTTTGTTGTTGTTTTTTTTGTTTTTTTTTTGTTTGTTTTTTTTTTGAGACAGGCTCTCTGTTGCACAGGCTAGAGTGCAGTGATACAGTCTTGGCTCACTGCAAACTCTGCCTCCCGGGCTCAAGCCATCCTCTCACTTCAGCCTCAAGTAGCTGGGACTACAGGCGCATGTCACCATGCCCAGCTAATTTTTTTGTATTTTTTGTAGAGACGAGGTTTCGCCACGTTGCCCAGGGTGGTCTCAAATTCTTGAGTTCAAGTGACCCGACTGCCTTGGCCTCCCAAAGTGCTGGGATAACAAGCATGAGCCACCATGCCTGGCCATAAATGATTTCCTGAGTCCATATTACATCTGGGAGGTGGGCTAATTCTCTGAGTGATACAGGTTACTGTACTGCAATAGCATATTGAATGGATTTTGGTACCTAGTGACAATTAATGCACTCTCCCAAACTCTAAAGGACACATTATTTGTTTTATTTTACGATGACAAATTCCAAATCCATCCTTTGTTCAAATATTTTTATTTTCCATGTTCTGCCACCCAAAAGTTAATTTGCACCATGCATTGTGTTGTTTAAATGTTTTATTTTGTTTTGTTTTAATTTTGCTTTTTAAAATTTTCATTTGATTCCATCCCTCAGCTCATCACATGCACCTTAGTCCAATGGAAGCCATTCTTGTTTCGCGACTGTTGACACCCACACAGTCTTCTTTAGCCAGAAGCAGAGCTTCAGTCATGCTCTCTGGGCAGGCCAATGATTCAGGTAAAAGAGGCTAAGCTGGTAACACCAAGGAAAATGCCCGAAGAGGTGTTGGTCAGCCTAGGATTTACTCCTGAATTTTTGGATTTTGCTTCCTATTTGCTGGCTTTGTGAAAAGTCTTCATTGGTTAATAACGTCTTATACCAGTGTTTTGCTGTTTTATGTTTCTTTTGAGTGTCACAGAGGTGAGTAAATTATCTTATGAGTGAGAGCATGTTCTTTAGGGGAAGAAAACCCCACTTGATGAACTCTGGAGGTTAGTAGACTTTTCTTAAGAGACGGTGTGGCAAAACAGCCTGTAGACCAGTCTGGGGTGTCCCATAGCCAGCTCTACCACTCACTAGCTCTCACCATTGGGGGTAAGTTAATTAACTTCTTTAAGCCTCAGTTTTCTCATCTATAAGATGGAGCTATTTTAAATTATTTTGAAGATTAAATGAGAGAGTGCATGCAAATGAGATAGCACAATGATTAGCACAGAATGAAAGCTAGAAACTTTGAGAAGTTTCTAGCCTCACTACTCAAAAGGTGGTCCATGGACCAGCAATGGCAGCAGCATCTAGGAGCTTGGTTGGAAGGCCCCACCTAGCCTGCACACTGAAGTCTGAGAAACACTGGACCAGACCATCAAAGCCCTGCCTTTATCAAAGCAGATCAAGTCGTCATGTCAGGATTTGTGGCGGCTGGCATTCTCTTTGTTTCCAGATGAGCAGCACTGTGTCCACCTAAGGTCAGGTCTACTCTCTGTTCTCCAGATAGTGTACTCAGTTGTGATGATACATAAATGAGATAAAACTTCTGCCTAGTTGTAGCTGCTTCCAAACAGTTATACTGTTTCTGCAAATAAGTTGTACAGATAGCTAATAGGTTCATAAGATGCTCAACATCATTAATCATTAGGGAAATGCAAATCAAAACCATAGTGGGATGCCACTTTACACCCACTAGGATGACTAGAATTTTTTTAAAAGGGGAAATAACCACGTGTTGGTGGAGGTGTGGAGACACTCTTCCCTCACACACTGCTGGTGGGAATGTAAAATGATGCAGCTACTGTAGAACACAGTCTGACCGTTGCTCAAAAACTTAAGCATAGAGTTCCCATACGACCCAGCAATTCCACTCCTAGGTATACAGCCAAGGAAATTAAAAACATATGTTTGCACAAAAACTTATTCACAATAGCCACAAAGTGGAAAGAAAATATGATATACCCATAAAGTAGAATATTATTCAGCTATAAAAAGAAATACAGGCCAGGCATGGTGGCTCACACCTGTAATCTCAGCACTATGGGAGGCCAAGGTGGGCAGTTCACTTGAGGTAGGGAGTTCGAGACCAGCATGGCCAACATAGTGAAACCCCATCTCTACTAAAAATACAAAAATTAGCTGGGTGTGGTGGTGCACACCTGTAATCCCAGCTACTCGGGAGGCTAAGACAGGAGAATCACTTGAGCCCAGGAGGTGGAGACTGTAGTGAGCCGAGATTGCACCACTGTACTCCAGCTTGGGTGACACAGCGAGACTCCATCTCAAAAAAAAAAAAAAAAAAATACAGATACATGCCACAAGATGGATGAACCTTGAAAATGTGCTAAGTGAAAGAAACCAGTTGCAAAAGGCCACATATTGTGTGCTTCTATTTATGTGAAATGTCTGAAATAGGAAAATCCATGGAGATGGACAATAGATGGTGGTTATCAGAGACTGGAGGAGGGAAGGAAGGGGAGTGACTGCTTAACGGACGAAGTTTCTTTGGGGAATCTTGAAAATGTTTTTAGAAGTAGACTGTGGTTATGGTTCCACAACCTTGCAAATGTAGCAAAACCTCCAAATTGTATGTGTATATGTATACGTATACATATACGTATACATATATGTATATATATGTATATGTATTTAAAGACAGGGTCTTGCTCTTTTACCCTGGCTAGAATGCAGTGATGTGATCATAGCTCACTGCAGCCTCGAACTCCAAGCCCTCCTCTCACCTCAGCTTCCCAAGTAGCTGGGACTACAGGCACACACCACCATGCCTGGCTAATTTTTTGGGTTCTTTGGAGGGACAAGGTCTCACTATGTTGCTCAGGCTGGTCTCAAACTCTTGGGCTCAAGCGCGACCCATCTACTTTGGCCTCCCAAAGTTCTAGGATTACAGGTATGAGCCACCATGCCTGTCCTGTATACTTTTTAAAGGGTGAATTTTATGGTATATGAATTATGTATCAAAAAACCCTAGCAAGTAGGAAGTACCCCATTTTGAGAATAAGGAATATGTTGGGGTTCCCTAAGAGCAACTCCAGGATCAGTGATTTGCTAGGAAGACTCACAGGATCCCCAGTGAAAGGATGCAAGCAAAGTCAGCAAAGGAGAAAGACACATGGGACAAAGTCCTGGGAAGACCAGGCACAAGCTTGCAGAGTCCTCTCTGGTGGAGTCACTCAGGACGCCTTTCACCCCAGCAATGAGTTACGACAACATGTATGAAATGTTGCCAACCAGGGAAGCTTTTTAGAGACTCAGTGCCAACGGTTTTTACAGAGGGCTGGTCACATGTACTCCATGCCCAGCACATACCCAAATTCCAGGTTCCCAGAAGGAAAGCAGGTATTCAACATACACCATGTTGTTTGTTTATGCCCTGTGAGCCACTCAACAGTTAAAGGGGGATCGTCCTAAAATGTACGTTCCCAGGTGCTGGCTAAAGGCTAACCTTGTAAGCAGGCCTTAGTAGGGACAGCAGTCAGGCTTGCTATGTTAACTCATTTTTGCACAGCTCACCCACTTGACCCTTGGCCAAGGTGTCTTTACAGAAAATTTTTCAGTAGGGCCCCACATAGCAGGGGGTGAGACCATCCTGCAGTATTGATCTCAGTTATGTCCTTTAGGGGTTCTGGGACTTAGCAGTTAAAGCAAATCTCATTAACCAGAAGGTCTGTCTTTTTTTTCTCTCTTTCTTTTCTTTTTCTTTTTCTTATTTATTTATTTATTTATTTATTTTGGAGACAAGGTCTTGCTCTGTTGCTCTTAGCCACGCTGGAGTGCAGTGGCATGATCATGGCTCACTGTGGCCTCAACCTCCTAGGCTTAAGTGATCATCCCACCTAAGTCTCCTGAGTAGCTAGGACTATAGGTGTGTGCTACCACACTTAGCTAATTTTTTTTTTTTTTTTTTGTAGAGATAGGGTCTTCCTATGTTGCCCAAGTTGGTCTCAAACTCTGGGACTCAAGCGATCCTCCCACCTCGGCCTCCCAAAGTGCTGGGATTACAGGCTTAAGCCACTGCACCTGGCCTTAGAAAGGTCTGTTTGAGGCAGCCAGGTGGCCTCCTCCATCAGTTGCTGTATGAATCTTTTTACCTGGCCTGTGGCATCAGCTCAGGCCCAGAACAGCTCTGGCCAGTAAGTTGAAACTGATCTGAATGCCTTCCAGGCCTGACGCCGTGTCATGATAATCGTGGCACGCACATAGGAACTATGATCCCCAAGGGCTCATGTGGTTCCCTGGAAAAAAAGAGTTGAAGATGTTAGGGCACACTAGCAGGGTATCATTGGTCAGTCAGTTCCCAGTGTGGCCTCCCACTGTGGTGACTGGTGCCTCAGGGTGCTCAGTCCAGTGCAGGTAATTCAGCTCAGTCCCAGGTTTTATGGCGGCTGCCTGAGGCCATCAGTCCCAAACAGTTCTACCAGTGACCCTACTTCATCTTCCTGGCAAGTGCAGATGGCATCTGGAGCTGTTCTGTGGGGACATGTAGGAACTGGCCCCACTCCTGCCGGCTCATAGTCATGCTGTCACATGCCATCTAGGCTCAGCCATGGGTCTGAGTCCAAGGTGCTTTCAGCACAAGGAGTTTTCCTTCAGGAAGGAGAGCGCTTCCAGGAGCAGTTATGGAAAACAGAACACAAATGTCCTTCCGTATCCCTGTATCATTTTTACCCCAGGTGTTGGATTATGTTGTTTTTCTCCATGTCCTATTCAATAATCAAAACTTTACATTTTCTTAATCATCCCCTACTCTCACCCAGACCTTTCAAAGAAAGGACAAAAGCATTTCTTAAAACCCATTTTTATCCAACTTAACCAGAAAGATATATTGTGTTCAGGTATTAGGCTAAAATCCTAAGTTTTCGAAACATTTTAAAGTAGGTTTGTATCACCTCTGAGCCCTTTCATCTTGATCATTTTATCCAGTGAGCAGCCTAGAAAAGATCAATCCCTTTCCAGTGACAGCTGCATTTAACAAATTGCTTTACTGACGTGTGTAGTGAGAGAAAGGTAGAGGAAATATAGTCAGGATCTCAGTCTATTACAAACTGCAGCTACTCCAGAAAATTAAACACAAAGCATCAACAGCAGTGACACTTTCCCCAGAGGGAATGGAGTTCAGTCTGTCAGGGATGGCTGAAAGAGTCACATTGCCTGTGGTGTGACTTGGAGCTTTTGTAGGAATCATGTGTTGGGAATATAATCAGACTCTGCATCAGAAATAATAGAGCCAATGAGCAGCTTGATTGTGGATGGTCCCATCAGAGAACAAGCCCTGTCTTGTGGGCACTTGTATGTGACCCAGTCTAGCAGCATCCAGAATCTTTTTACAGTTTTGGGCCCCATGAAGGGCATTCTATATTTGTAGTGGTCCCTACTCGATTTTTAAAACTCCAGAAGCATGTCTTTTCCTAGAAATTGCCTGTCTTTTCATATCTCCCCTTTTCAAGAGGCTCCATTAGACAAAAGTCATAGCAGAAAAATCTACTACAGAGACTTGTTCTGGTTCTAATATTTGGAGTTTAAATTCCAGCCTACCCACTGCTGGCAAAAAGCAAGGAGGTTGTGTCTAACTCTCACTTGGAGGAGAAAACAAAAACCAAAGGCATCACTTGGGCTGTGCTTTTTCCCTCACTTTAGCTAGCATGCTACAGTCAAAAGCAGCCAGGGGGATCCATCAAGCCAACTCTCTTGGAGCTGTATTGGTCATCTTTAAATTCCGTAGGTCACTTTTACCTCTCAAAACAGCTCAGCTGCTGTTTTATACCATGGATAACTTCATAGCCACCCAGGCATCACAAGTTTGTTCTCCACCCTTTTGTCCTTTTCCCAAAATGTGATTTTACCACGTTTCAGCAAATCAGGGTCATTCCAGCAATTCCCATTTCTGACACTAGTTGTGCCAGAGTTCCCCAAGACCACCCCAGGTTTGATGATTGGCTAGGAGAACTTGGAAGAATCAGCATAGTTCCACGCATGGCTGTGACTTATTTTTTCTTTCTTAGCTTTTTTTTTTTTTTTTTTTTTTTTTCGAGATGGGGTCTTTCTCTGTCACCCAGGTTGGAGTGTAGTGGCGCGATCTTGACTCACTGCAGCCTCAACTTTCCAGGCTCAAGCGATCCTCCTGCCTCAGCCTCCAGAGTAGTTGGGACTACAGGAGTGTGCCCCCATGCCAAGCTAATTTTTGTATTTTTTGAAGGGCTGTGGTTTCACCATGTTGCCAAGGCTGGTCTCAACCTCCTAAGCTCAGGTGAGCCACCATGCCCGGCCCATGGCTATGATTTATTATAGCAGGAGGAAACATGAAAAAACTAGCAAATGGAGGAGGTGCATGGGACTAAGTTCAGAAGTAACCAGGTGTGGATTTCCAAGAGTCTTCTTCCAGTGGAGTCACATGGGACGAGCTTAATTCCTCTACCAACACATTGTGACAACATGTATGAAATGTTGCCAGGCTGGGAAGTTGGCTAGAAACTCAGTGCCCAGGGTTTTTACTGGGGGCTAGATATGTAGGCATCCCCTCCCAGGCACATACCCAGATTCCACACTCCCACAAGAAAAGCAGATGCTTAGCATAAACCATACTGTTTGTATAAACAGTTTAGACACCCATCAGTTAATGGTGGGAACCCTCCTGAAATCTAAGTTCTCAGATGCCAGCCAAGGGCCACCCTTATAAGCAGGCCTTTCCAAGCACAGCAGTCAGATCTGCTATGTTAACCCTTTTGTGCACAAGGAAATCGATGTTTAGAGAGGTTAAGTAACCTGCCCAAGGTGATCCAGCTATTAGGTGGCAGTGCTAGGTCTCTGTGGCTCCAAAGTACAGACTTTTAACCCCTGAAATAAACTTGAATAAACTTGACTCTTGAGTATGGGAGCCTTTTTAGGGTAAGATCCATCCTGTGTACAATAGAAAAGTATGATATTGATTGCCCAGGTCATATTTTAACAGAAATGTGTTCTTCCCAACTCTCTGCTCTACTTTTTCCATCTGTACTCTCTGTCCTTCTGGCTGTTATACTGTAACTTTCTAGTATTCCATGTCTGTCCTCGTTTAGCTCCTCTTGGCCCTCTTAACCCTTCTTACAAGTCTTCACCCACTCGAAACATTGAGAAGAAGAAAGCTACATCTACGTCTACATCTGGTGCAGGAGATGTTGGGAAAGAAGCCCTTTCAGGAGGAGAGGCCTCTCTGGTAGGTTTAAAACCACCCACCCACTCACTCCTCTAGACTGTGTTCTGTCTGATGGTGTGATTACTTCTGTGCTTGACCTGGGCTGTCTGTTTCCATCAATCTCCTGGGACTGCTCAAAGCAGGAAAGGGTAGATTTAGTTCAAAATTTTACCCAACCTTTGAAAATCATTTAACTTTTTGCACCCTCTTAAGTCTTAGTACCTTGGAGCAAATTCTTAATGATGTCCTTGTCACAGCCTGCCCTCCAGAGGACAGGAGTCAGAAGGAATGTTCTAAATATCCTCTGTCTTCCTCGTTACGGATATCTGATTCTGGGTCAGTCTTGCCCGTGCATCTAAGTGGAACTGAGGATCTACGTCAACTTTTACCTACAAAAGTAATCATTAAATATTCTTTTGAGATGAAGTCTTTTTATGTTGCCCAGGCTGACCTTGAATTCCTAGGCTCAAGTAATCCTCCTGCCTCAGCCTCCTGAGTAGCTGGGACTACAGGCACATGTTACTATGCCAAGCTTAAACATTTTTGATGGCATACTGGCACTATCAGTAAATTAAATGTTGAGAAGGCACCCCCAATTGTGTCTATTTATTTAGAAATTACACAGTGCCATACTACTTTTGTTAGTTATTGATTGCTACTTAACAAATCACCTCAAACCTTGGCAGCTTAAAATAACAAATATCTATTAATTCATGGGTTCTTTGGGTCAGAAATTCAGAGTGACTTAGTGGTTCTGGTACAAGGTCTTTCATGAGGTGTGGTCAAGATGTTGGCCAGGGCTGCATCATCTGAAAGCATGGCTGGGCCTCATCTGAGACGGCTCATTCATGGCTGTTGGCAGGAGGCCTCGGTTCCTCACTGCATGGGCCTGTCCATAAAGCTGCTTGAGTATCCAAATGATGCCACAGCTGGCTTCCCTCCAAGCAAGCTATCGGGAAGCTGCAGTGTCCTTTAAGTAAGTCACTAAGATCAACCCACACTCAAGAGGAGAGGAATTAAGCCTCACCTGTCGAAGGGAGGAATATCAAATAATGTCAGGACTTATTTCAAAACTACTTCATTTTATAATGCCATATTTTCTTTTCAAATCTGTTGTGGCTCTTAGAAGTGCATGTTTTAGACTCTCGGATTTTACTATACAGTGGATTAGTGTTGAAAGGGATTGATGGATGTGAGTGTGGGGGCCAATTGAGGACTTGCTGCAGAAAAGTGTGATAGGGAGAGAAGGGAGCTAACCCTTGTGGAGCACTTTCTGCAGGCTGGGCACTGATGTCTGTTCCCTTCTGCCAAAGGAGGTAATGGGAAGACCTACAGGACTAGATGGGGTTGCAGACCCATTATACCATGTATACCATCAGGGGCCACAGCTCACTGTCTTGGATGTTGTAACCACATTTTCACCCACCTGTAATTTTTTTGTAGTGATTTTACATTTTTATACTCTTTTCAGTTCCTATATGTCTAAGACCGTAATATGGTTCAGTTGTTAACTCTTTGAAAGACAACAAGGAGAAGGAAATCTTTGCATTTTGAGGCTGATTTTTTTTAACTGGATAATGCAAATGTGATGACCTCATCCTGCCTCCCCGCAAAGATGCCTGTCATGTGAAGCGTTATAGCTTCATATCGATCCCTCTGAAAGAAAGCTGTGCATTGTTCCATCTGGGGTATTAGTCTTATAAATTGTGGAAGTAGTGCCAGTCATGGACTGTGGCTATCCTGTGTCCCCTACAGGTGGAGAAGGTGAAGCGGGGGCAACGAACAGCAACTTCTCTTCCTGTTGTGAACTTCGGGTCCCCTCTGAGAAGATGTGAGTTTTCTGGAGGCATTCCTAAGAGACCATCTTCTCCTGTGATATCCAAGTAAGCATCTCTCCCCTTTGCCAGACAGTCTGACTGTCATGAGTCAGTTTGCTAGGGCTTTGTGCCATCCAGTGTTGCAGCTCCTGCTCCCCCGTGAGGCGTGGCCAGCCAGAAGTGGTAAGTGGGAGAAATGCTGGCCTTGGAGTTACGTGGCTTGACTCTCTGTGTATCTTCTGGGTGAAAGATCCTTTGCTAAGGGACCCCAGTGCGTAACAGGGCTTTTATTTACCAAGATGATGCATTCAGCATTTTCTCTTTAGGTCCATGAATTCCATTCTGCTTTTCTGGTATTCTTTTTCCAGTTGCATTTGGATTTAAGTGATTGCATTGGGCTTGGGCTCCTCCTGACATTCTCCCCCACCTTGTTGTCTCTCTCTTTAATAGAGAGACAATAATAACTTGTCAGCCATGATCAACAGTATTTTAATGAAGCAAATATATATGTGTGTGTGTTTTTAAGAAATGGGGTCTTGTTGGGTTGCCCAGGCCTGGAGTACAGTGACTGTTCACAGGCATAATCACAGCACGCTATAGCCTCCAACTCCTGGGCTCAAGTGATCCCCCCGCCTCAGACTCCCAAGTAGCTGGGACCACTATGCCCATGCACCATAACACCACCATGCCTAATTTTTGTTAGGAACTAGGTAAACTCACCAAGGAAACCATGTAACTGAAAAATTTACAATAACTTTGTGACCACCAAGGTCTTAAGTCATTAAAATATTTTACTGACAGTAACTGACAAAAGACTCAGTAAATAACTCAGTCCAGTAGGACAGTGGAAACCATCTTTAGTAGGACAGAGAAAGAAAGAGAAATATGATTTAATTTGGGAATATAGGAAAGTTTTTATATGGAGAGAATCATATAAACCTTATTCAGTGTATCAGTTTAGTTCAGAGAATGTTGGATAAACACAAGTTTAATGAAAACTTGCGAATTTGTCAAAAATATTTAAAGATGACATCAGCTCTTAAATTTCCAATGTGTTGCTTTCTAATAGAGACTTTTTCACTACTATTAATAATTTTTTTTAGAGATCACTATGGTTTTGATACACTACTAATACCTGCCATTGATGTGTTTGTCCTCCATAAGGAAAATCTTTCCATAGCACATCACTGAATTAAAAGCCTACTTTTCTTTCTTTCTTTATTTTTAGTTCATTGCAACCTTTCTGTGCTAGTATTGCCCATCTTTGGTTATGGTGTTGTTATCCTACCACCTCTTTAAATTTATTATGTGGACTCTACGATCCGTTTCCCTCTGTCTTATATCTGAGCCTTTTTCAGCTTCCACCCATGCATCATTACTCTGGTGTTAATTTTGGACATTTGCATTAACAGAAAGAAAAGCCTAGTTTACGCTGAGACTTTTACAGGCTCCACCCTCTCTCTGTCTTGCTGGAATTTGGACTCATGGTCCCTGCAGGGATACTAGCTTGCAAGTTTCATCATTATTATTGTAAATGGTAGTATCTTCTATAGAAATGAGAATTATAGGTATACCTAGTTTTGTTGTACTTTGCACTTCGCAAATACTGGTTTTTTTTGTTGTTGTTGTTGTTTGTTTTACAAATTGAAGGTTTGTGGCAACCCTGCATTGAGCATGTCTGTCGATGCCATTTTTCCAATAGTGTGTGCTCACTTCTTGTCTCTGTGTCACATTTTGGCAATTCTCAAAATATCCAAACTTCATTATTATTATTATATCCATTATGGTGATCTGTGATCAATGATCTTTGATGTTACTGTTATAATTGTTTTGGGGTGCCATGAATTGCACCCATATAAGATGACAAACTTAATGTGTGTGTTCTGACAGCTCCACTGACAGGCCATTCCCCCATCTCCCTCTCCTTGGATCTGTCTACACCCTGAGACAGAGTAATATTGAAATGAGGCCAATTGATAACCCAACAATGGCCTCTTAGTGTCCAAGTAAAAGGAAGTGCCACAGATCTCTCCCTTTAAATCAAAAGCTAGAAATGATTGAGCTCAGTGAGGAAGGCACATCAAATCTGACATGGGCTGAAGGCTAGGCCTCTGGCACCAGTTAGCCAAGTCATGAATGCAAAGGAAAAGTTATTGAAGGAAATTAAAAGTGCTACTCCAGTGAACACACAAACCATAAGAAAGGGAAACAGCCTGTGTTAGTCAGGGTTCTCCAGAGGGACAGAACTAATAGGATAGATGTATATATAAAGGGGAGTTTATTAAGGAGTATTAACTCACACGATCACAAGGTAAAGTCCCACAATAGACCATCTGCAAGCTGAGGAGCAAGGAAGCCAGTCCGAGTCCCAAAACCTCAAAAGTAGGGAAGCCGACAGTGCAGCCTTTAGTCTGTGGTCGAAGGTCCAAGAGTCCAAAAGCTGAAGAACTTAGAGTCCAGTGTTTGAGGGCAGGAAGCACCCAGCATGGGAGAAGTAGGCCAGAAGACTAAGCCAGTCTAGTCGTCCTTCCACACTCTTCCACCTGCTTTTTTTTTTTTTTTTTTTTTTTGAGATGGAGTCTTGCTCTGTCACCAGGCTGGAGTGCAGTGGCGCAATCTCGGCTCACTGCAACCTCTGCCTCCCAGGTTCAAGCGATTCCCCTGCCTCAGCCTCCCGAGTAGCTGGGATTACAGGCATGCACTACCATGCCCAGCTAATTTTTTATATTTTAGTAGAGACGGGGTTTCACCACATTGGCCAGGATGGTCTCCATCTCCTGACCTTGTGATCCGCCCACCTTGGCCTCCCAAAGTGCTGGGATTACAGGTGTGAGCCACCTTCACCTGCTTTTATCCTAGCCATGCTGGCAGCTGATTAGATGGTACCCACCCAGATTGAGGGTGGGTCTGCCTCTTCCAGTCCACTGACTCAAATGTTAATCTTCTTGGCAACACCCTCACAGACACACCCAGGAACAATACTTTGCATCCTTCAATCCAATCCAGTTGAAACTCAATATTAACCATCACAAGTCCACCTCTTGTCGACTTGAACCCATACACATCTCCTGAGATCATACATAATCTTCAAATAAAGACAAATAATAAGGTCGTAATTACGCCTATCCTTCCTACAACTGGAAGCATACCAATCCCCAACCCAAATGCTATTACATAAAGTTAACACTTAAATGCTGATATGACATCAATAAATCTTATGTCACATGATAAAGGAAAGAGAAAGGAAATGACAATAGTTTCTTCATCCACCATGAAGGTGGATAAGGCATTCCATGGGTCCACAGATGGTAGTCTTGGCAGAAGCATTGCATGCAGGATAGACAAACCTATATCCAGAGTAAGGGTATACATGCACAAACATGTTCTTAACAAAATAAGGAAGAAATACTCATGCAATTACAGTCCTCGTTTCTGCAACTGGTCCTGTGATCGTAGCTGGTACTGATGACTCCCTTCTTCTACTACCCATTCTGTATTCTCTTTGCCTTCAGCAAACACCTCAGCAGGTCGTTGTCTTTTACCTGGTGGAGTGACCCAAAGTTTCACTCCTGAAGGGTCTGGGCCATTTGTAGTCCTGCCAGGATTGGGCTCTTGTAGTTTTCCATTGACCTTAATCACAGGGCATGGTAAAACTAAGAGATGCCCTAAGGGATCTCCTGTATTCCACGCATACTCTTTCTTACCTCCATTGTGGAGTAGTAAACTGATTTCATCTTGATAGTCTGGGTCAATCACCCCAGTCAACACTAACTGTCTTCTTAGCCTGTTGAGTTAGAGGTAGGAGGAGCTTAAAGTGTCCAGGGGGCAATCTTTGTTGTATCTCCTGGTGGCAGCATTCCTCCCTCTGGAACTAAGACCTCTAGGCCAGCAGAACGTAATGTTGCGGGAACAGGAAGCAAAAATTTTGCTAATGGGTCACTAGGGGTGATGGTGAGTGGTGCCACTTCCATTTCCACCCCTTGATTCCTGGACCCGTGAATCCTGGCTGTGGGAGAAACAGTACCATGTATAGGACGTTGATTCAGAACATACACAGCCTTGTGAAGAACTTTGCCCCAGCCTTGCAAAGTATTGTTACCTAATTGGCATTGTAATTGTGACTTCAAAAGGCCATTCCACTGTTCTATCAATCCAGCTGCTTCAAGATAATGGGGAATATGTTAAGACCAGTGAATTCCATGAGCATGAGCCCACTGCTGCACTTCTTTAGCCGTAAAGTGAGTGCCTTGTTCAGAGGCAATGCTATGTGGAATACCATGAAGGTGGATAAGGCATTCCATGGGTCTACAGACAGTAGTCTTGGCAGAAGCATTGCGTGCAGGATAGACAAACCTATATCCAGAGTAAGTATCTATTCCAGCGAGTACAAACTGCTGCCCTTTTCATGATGGAAGAGGTCCAGTATAATCAACCTGCCACCAAGTAGTTGGCTGATCACCTTGAGGAATGGTGCATATCGAGGGCTCAGAGTTGGTCTCTGCTGCTGGCAGATTGGGCACTCAGCAGTGGCCGTAGCTAGGTCAGCCTTGGTGAGTGGAAATCTGTGTTGCTGAGCCCATGTGTAACCTCTATCCCTGCCACCGTGGCCACTTTGTTCATGGACCCATTGTGCAATGACAGAGGTGGCTGGGGAAAGAGGCTGAGTGGTGTCCACAGAACGAGTCATCCTATCCACTTGATTATTAAAATCCTCCTCTACTGAGGTCACCCGTTGGTGAGCATTCACATGGGATACAAATGTCCTCAGTTTTTGACCACTCAGAGAGGTCCATCCACATATCTCTTCCCCAAATTTCTTTGTCACCAATTTTCCAATCATGCTTCTTCCAAGTCCCTAACCGTCCAGCCAAACCATTGGCTACAGCCCATGAATCAGTATATAATCACATATCTGACCATTTCTCCTTCCAAGTAAAGCGCATAACCAGGTGCAGTGCTCGGAGTTGTGCCCACTGGGAAGATTTCCCTTCACCACTGTCCTTCAGGAATGTCCCAGAAAGGGGCTGTAGTGCCGTAGCTGTCCACTTTCAGGTGGTGCCTGCATATCATCCACAGCCATCTGTAAATCAGGCCCTAGTCTTCTCTTCCTCTGTCAACTGATCATAGGGAACCGCCCACCACCACCCATGAGGCCATCGGTGCGGGCTGGGGGAGAGAAGGCAGGGTGACAGGGCATTTGAGCCACTTCCTCATGTAATTTGCTTGTGCCCTCAGGACCTGCTCGAGCCCGATCATGTATATACCATTTCCACTTGATGATAGAATGCTGCTGTGCACACCCCACTTTATGGCTAGATAGGTCAGAAAGCACCCAGTTCATGATAGGCAGTTCAGATCACAAGGAATGGCTTCCTTGCTCCTCAGCTTGCAGATGGCCTATTGTGGGACTTCACCTTGTGGTTGTGAGTCAGTACTCCTTAATAAACTCCCCTTTATATATACATCTATCCTATTACTTCTGTCCCTCTAGAAGTATTTTGGTACCAGGAGTAGTTCTAGAGGAACAGAATATTAAGGATGGAGTTCTTTCGTTGGTTTTGGGGTTTCTGGAGTTGGCTTCTCAGAAGCAAGGTCACAACTGGCTCACTGGCTCTGTGCTGCTTCTTTGAAGTTGAAAATCCTTTTTTTTTTTTTTTTTTTTTTGAGATGGAGTCTCACACTGTCACCCAGGCTGGAGTGCAGTGGTGCGATCTCAGCTCACTGCAACCTCTGCCTCCAGGGTTCAAGTGATTCTCCTGCCTCAGCCTCCCAAGTAGCTGGGATTACAGGGGTGCGCCACCACGCCCGGCTAATTTTTGTATGTTTCGTAGAGATGGGGTTTCACCATGTTGGCCAGGCTGGTCTCGAATTCCTGACCTCGTGATCCGCCCACCTTGGCCTCCCAAAGTGCTGGGATTACAGGCATGAGCCACCGCGCCTGGCCGAAAATCTTTTTTTAAAAAACTTTTATTTTAGTTTCAGGGGCACATGTGCAGGTTTGTTCTATAGATGAATTGTGTGTCACAGGCCAGGCGCGGTGGCTCACACCTATAGTCCCAGCACTTTGAGAGGCCAAGGTGGGTGGATCACAAGGTCAGGTGTTTGAGACCAGCCTGGCCAACATAGTGAAACCCCGTCTCTACAAAAAATACAAAAAATTAGCCAGGCGTGGTGGCACGCACCTGTAATCCCAGCTACTCGGGAGGCTGAGGCAGGAGAATCGCTTGAACCCGGGAGGCGGAGGTTGCAGTGAGCTGAGATCGCGCCACTTCCAGCCCAGGCAACAGTGCAAGACTCCGTCTCAAAAAATAAAAAATAAAATAAATTGCCTGTCACAGGGGTTTGGTGTACATATTATTTTGCCACCCAGGTAATAAGCATAGTACCCAGTGGGTAGTTTTTTGATTCTCACCCTCCTCCCACGCTCCACCCTCAAGTAGGCCCCAATATCTGTTGTTCCCTTCTTCACGTGCAAGTGTACTCATTGTTTAGCTCCCATTAATAAGTGAGAATATACAGTGTCTGGTTTTCTGTTTCTGCATTAGTTCACTTAGAATAATGTGAAGTCGAAAATGTTGAAGAAGATTGTGTTTCTAGAACTATTTTATACACACACACACACACACACACACACACACACATATATATTTTTTTTGAGACGGAGTCTTGCTCTGTCGCCCAGGCTGGAGTGCAACGGTGCAATCTCGGCCCACTGCAACCTCTGCCTCCCAGGTTCAAGCGATTCTCCTGCCTCAGCCTCCCAAATAGCTGGGACTACTGGTGCGCGCCACCACACCCACCTAATTTTTTGTGGGGTTTTTTTGTTTTTGTTTTTGTTTTTAGTAGAGATGGGGTTTCACCATGTTAGCCAGGATGGTCTCAATCTCCTGACCTTGTGATATGCCTGCCTCAGCCTCCCAAAGTGCTGAGATTACAGGTGTGAGCAACCACGCCTGGCCAACTATTTTATATTTTAAAGGACACATCATCTGAGTTTTGTAAAAGCTGTCCCTGATCAAAGGGACTTGGTTAAAATTCCAGACTTTTTTATGCAGTTTAATTTAGAGAAAAAAAATTTAATTTCCACTCTGTCTAGAACACTAGTAGGCACATAGTAGGTGCTATAAATATTTGTGGAATGAATGAATGCAGGTCACTATGCCCAGTGCCTCAGAGAATCCCCAAATGAGTGAGAACAGTCCCTATTTCAAGGAACCTCCAGCAAGGTGCGGGGAGCCTTGTACACAGTTGAGCACAGTACAGGCCCTAATCCAAAGAGCCGCCCATCTGCTCAGGACTCTGCTCAGCCATCATCCTCTCCATAGCCAGCCAAAGCTGAATTCACCCCCTTCTCTGTGTTGACAGAGCATCATGTGCAGCCCTCTTTCATTCACTCACTTAACATCCAGCCCTCTTCTAAGGGCTGAGGATGCAAAAGTCCCTACCCTCCTGGAGCTTATGTGACAGTGAACAGCATGGATAAGATCAGGTGGCGATAAGCACTATGGAAAAAAAATTAAACCGGTTCAGATGACAGAGGGGTGGAAGGGAGTAGCTGGATAAGGTGGTCAGGAAAGGATTCTCTGAGAAGGTGACATTATAGCAGAGCCATGCAGGAAACTAGGGCATAGGCGGGGTTGGTCTATGCCTCATTGCTTGGTGTTAGTATTTTATACTTAGCAATCTCCTGCTAGACTGCTATGAGGTTGGGAACTGTCTTGATTTATTGTTGCACAGTAGGTGCTCAGTATGTGTGTGTGTTAGTCTGTTTGGCTGCTAAACTGACTGGCTTATAAACAACAGAGATGTATTTCTCACAGTTCCGGAGGCTGGGAAGTCCATGATCAAGGTATGGCCAGAGTCAGTGTCAATTGAGGGCCCATTTCTTGATTCATGAACAACCATCTTCTCAGTGTGTCCTCACATGATGGAAGGGGCGCAAGGGAGCTCTCTGGGGTCTCTTTTATAAGGGCACTGATGCCATTCAGGAGGATTCCACCTTCATGACCTAATCACCTCCCAAAGGCCCCACCTCCTAATACCACCACCATGGGGTTAGGGTTTCAACTCACATGTTTTGAGGAGACAGAAACATTCAGACATAGCAGTGGTATGGGATGCAACTAAGAAGGGAAGGAGAAGCTGGGGGGCAAGGGCAGGGTCACCTGGCAGATAGGGAAAATGTTGAGACCAAACCTGCTCAAGGACTTTGCCCTTTGTTCACTCCTGAGCTCAAATGACCCACCTGCCCCTGCCTCCCAAAGTGCTCAGGTTACAGGTGCGAGCCACTGCACCTGGCCAGTTATATCATTCTGTTTTTTTTTTTTTTTTTTTTTTTTTTTGGAGACAGGGTCTCACTCTGTCGCCCAGTCTGGAGTGCAGTGGCTCAGTCTCTGCTCACAGCAACCTTTGCCTGGCAGGTTCAAGCAATTTTCCTGCCTCAGCCTCCCAAATAGCTGGGATTACAGGCATGCACCACCACGTCTGGCTAATTTTTGTATATTTAGTAGAGACAGGGTTTCACTATATTGGCCAGGCCGGTTTTGAACTCCTGACCTCAAGTGATCCACCCGCCTTGGCCTCCCAAAGTGCTGTGATTACAGGTGTGAGCCACCGCGCCCGGCCATTTATATCATTCTTTATACCTTACAAGTTTTGTAAATATTCTCTTGCATACTCATTGTTGGAAAAACATAATAAAAAAGACTTACTTGATTTTTAGAATGATGCCACACACAAAACAAACCCCCACCAAAACTGGTATTTTTGACATTCCTTCTGTGCAGACCAAGTGTGTGATTTTTAAAACGCACTGGAAATGATGTGGCTTTGAAAAGGGGCTTAATTAGCCCTATGAACTCACCCATCCAGAATCCCAGGCAGGTCATGTGATTAATGATACCTTTTCCTGTGACCTCCTAAGCTCTGACAGTGCATTGTTCTCCTGCCTGATGTCAGATAAACTAAGCCACTGTTGGGTGGCTGTGCATGTTAATAGCATTGCTCTTTTAAGCGTTCAAGTTTATTTTTATTGTTTTCATCATTGGGTACTTGCATGGGTTTTAGAAAACTAGATTCAACAACACTCTGAAAGACATAGATGGAGCATAGCTTTGTTCCCATAACCTAGAGAAAAGAAATCCAGTGTGGCCAAGTGGATTTGTCCAGCCCATCTCTACCTCTTGAGTGTTGATGCTGCCTGTACTTCCAGGTCTTCAGTGTGAAATATTCTCTAATGGTTTTATATTCTTAGAAATATATTCTAAGTCAGTTTGGTCATTACGATAGGTAATATTTCAGCTATCTATTACTGCTGTTACAAAGCCCCCAAAATTGAGTTGCTTAAACAGTAATTTATTATTCATTTTCACAGTTCTGTGACTTGGGCTTACTGGGAGGTTCTCTCTTTGGATCTTTTGTGCAGTTGCTCTGTGGGTTGACTTGGGTTACTCAGGGTCTTCCATGCCATTGCAGTCCAGTGTTGACTGGAGCTGCAGTTACCTAGAGCTCAGATGAGCTGAAGGTTCAAGATGGGCCATTTTCCTACCTGGCAGTTGATGATGGCTATTGGCTGGGAGCTCAGCTGAGTCTGTCAAACCAGAGTGCCTACTATGGCTTCTCTGTATGGCTTAGGCTTCTCACAGTGACTGGGTTCCAACAAGAAATGGCCCCAAGATTGAGCATCTTTTGGGTCAGGAAGCGGAAGCTGTCAGGCCAGTGAAGGACTATGCTCTCAATTGGCACAGCCTTACTTGTCTGCTGTATTTTATAGGTCAAAGCAGTCGGGCCAACCTAGATTCAATGGGATGGAGAGATAAACTCAAAAGATAAGATCTTGTGGGATGGGAGATATTATTGTGGCCAACTTTGGAAAATTCAGTGTGCCAAAGATAATCACTTCCAGAGGTAGATCATAGCTGAGATCAGTTTTGTTTCAGGGACCTAGTTTAATTTCACTTTATCATGTGTTGAAAACAAAACATATTCCATATGAGGGAAAAAATTAGGATAAAGGTGTCTGGATGGCCCAAAACAAGTACCTCCCACTTTACTCCAAATCACAGGCCCGTGGAAGGCTCCCTCCCAGACCCAGGCTATCCCTTTGGTGGCTGAGGACATTTAATGGATCCTGGCCAAGTGCCCTTCCCATAAGCTTCTCTGGGAGATGTGTGGCTTGGTTATCCTCTCCCACAGATAAGCATCTACAGCACACTAGGCTCCCACAAGGGCGACTTAACTGCTGTTTTTGCCACCACATCATTCTCTAGTAGGCTTTTACATTCTTACCTGAAATTCTTCCTGAAGAGGGTAATTGAAAATGTCAAGTGATGTCCCCTCCTTGCAGCCATATCTATATACTCACTCAGTCCTGTATTTTTGAGTCTTATCAGAGGATCATTTGAATTTAGACCAATTTTTTCAGCTTTTAAATTTCGAAATCATTTCAACCTTGCAAAAGAATCACAAGACTAGAACACAGAACTCTTTCTTCCCCACCTTTTATCCTGTATTAATGTGTAGCCACATTTCTGTCATCCTTCCCATCCCCTATCACCCTCACTCAGTCTTGCACAGTCTCTCACATTCATCCTCCATAGATGCACACACAGACATACATACCCAGATTTCTCCCAGAACCGTTTGAGAGTAACTTGCAGACATCATACCCCTTTGCCCCTAAGAACGAAGACATTATTTTCCATTGTTATGGAAATCAGAAAGTTTAACTTGGTACTGTTACTTAATTTCTAATGTATGTGCAACTTTTGCCAGGTGTCCCAGTAAGATTCTGGGTTTTTTTGAGACAGACTCTTGCTCTGTGGCCCATGCTGGAGTGCCGTGCTGTGATCTCGGCTTACTGCAACCTCCGCCTCCCAGGTTCAAGTGATTCTCCTGCCTCAGCCTCCCGAGTAGCTGGGATTACAGGGGCACACCACCATACCTGGCTAATTTTTGTGTTTTTATTAGAGATGGGGTTTCACCATGTTGGCCAGGCTGGTCTCAAACTCCTGACCTCAAGTGATCTGCCTGCCTCGCCCTCTCCTTTGTACTGGGAGTACAGGCATGAGCCACCAGGTCTGGCCCAATAAGATTTTTTATATCATTTTTTTTTTCATGGTCCAGGGTCCAACCCAGGGTCCCACATTGCATTTAATTGTCTCACCTTCTTAGTCTTCTTTCAACTGAAACAGTTCCTCAGCCATTCTTTTTCCTGACCTTGACATTATTTTATTTTATTTTATTTTATTTTATTTTATTTTATTTTATTTTATTTTTCGAGATGGTGACTCCCTCTGTCACTGAGGCTGGAGTGCAGTGGTGCAATCTCGGCTCACTGCAACCTCCGCCTCCCGGGTTCAAGTGATTCTCCTGCCTCAGCCTCCCGAGTAGCTGGGACTACAGGCACATGCCACCACACCCGGCTAATTTTTTGTATTTTTAGTAGAGACGGGGTTTCACCATGTTAGCCAGGATGGTCTCGATCTCCTGACCTCGTGATCCACCCGCCTCAGCCTCCCAAAGTGCTGGGATTACAGGCGTGAGCCACTGCACCCGGCTGACCTTGACATTTTTAAAGAATATAGGCTAGTCGTCTTGAGGACTGCCTTCAGTTTGGATAGGCCTGACGTTTCCTCTGATTGCATTCAGGTTGTGTTCTTTGGGCAGGAATCTCGTGGCAGAGGTGTTGGGTCCTTCTCAGTACCTCTTATCAGGAGGCTATGATGTCAGTTTGTTTAATTACTGGTGATATTAACTTTGATTACTGGATTAAGGTGGTGTTCCCAGGTTTCTCCGGTATAAAACTGCTGCTCTTTCTTATCTAGGAAGTAACAAACTTTTCTGAATGTTGGCTGAGCTGTGCTGATGAAGCCAAGACCCCTCCCATGCAGTGAGTGGGCCGTGTTCACTCACTGTGCATGGAGTCAAGTGGTTTTGGAGAACATGGAACTAGATTCCAAGATTGGAGGAAAAAAGTCTTTTGGGGGTTCCACTTTGCAGTCAACTCACATTCAGAGGCATGACAACCCTCTCCAGAGAGTTATTCTTGCCACTGTGTTTACAGAGGTGTTTGTTCGTATTTTCTGCCAGTCATGGAACCTAAAAGGTTATATCATACTGCCTTATGTTCCTAGAAGGTCTAGTTTACCATCCTAAACACACCTTGTGAATCCCCTTTGTTATATTTTTATTGGACCTTAAAAAATTAAAGTGGAAGAGCTAAAAAAGTGAGACAATGAACAAATGCCTTGAGTGCCAGCCCTGGTACTCTTGTCTGTTTGCATTTCTTTGGGAAAGGTTGTTTAAACTCTTAGGACTTTGGTTTTCTTCTGTAAAATATGGTTAATAGCAATTTCCTACGTACCTCACTGGATTACTGTGGCAATCAAATAGACCCTTGTTAAATAGATGAGAAGGTACTTCAGAATAAACCTCCATACAAGCACAGTGAGTTCCCCTAATTAATTCATATTTCTTAAATCAGCCAAAATACCTATTTCCAGGAAATTGAAAAATAGCTTGCCAGACTTTCTTTGGCTTTCAGCAATGTGAGCAGGGCTGGCCAGAGAGCCGTGCAGTCTGACATACCAGCCTTGTGGTTTAGTTTCTTCCGGATACCTGTGCTTAGCACTTTTGCAGGGCAGCTGACAGGGTACAAAGTCCATGTAAGCAAGTGGCAAAGCAGGATGAGCAGGAAACTTGACAGATTGTAGATAACATTGGGAACTTCTTTTTTTTAATTCTGTATTTTGTTCACTCACTGTAAAAAAAAAAAAAATCTATGACTTGCCCACACTTTTCTAATTTGAAGGTCATGTTTGTGTGTGCATACAAGTGTGTGTGTTTTCTAACTTACTCTGTTTATTGGGCAGGGGCTGGGGTCGGGGACTGTAAACAGACTTCTTAATGAGCTTTATCCCAAAGAATCCACCCTTACTTCTCAGGTAGAAGTTATTTTTAAATGTGTGCTCATGGGTAATTGGTCCAGTTTTATTTAGAATGGAACCTCGCAGTCTGTGGCGTGAACTGAACCTACATGTGACCATTCTCTTAAAACAAGCAAGGCTGTTCAGGGCTATGCCAACTTGAGGCTGTCAGAACCTCCCCCACCTAGGCCACCCTGGCCTTTTCTCCCTAGGATTAGGATCTTGTCCTGCATTTCCATTTACTTAGATGGGTCTGACATAGCCAACAGGCTCCTGCCACACTGACTGAGTGTGTGAGCCATTTAAGCAGACACAGAGGTTGTGCTGGAACTCAGATGCTGGCTATGGCTGCTGAGGCTGCAGCCAGTTCAGGCCTCCCACCCACTCCCCCCAGTCCAGCCCTGGAGACCCTTGTGGTCGGAGTCATGTCTGCAGGAAGGCTTCTTGTCTGCCTACCCATTCATGGGCAGAAGTGCCAGCACACTTCAGGGACCCCCGAAGCAGAGCCCAACTCTTTCTATACTGCTTAGAGAAGCCCAGAGTGTGGGCTCGCAGGCCAGTTCCAGGGAGAGAACAAGAACAGGCAGGGTTGTGCACACCCAGCAGCTTTGCTCATTCTCACCAATCAGAGAAATCGTACCTCATTCCACGGGGAGGAGGGTGAGGGCAAGCAAGAAGATCAGGTGAGATTTGCCAGGCCTTCCAATGCCAGAAAGTCCTCCTCAACAGGTCAAGGTAGGAATGCTTATGGGATGAGAAAGTGTTTCCATCTGTTATCATCTACCACGAGATAGTCTTTCCTACAGCCTCTATCGCCAAGTTTCAAATCCACTCCCTGCCCTTGTACTGTTGTTGGATCAAAGGACACATATCATTCACGTGACAATCCAGTGGAGAGATAATGTGCTTTGATCTTGGCAAGGCACTAGACCAAGTCTTTTGAGACACCCTCGTGGTGGTTGGGTGGCGGGTATACAGCTCTACTGTGGGCGCCACTCACCTTAGATAACAGCGTGAAAGGAAGACGTGGCCAAGCAAAAGACCACCAGCTGTATCTTTATACATATTAACTGAGACTAAATGCAGGCTCAGCTAATGTGTACAGTTAGTACACATTGTGTAACTCATTGGAAAACCATGCTCAATGGAGCACTGTCAGTGTGAGCAAGCAGGACATGGGCTCCCCTGTTATTACAGTTCATCTTCCTGGTTTTGGTTCATTCTTGTCTGTGAGGATTATTTGGATTTTTAGTTTATCATCTAATTGATCAACACCAATACCTAACAGCTATTGAGTGCCTACTCTATGCCAGTTCTATAAAGAACATCTTGGGGTCTTGGTGACCCCAAACTCAGACTTAGCTGCGCTGGCAACACAGGAAGTAGAGCAGAGCTGTAAGAAGGCTCTGTGGCTTAGTTCACTGTGGGAAGCCATTTCACCTCTCTAAGCCTAGTTTTCTCATCTGTAAAGAGGCCATGATAATAGTACCTGTGTCATACCATTTACACACATATGTACACAAATATGTGTCTGTAGACATTTAGCAGCCTAGTGGCTGGTGTGTAGACAGCACTCAGTAAACATGGACACAACTGCAGAGAGTGTGAATGGAGGTCTGAGCTCCAAATGGCCAGGGTAAGGACCTGGTCTGACTGTGTCAGAACACATGAGGACTCAACGTGCTGAATCGTAGAGGCACTCACACATTACCTCTCAAGCCAAGGCTCTCAGGAGCCTCAAGGTCACCATGGGGATTGGACACTACCCCTCCAAGCAGAACAGCTCCACTCTTACCTACTGGGTACAGACAGAGTGTGTGTGCATCTGTCTCTGTCTCTGTCTGTCTCTGTCTCTCTCTCTCTCTCTCTCTCTCTCTCTCTCTCCCCCCGCCTTCTCTCTCCCTCTCTCCCTCTCTTTCTCTCTCCCTCTCTCCCTCTCTTTCTCTCTCCCTCTCTCCCTCCCCGCCCTACCCCATGTCTCAGGGATTCTCAGTTGAGGGAGATCTTGTCCCTAAGGGGACGTTTAGCAATGTCTGAAGGCATTTTTGGTTGTCATAACCTGCGTGGGGAGCGGACTGCTGCTGGCATCTAGTGAATGGAGGCCAGGGATGCTGCTAAACATCCCACAGTGCCCAGGACAACCCCACAACAAAGCACTATCCAGCCCCAAATGTCAGTGATGCCAGGTTGAGGAAGCCTGCTCTGCGGGCGTATATGTATGGCGGGGCAGGGGGATTCTCTGCATGGCTTTTATTTGGTAAAAGTCTAGGAAAAAATAGAAGATCAGCGTTATATAGTGTACCTGGAAAAAACCACCTGATTGCTAAGCACTCTGAAAAACCACATCCCTTAGGAGAACCCGAGTGTGGGGCCTGAGCCCAAGGCCAGAGGGGAGAATAGTCTGCAGAGAGTCGAAGCACCATCCACAAAGACAAGGTGTCTTGGGAGTTCTGAGTTGCTCCAGGCCTAATGGCATGAGGACACAGGGAAGCCACTTGGCCAATATGAAAGTCCACATGCCACTTGAGGATTCTTTTCTCCTTCAAGACCAAGTTTAATATTGATCTGATCATATTTCCCCTTATTAGCAGGATCTGATTTGGTAACTCTAAGCCTCTGGTGAAAAATCGTCTTTGAATATCAGGGTGATTTGCCATTTTTATTGCTGTTTTTATAGATCAAAAAAGTCAGATATTAGCAATTCATGGTTCAACCTGCTGAGGATTGAGGGTGATGACTTGTAATTTCTGTATACATTACTTTATATCCTTCCTAGAGGAACTCTGTACAAATGCCCACATCCCTGTTCAAACCTCTAGGGAAACTGGGCATCTCAAGCTAAGCTGTTACCCCTGTCCTGAACAAGCAGCACTCACCAGGAGCCCAGCCTAGGCTGGCGTACCTGTAACGGACCCTTTCCCAGCAGACATAAGACGAGCTCCTGTGTTTTAACCAAGTGGCTTGTCCTCACCTTTTGCATCTGCCCAGTTGGGAGAAGAGAGATTCTTTTAAACCTGAGACCCTCCAAAAAACACCCCCCATCCCCATCTCTTGGCTGTGTTCCTTGGCATTTAAAAAGAAATGGGGAACCTTGAAGACTTGCTAAGTAAAATAAGCCAGACATAAAAGGACAAATACTGTGTCATTCCATTTATACGAGTCACCTGGAAGAGGCACATTCACAGAGACAGGAAGTAGAAGGGTGATTGCCAGGGGCTGAGGGGAGGGGAATGGAGAGTTGAACGCCACTGAACTGTACACTTAAAAATGGTTAAAATGGTAAATTTGGTGTTATATATGTTTTGTCACAATTTTTTTAAAAGGAGCCAGCATGTTCATTGCCATATGCTGAAACCAGATTCAACCCTGATGTTCACCTAAAAAGAGGGAGTAGGGAAGTGCCTAATACTCCATCTTTACATTGTCATGAAACCTAAGTGAGATTAGGACATGGCATCATCAGCTGGGCTTCTTAAAATGTTTCCCTTTCCACCAGGGCCGTCTTAGAGAGACCGTATATTCCTGTTGGGCTGAGAGCACTTTAGTGACTTTTGAGTGTGTGCTAAGCCCTATTTTCCTTCCTCTGGAAGGATGAAATTGTTCAGCTTGTTGGAACTAGGTGTCTTAGGAACAGAGAGCTCTGTGTTCAGGCCCAGTAATCATCCTCTGGCATATTTTTTGTTTTCCAGGACAGCTACTAAAGCTTATCCACAGTCTCCAAAGACAACGAAACCTCCCTACCCAGGGTCTCCTGTGAAGTACCGCTTACCTGCCCTTTCTGGCCAAGACATGCCCAAGAGGAAAGCGGAGAAAGAGAAGAGCAACAAGGAAAGGGAAGGTACCTTGGCTCAGCAGGCTGCTGGCCCGCAAGGAGAGGAAGCCCTAGAGAAGCATGTAGTGGACAAGCATGCCAGCGAGAAGCATGCTGCTGCCGCAGGAGGGAAAGCCGAAAACAGCGCAGGTAGATGCTGCCACCGTGCCTTGGCTTTCCCAAGACGGTTCTCCTCAGACCCAATCCACGTGCCATTCTCTCATGTTTTGGGGAGGGAAAGGGATTTTTCTCTGGGGACAAGTGCATCCCCTCGTGCAGCTTTCTTGGGTTTGCACGTTGCTCCTGAGTTCTTTCCTTCAGTCTTCTGAGGGTCCCCTGGAGGAAATCTAGAGGCTGACTCCACTCATGGCTGTGGAAGCTCACGGGGATGCTGAGTAAAACAGGCCTGCATCTGCACCTCACGCAAAAGAAGATCTTCCTTTAGACTTTCAGGCTTCTATGATGCAGTGAGTTCACCCAGATGGTGGCTGCTGTGGCACTTGCTAGTGACCTTGTCTTTCCTCCTCATGTTTCTATTGTCTTCCACTGTAAAATGCGTCCAGGGTTCCAGCCAGCCCATGACAGCTTCTCTTGCTTGGTGGTCGATTGTGCTAGTCTGGACGGCATTTCCCATCACCACACTGGGTTGGATTTTTTTTCACTTCCAACTGGCAGCTGCTGTGTGAGTGGAATCATTATATTCGTTTCCCTTGATCTTTTCCTCTTGATGCCTCTCCTCTGGTGCAGCCTTGGGGAAGCCCACAGCAGGCACCACTGATGCAGGAGAGGCTGCGAAGATCTTGGCTGAAAAGAGAAGACAGGCCCGGCTGCAGAAGGAACAGGAGGAGCAAGAACGACTGGAGAAGGAAGAACAAGATAGGTATGCTAGTGCTCAGAATTTCGGTGTGATCTCATGTAACTGTTGTGTTGGAAAGAGCAGCTTGCCTTTCTTTTTACAGCGTTGGTATTGATAAAACTTGAACAGAAGTATGGGAACCTAGAATGTCTGAACTACATGGAAGGTGTTCAGGAGACTGAGTCTTATATTAGATGTAATTATTAATAACAATGGAACTTTGTTCTTTTCGGAGGACCTGGAAACTCATAGCTCTTGGATCTAAATGGCACAGGCATCTTCCCATTCTCCTCTTGGACTTTGGGGCCAGGCAGGCCTCCTAGAGCTATCAGGGAAGTCTGAACTTTGTTTAAAAAATGAGATTCTCCCTGGGAAAACAAGAGGTTCAAGATTCTGGTTTTGGTCTTGATTCTGATTTCCAAATTGTTTCCTCCGTCAAATTATCCTAACTCACACCCCAAAGTGAGAGACAGAGGGGAGGGTTGAGCAGTGTCCCCTAGGCATAGGGTTGTGTGTAGGGGCAACCGCATAGTCTAAGAACAGTGAGGTATGGGGAGTCCCATCTGGGAGCAAGACAAAAGACATCATTGCAGTGGTCCCTACACCTTGAAGAGCATCAGAATCATCCGGGGAATGCAGTAAAAACACATGGACTCAGCCCTGTTCTGTTTTAGTAGCTTGCCAGGGTTTGAGAACCACTGTGATGTTAGTACCAGGGTACTTTGTCACAATACAGACAGACCTTCCTTTTCTGATCTTTTTATTTAGAGAGGAAAGCATGTTGAAGGACAAGGTCGATTTTATCATTAAATTGATAAAGGAAGCCGTTAGGCTCATCACAGAGTACAATCCAATACTGTTTAGAGAATTATCATGACAGGAAGCAGGCAATGCTGTAGCACTTCAAGGCCAGCACCGAATTTAGAGTAATAAATAATAGAATATTATTGATCCTTTAGTGACCTTGGTAAGTCTTTGTGGTCTCTGATTACAGGTTTGCTGATCTATTTTTTAAAAGGGACAGTGGGGTAGGTCTCGACAGTCCCTTCTTGAAATTTGGGACTTCTTTGATTGTTTTCCTGTTTCCAACATTTTGGTCAATACAGACGTGTTTTGTTTGTTTGTTTGTTTGTTTTGTCGAGTGGCATGTTTGGGCTGGTTTGGGTGGGCCTTAAGGTGTGTGAAGGGAGGTCACAAGAGATAAAGATGAATCACAGGACCTCAGATGACAGGCCTTGATAATTGCAGGCCATGGAGATACCATGTAGGCTCTGAGCTGGTGAGTAACATGATCGTAGTCGTGTGCTAAAGAAGGTGATGTTCTTTACTTTCCAGCTACCACCGTCTGTATCTCCCATTTTCTTCACAGCCCAGCTCCTGAAAGACTTGATTGAACATTCTGTCTTTATTTTCTCAACTCACATTCAGTCTTCAAACCTCACACCTACCACTCCTCCTCGTTGCCTAACTACTAATCAGTTTCTTGGTTGGCTTTGGCCTTGTCAAGCTTGCCCTTGCTTCTCTGGCCTCTCCTTCATAGCCTCCTCTGTCTGCCCCTCATCCCCTTAAATGTTGCCTGGGCTTTCAGCCCTTAGTCCTGGACCAGCTTCTCTCCCAACAAGCTCTCCCGAACAGCACTGCTCCCGCCTGTTCTGCCAGTGTCCCTGCCATCCTGCCAGTTTCCTATGGCGTCAAAAGATTTAGGGCCCACATTTTACACAACAGCTTTCTGTTGAGCCTTTGTTGTGCTAAACCAGCTCTGCTCTCATCTCACTTCCCACCTTCATTTTCCCTTTGTCTTGTTTTATTGTCCGTTTCTGAAGCTAACTGCAGCTTGCTTTCTAAACCTTCCATACTTTCTGGAACAAGGGAGGCACTAATAACACATGTGTACTGATGACTCCTAAAACTATGCCTGTGGCCCAAGCTCTGTCTAGGGCTGCATTGTCCACTATCAGACCCTCTAGGCACATGTGGCCACCAAAATATACATTCAGTAAAATTCATTTCCCCAGCCACACCCGCCACATTTCCGTGCTCAAGAGCTGCATCTGAGTAGATGTGGATCCACACCACATTGGGCAGCACAAATCTATAGATTGTTTTCCTACTCAACAGAAGGTTCTATTGGATAGCACTGGTCTAGAACCTAGAGACTGTATTTCCAGCTGCAATAAGTTTTCGTTTGAGTGTGTCCCATATACATCTCAAATCCAGCATTTCCAAAGCAGAACTTAGTATTTTTTCCCCAAACTTCCCTTCTCTTTCATGAGCTCTGTGTTCCCATCTCCTCAGACACCCAAGTGAAAAGTCTCAGTGCTACTCTCAGCTCTTTCCTTTCCTTCTTCTTCCCAATGGTTGTCAGGTCCAGTCTTCATCAGCTGTCACATTGGCATCTCTGTTCTCTCCCTTCCCTTCCCGTCCCTCCTCTCCTTCCTCAGCTCCAGCCCCCATCGCTTCTCACCTGGACTGTATCTGTTATATCCCAACTGAGCTCCCTGCTCTAGGTCTCCTAGAGTTTGTCCCCTGTCCACGCTGGGCCCACACTGACCTTTCTCAAATAAATGTGATTGTTCTCCTGTCCTTTAACAAGCCAGTGACTCCCCTGCCCACTGGATCCACCCGAACCTGTCAACAGGCCTTCAAGGCCTGCCGTGAACTGACCACTACCTGCCTCTTACTCCTTGCTTTCCTCCAGACACCAGTGTGCAAAGCTCCCTGACATTCACCCATCACACGGCTCCACACCTCCAAAGCTGTGCTTTTACTTTGCCCCCACGTGGACTTGTGCTCCTTCCTGCCAGACACCTCTTCATTTCTCAAAATGCAGGTCAAGTCTTGCTCCCTCCCTGTACCTTTTCTGGCCCTGTGCCTGGGACAGAACTGACCACCCCCCACTCTTCACCCATACTGAGCCCAGCTGTTCAGTTGACTAACATAGCTTCATTTGTTTACAGGCCTCCTTTCCCCAGTTAGCACCTTAAAAGGCTGGGACATAGTCTTTGGATCACTGGTGCCTGGCGCTCAGTAAATGTACAAGAAAGGAACAGAAGGAGGAAGAATCCTGACTAAGAAACCATCGTAGTAGTAGGTTAAGAGAACAGAAGGGCTAAAGTAGTATGGTGAAGGCAGACATGCAAAAGCCAGTCTCTGTGGACTTACACAATGCCAAAGAAATGGGCAGATTTGAAGTTGATGCTGAGGTTTGATTCTAAGGTCTTAGGAGAATGGTACACCCAATAACAGGTAAAGAAAGGACATAAGGAATTGGTTTTAAAAGATAAAAATTATTCATTTGATTTTAGGTGAGGTTATGGTGTCTACAGTACGTCCAGATGATTGGAGATGGAATTGAAGGTTGGGGGTGTAGGTAAAAATTAGAGCAATACACTCGACCCCAAATGAGTTTTCCTCTCTCTTGCCAGAATGTGAAGCTTTGCATAGTGCCACGTGGGAGGTGAGGAGTGAGGAAGGAAAGTACCAGACAACCTGGGGCTGGAACACAGCGGCCACCTCTTGGAATAAGATCATCCTCACATCTGTTTTATGTTTACAGTTAATAGTTAAAGCCACAGAAATGTTGCCAGATAAAATAATTTAGAGAAAAATAAAGTTACTTGAGTCAAACCGTGGAAAGCCCAATTATTGTCACAAACTGGTAAGGGAAACACCATCCAAGTCAAGGATGGGGGAACCAGAACAGAAGGGCCAACCAGGAGTCCAGACAAGCAGGCCCTAAGCAGAAGAACAAAAGTTGGTCCATTCCCAAACACAACAGGGCCCAGCCCCCAGGCTGTGGATGGCCCAAGATATAAAGTGAGATTCTTAGAGGTGGGGCAGGAAACCTTAGACGCCGGGTCCACCCTGGGGAAGGCACTGGCAGGAACTAGTAAGCAGGAGATCTTAATGGGATTCCTAGACGGATCACTTTAAGTCATGTTAAAAAGCTAAAATAGCTACTAGGGGTTCACATGAAAGAATATTCCAGCCAGACGCAATGGCTTGTACCTGTAGTCCCAGCTACTTGAAAGGCTGAGGTGGGAGGATCACTAGAGGCCAGGAGTTCGAGTTGAGCCTGGGCAACGTAGAGAGACCCCATCTTTTTAAAAAATTGAAGGAAAGAGAATATTCCAGTTAGACAGCTCCCTACGAGCAAGGTCACGTAGGCAGGCTAAAGTTTCTTGTCGAAGCAAGAGTTAGCCCAGGCCAGGAACCACAGGCAGAGGTCTTCGAGGCTGCTCAGACCTGGCTTTTTGCTGCTGAGCCTACAGGTGGCAGGTGGTTTTGGTGAGAGCTAGGGCAGGTGGGGGCACATGCGATGTGGGGCAGCAGGATGTAGCAGCAGCTGAGGCAGGAAGGGAAAGCCAAGAGAGGTAGGAGAGAGCCAGGGTCATGCAGCCTTATGTAGCACAGGGCTGTAGGGAGAGCCACATGGGCAGGACTTTTGATAAGACATAGGCTTATCAAAGACGAAGGCTGTTGGTCTTGGGATTTAGGAGATGAAAAGAGATTTTGGAGGGAAATTGTTGAGAAGTAGGATAGAGACAAAGCAGCCTGAAGAGATGAGTGGATACAGGCCCAGAATATAAGCTGGCTGTTAAGCAGTCATGAATGAGAAGCAGCTGAGAGAGGACTGAGGAGGGTTGCTTGTGATTCCCGAGACATGAGCATTTTTCCAGGGCATGGAAAACATGCATGCAGAAGGTTGAAACTGACAAATGAAGGGAAGAGGGGCTAGTGGGAGGGACACATAGCTGTGGAGGATGTGGAATTCACAGCACAAGTGGTGGCATTTCCATCTAAGCAGAGGAACAAATGGGGACATTTCTGAGCAGTAATGTCATAGAGGAGAGTTTAAGAAGCTCAGATCAGGTGGCCTCAGTCTTCTCTGTATAGCAGTTGGTGATAAGCATCAACTAAGGAAGATGACGAAGATTGAGAAAAGTGGTAATTGGGACTGTGTCCATAAGGGATCCAGGGGATGAGGATTAAAAGGCCGGAATGCAATTGCCAGCAGGCAGATAACCAGCCAGCCTCGTTTACACCTCTCTCTAACCAGTGATTGGCAGCCCAGGAGTGGTCCTGGAAACCACCCAAGCCTGGAGTTGGGCAGCAGAGTGACCTCCATGCCATCTCTGAAATGCTCACAAGGGTACCTAAGGCCTGGGGAACACTGAGAGAGAGGGAAGCAGACGCAAGTAGACTGCACAGCGCTAACCAGGGCAGGTCAGGAGAGAAAAAGGCAGAAGGATGGGGTGTGATCAGATCAAAGAAGATTAATGTTGAAGGTTAGGCTTGTTTTAAAATGAAAACTTTTAAGCACGTAAGAATAGAGACCAGTGAAACCCACATACTCGTCCCTCAGATTGAACAATTCAAGTTTAAGTTTGTGTCAGTGACATGAGGAAGGTTAACAGGGAGCGACAGAAAAGGGGGCGAGGTGCTGGAGTTTCCAACAGACAGGAGCCAATATATGAAGATCCTCCTCAAATGGCCAGTGACAGGGACAAGGGATGATGCATCCACTGAATGCCAAATGATGACAGTAATGCACAGTTTTCTGGTACTTTGTACATAGTGAGGAAAGGGAGAGGGACTTGGGTGAATGACAAGAACAAGGATGGAGAGGGTGACAGGACTACACACAGGGCCAGGCACTGGCTCACACCTGTAATCCCAGTGCTTTGGGAGAATGGGGTGGGCGGATCACTTGAGCCCAGGAGTTTGAGACCAGCCTGGGCAACAAAATGAGACCTGTCTCTATTAAAAAAAAATTCAAAAATGATCCAGGCATGGTGGCACTCACCCGTGGTCCTGGCTACTTGGGAGCTGAGGTGGGAGGATCGCTTGAGCCTGAGAGGTTGGGGCTGCAGTAAGCTGTGATGGCAGCACTGCACTCCAACTTGGGCAACAGCACGAAACCCTGCCTCTACAAAGAAAAAAAAAAAAGGACTACACACAGAGCTGATGAACTTTGGAGGTTTAGTAATGACGGCAAGGGCGGTAGGCTCGGGGTAGCCCACGGCAGAGGGCGGTGGGGAAAATGATGAAATCTAATGTGCTGTCTGGTTCTTTGAGCAGAGACAGAAGGAATGCTCATCCTCGGAGAGGATTGTGAGGGACCTGGTTTCACACAGGGGAAGCCAGGGTTGTTTGTTTTGTTGAATTTTACCTACTTTAGGGAAGCAAAGTGTGGTTAAGGGAGAGAACTTGGTATATAAGAGGATGAAGGGGCTGGGCACAGTGGCTCAAACCTGTAATCCCAGCACTTTGGGAGGCCAAGGCAGGCAGATCACTTGAGGTCAGGAGTTCGAGACCAGCCTGGCCAACATGGTGAAACCCCATCTCTACTAAAACTACAAAAATTAGCTGGGCATAGCGGCGCATGCCTGTAGTCCCGGCTACTTGGGAGGCTGAGGCACAAGAATCACTTGAACCCAGGAGGCAGAGGTTGTAGTGAGCCAAGATCACACCACTGTACTCCAGCCTGGGCAACAGAGTGAGACTCCATCTCAAAAAAAAAAAAAAAAAAAAGGACAAGATTTCCCTGGAGGTGCTATGGAAAGGACAAGCGGGGTCTCATGGGCTTGTGGGGATTTATATTTTGGGTGATAATGAGGATTATGGAGGTTCAGGGGCCATAAGGATGTTCTTACATGTGTGCATCTGGGCACTTCTGAAGTCCTGATGGTAAAAAACAAGAAACAGAGGCCAAGTGCAGCGGCTCATGCCTATAATCCTAGCACTTTGGGAGGCCGAGGCAGGCAGATCACCTGAGGTCAGGAGTTTGAGACCAGCCTGACCAACATGGTGAAACCCCGTCTCTACTAAAAATACAAAATTAGCCAGACATGGTGGCGCATACCTGTAATCCCAGCTAGTTGGGAGGCTGAGGCAGGAGAATCACTTGCACCTGGGAGGCAGAGGTTGTGGTGAGCCAAGGTTGCACCATTGCACTCCAACCTGGGCAACAACAGTGAAACGCCATCAAAAAAAAAAAAAAAAAAAAGAGAATGGATTTTCAGGTCCTGGAGATGAAGACGGCAGGTCCTTTATGAAGTAGCTTATACATTAATTAATACACAATGTATCCTTTGTGTGTTAACTTCTCTGGGACAATCATAATTGGCTCGTTAATAAAGGGTAAGAAATGAAATGGTACTTCAGTTAACCTTTAGATACATCTTGTTATTAACACATCCATTTTGGATAATCCTGTGTTGGACATAGTATTTCATTGAGGAATCTAAGAAAATGGGAGCTTCTTTCTGATAGGTTCTATAATGCTCCTCTCCAGAATATCTGTTAATAATTTGAGTTGTTTCACAATGGTTTATAGGCATTGTGACCTAATTTAGTGTTATCACGTATTGTTACAGTCTCAGGCTAATATATTTAAGTATTTGTTTATCTTTCTTTTAAAATATTTCTTTGAATGAATAAACAAAATATTTCCTTTGGTCATACATAGGCTGTTAGCCTGCACAAGTTCTGAAGCTGACCATTAGGATGGATGGATGCTCTTTTTAAGTCTTGACCTTTTTATAACAACAGCATCCCAGTAAGTCATTGGCACATGCTTCCAAATGAAGGTAATTTCTAAAGGACATACAGATTTATAGGTGCACTTTAAAGGACATTGGGGCTTGGAGAGAGGATTCATTTTAAATTGTAAAACAAACTAACGTTTGAGAACCTTCTAGGGCCAGGCATTTTCATTCTCACAGTAAAGCCATAGAACAATAGTATAGCTTTTCCCATTTTTTAAATGGGCATCAAGAACATTGAGTGACTTTCCAGGTGTCACACAGTGAGTGGCATAATCAGAGTACAATTTGAGTCATGCCCATACATCACATTGCCAGTGATTACCCAAGGAAAGTGACGTACATGTGAGGAGGAGGAACATTAGAAAGGTTAAAACAAGCTCTTGGACTTTACAGGATTTTCCCTTACTGCTTCGAGCTCTTTACCATTACACCATGAACCATTCATCTGACTGTGGATGAAAATGTCTAAATGCCACTTAATTTTCATATAGCAAAGAAAGCTAAAATAGATTTCTAAAGATTGCCAAAATAAATGGAAATAGAGGTTTTAATTTATTAAATGTCAAGTTTCTGTTGAGCATTTTCTTCCATTTGCTGCTTCATAAGTCACATACCAATTAGAACCAAATTGGTATGACTTTTTGAGTTCGTAGTCACTGCTCTTAAATTGCTGACTGGCACATTTGTGGCCATTGAGACACTTCCCATTTTTCCTAGCTTTCATTGGTTTTAAATATTCTGCTTAGGTTTTAAAAGAATTGTCATTCAATAAGAATGATGGCTTGGCTTTCTGTCACCGTGGTCATTTGTTCATTGACTGAGGAGCATCTGTTTTCAATACAGTATGCGTTACACATCAACACATCATTCATTGCTGTATTACAGAATTTAAAGTCAAGCCTGGTTAATACTTTTTGGTAAATATATGGACCAGAGTGGATTTCCAGGAAGGATGAATCATGTTATTAAATGAATGCTCGTTGAAAGGTATGTGTGTGTGTTACCATGTGGAGCATTATTCTCGGCTGTCAGCACACAGTTCTCTGGCAGTTTGCTTTTCGAGCATGTCATCTTCTAACAACAGTTGTATTCTCAAAAGGCTGGAGAGAGAGGAATTGAAAAGAAAGGCAGAGGAGGAAAGGCTTCGCC